>NC_000001.11:61372016-61675047 GCF_000001405.40 Homo sapiens
GGATCCTTGTGTTCGGTTCCAAAAAAAGGTGTGAATGTGAAGAAGAAGTGTTAAATCATGACTCCAGAGAAAATGTCGGCCATGAGCAGTTTTTAGTTTAAGTGAAAACCAAACTTTAGGATTTGGACAAATAAGATGAGGAGAAAAAAGGGTGAATCATTAACTCCAATATGAAAGGATTATGGTGATCAAGTTTCACCCAACTTGAATAAGAAACCCAACAAAGACTATGACTGATGGAACTAACTCATTTACTTAATTGATATGCCAAACTCTGCCAAGCATTTACCCTTAGTGTCAAATAAGTAATTTTTAATAAAATATTTCTAAGATATGAAGACAGTTAAGAAAATAGCATGCTTTTTAATAATTGTACTCATAAGTAAATGGATCATTACATTGTCACAAAGAATGACAGTGAGCAGAAACAGCCTGCTAATCCCTCTTAGATAAGTATTTAACATAATTAGACAGACACCATCTCTTCTGTTGAATGTAGCATTAATCATTAGAAGTGCAACTTTACACAGCATACTTGTTTCTGATATGTCATTGTTGTTAAAAAAAAAAAAGCAAACTATTTTGTCAGATACAGTGCTTCAGAAAATGACTCATGTAGTTGTGTGATTTACATAAATACAGTTATTTCCCTTTTTATTGTTTTTTGTTTGCTTTAATAGTGTTTAATAGTAGTGTGGTCCTTTTACATCCATGAAGCTGCATTTGAGGTAAGTGGTTCATACATTTTGTTTTGCAAAATATCAGTATAGTGAACATACTTGAATTTGAAGTATTTTTAAGCTTTGAAGGGATCTTTTGGCTCATCTACCTAAACTGAAGGCACAACTCTTTCAGAGAAAGGTTTTCTTATAAGGAATGGGCTAGAAGTTTTCTGCATTAAATAAGAGCTGAAGAGAGAACCTCTTTCTATTAAAAATTTGAGGTTAAAATGATGGAATGTATTGCCCTCTTCCAGTATTCATAAGCACTACCTTTAAAAAAATTCATTTTCTTTTGCTGTGTAGCTTCTAGCTTGAACTATGAACTACGGAATACTTATAAAGTGATAGCAGCTCAATTCATTGCACAACGCTAGCTTCCCACTTTCTCTGTGATTCAAAGGCCTTCGAAGGCAAAGAATGGGGTTATTGAAGGATGGCAGGCAGATTTCACTAAGTAACAGGTGGAGGTCAAAGCAGTTTATTTGTGGGATGAACAGAGTGCAGAGATGAAAAAGCAAATGCTTTGCCATAATAAGATTTAGCAAGAAAATGCTGACAACACGAAGCCTTAGATTCTAGCTGACAGAACCTTTTCTCGTGTTCATTACTTGATTTCACAGTTCAAGCAATTTGAAGAGGGCTAAAATTTTCTTTCTTTTTCCCTTATGAAATGTTTCAATCAGTTTCAAATTTTTACTTTAGCTGGGTTCTCTGCTTGTATCCAAGGAACACTGGAATTAATAGAGCTCCAGCACAGGCGTATCCCAAACATGGACCCTCACAGACTATGCATCTCTTTCAAATTAAATTTTATCCATAGGACCCTTAAGCTCTAGCTCTCTATCATGTTTTAACTGACAGAAGAGAGTATATTTAAGTAAATACTAAAGTTCACATCATCAAGGCTAATGTTATATGCCAACGAAAGTATTCATAAGGGTGTTAACCAAGCTTGAACACTGAGTTACTTCCAGCTTGTTGGAGATGGAGAGGAAAAGCTTTCATTTTTTTCCCATTATACAGTTCTATATTTGTACAGTGAATATGTTTCGCTTTTGGAAGTTAAAAAAAAAAAGACTAAACATGCTGAACAATACAAAATAAGGTTTATCTACTGTTGTACAGCATGACCAAAAAAGTAAAAAGTTATTTGGTATCATATCATAGAGACCAGAGCTGTCCAATAGAATTTTCTGCAGTGATAGAGATGTTCTGTGTCTATACTATCCAGTATTCTAACCATGAGCCACATATGGCTACTAAGCCCTTGCAATGTGGCTATGCTGAGCAACTTAATTTTTAAATTCATTTAATTTTAATTAATTTAGATTTAAGTAGCCACATGTGGCTAGTAGCTACCATATTGGGCAGGGCAGATATAAGCCAAACATATGTATGATTGAGTTTTTTACTATTCAGCTGGATATCTAAGGAGAATGAATAAAACATTATGCTATTTTATACTATATGTATTGTTTATGCAAAGAAATAATTTGGTTTTCTCAGAAATGTCTTCTTTATCCTCAGTCCTTCTGTGAATGCGTATAATTGCTATGTTGAGCTAAAATCAGTCCTTTCCTGAACACATGGGGGGATGGGATGGCTAGGGGGCAGATGGAATGGGTAGGGAATCTCCAACCTCTTGTAAGTATATGGAGCATGTAACACAATTTTTTTTATTTCAGTCCTGTCACTGGGGTGTCTGTGTTTACCTTGAAAGGAGAGGAAATCCCCCAACTAGTCAAGAGATTTTATTTTTGGCCCAGAAACCAGATTTTTATATGACATTTTCCTTGTGTCTATTCTTTACTCTCTCTGGTTGTAAATTTTCACTCACAAATGAACATTTGGAATATATTACAGAACTCATCGTTTCTTTCCCCCTGAATAATCCATGTAATTTTTACTCCATACTCCCATTTTTTAAAAACTGAAGAAATCACTGATGTCCCCAAGCCATTTAAATTACCTGAACTTCTTTATGATGTGATAATTCTTTGGGAGTCCTTTTAGCTCATTTTCAATGGCTACATATAGAGTAAGAAGGATAAACCTCAGAAGCTATATTAACTTTCATTTATGCTCTCTATCATAAAAATGATTTTAAAACATTTTTATTGACTGAAAAAGGCTAAAAGTCAAAATAGTCTATTTTACCTTTTTATCGTTGAGTGTGCTAATCATAAAAAATTATATTAGAATGAACTCTAATGGATTTTATCATTAGGACACACATCTAACAAACGTGTGGTGTCTTCAACGACCTCCTTGTATCACGCAGCCTGTGTTTATGCTCACAAGAACAGAATGGTCCCTTAACCGTGGGATTCTTCTGTTCAGTCACAGCCTTTATTTGGCATCATGGTTAGAGATAATCTAATTACAAGGTATACTTTAAATGGTTCTAGAAAGGTCTTGTTCCTGCCTGTGGGGGAATTACTAGAGTGCAGTATAGCTCTGCATCTGGAAGAGATGTGTCTGAGTGTAAATCTGATGGTGGATGACTTGCAAAAGATGGTACTGGTACTCAGCATTCATGCTGGGCTTGAGAAATGTCACTGAAATTTATGTGGACACCATTAGTCTGATGGACATGACTGAGCTGTCTGTTCCCCACACTTAGATCTAGTGGAGTAGGGGAATCTGAATGCCTGAGTGTAAAAAAGAGTCACAAAGCAGTTAGCATCATTAAGACTTGGAATGTTTGCAAGAAGAAACATGTTCAAGTGTCATTAATAGTTCAGATTTAAATCAGCTCATGATAGGTTTGTATTGATAAGATACATAAGTAGTACTCCCCCGCGCCCTCACCCAGAAGTAGGGATCTTGGTAGCATGGTACACTGAAAGGAGCAAGAGCTTTGGTTTCCTGGGTTCAAATCCTGGCTCCTCCACTCACTGATTGTGTAGCCTCTCACCTTCTTAAGGACTGCACTGCCTCAGGCACCCTCTCTTCTCTGAGTCATGGCTTTCTGCCTGTCTGCTGGACCATTCCCATCAGTAGACAAGCATGCTGGACTCTCTCCCACCTTCAGAAAGCTATCCCTTGCTTCCCTCCCTCTTCCTGTAGCCACTACCCTATTTTTCTGCTCTCCTGTGCAGATTCCTCCTTCGTTTCATGGAAGTTGACTACACCATTTCCCCTGTTTCTTCACTTCCCATTGATTTTATAAACCATGCTATCCTGTCTTCTATGTGCCTCACTCTCCTGGAACTCACTTTTCAAGACTGTCAGAAACATTCATGTTGCCAAATCCAGTGGACCCTTTTCTGTCCTCATTATACGTGATCTCTCAGTGGCATTCAACTCAGTTGATTGCAGCCTTCTCCTTGAAACACTTCTTAGTTTCTATAAAGATATACTCTCCAATGAGTTAAATGCCTCAACTTAGTTGCCTGTTTAGATGCTGACTTTAGACACTCGGGGGCCTTCCTTGATTTTTACACATTACTGAATTCTAAATAATTGTGTGTGTGTTATAGCCTCTGGTTAAGTGAGCTATTTATTACTGCATTGTAATATATAGTCTAGGCTTGGACACTATCAACAAGTCTTAAGAGAAGAATTTTTGTCCTTTCTTGTTATAGATAGATAACATGGTTTGCAGGAGGCTTTATAGAAAAAGCAACTTGTTGAATAGGCAAGAGGCCTATAGTAAATATAAAACATTTATATACTCTTTTGCAACTCAACATCTGGGGTCATTATCTTCTTCTAAATCTATGTGATATTTATTTTGTGGAGGTTCTGTGTTAGAATCGCTGATAATTCATTCAGTGTGTGTTTGATAAAATCTTAACTGATCCTTACTAAGGCCAAGAGAAAACTTTGATATATAAGACAAATGATTCCTAGTATACTTCAGAGTGGGTTTTTTTGCATACACTTTTGTATCTGATATACCCTTCCTTTTTTTCCCCCTTTGGATAACCAAATTTAAAACTTCAGCTATAAATATACTTTATTGACTTAAATAGGACACTGTTTTTATAGTATACTAGGGAAACTACATGAGGGTTTTATAAAATGTATGCACTTGAGAACCAGAGAGACCTGGATCTGCAGTACCATCTAATAGCTGTATGATCCTAGACAAATTGTTTAACATCACTTGATATCTAATTTCTGTAATATTAAGTTATTGGTAGAAAAGATAATAATACCTACCTATCTCAGATGAAAATGTAAGGATTTGGGGATGGACACGGTGGCTTATGCCTGTAATCCCAGCACTTTGGGAGGCCAAGGTGGGTGGATCACCTGAGGTCTGGAGTTCGAGACCAGCTTGGCCAACATGGTGAAACCCTGTATCTACTAAAAAAAAAAATACAAAAATTAGCCGGGTATGGTGGCATGTGCCTGTAGACCCAGCTACTCAGGAGGCTGAGGCAGGAGAATTGCTTGAACCAGGGAGGCAGAGGTTGCAGTGAGCCAAGATTGCACCACTGCACTCCAGCCTGGGTAACAGACCGAGACTCCATCTCAAAAAAAAGAAAGAAAGAGAAGAAAATGTAAGGATTTGAGATATTTATAAGTACATGGCACATAGTGGGCACTTCATAATTTGTAGCTTTTATTATTTTCAGCCTGGTTTTTGGACGTGATCGACATGCAGAGATTTAATCTCTGTAGCTGCCTCCTGCCTCTCTTGAGGCCACTTGATGGATGAAGGCTTCCAGTTGCCTTTAAGCCTTTAAGTTTGGTGTAATCGTTGTTCTGGTAATAACAGTTATAAAAATAGGTTGTTGGGAATTAGATGATGACAATGAACAGGACACTATCCAAGTCATGAACAATTAAACTTGTAACATTTTGGGGTCCTCTCTAACCTGCTTATTGTATTGGATTTAAAAACTAAAGTGCTGAGGTTGCTTGCTTTCAGAGTTTCTCTCCGTTTGTGACTATAAATGAACATTATTGAAACTAAACTTTCTATTCTTGACTTTGTCACTTTGAAGAAAAGAACATACACCAGTTATATCTTCTCTGACAACTTGAATTACATCTCCCAAACTCCTGCGACAGACAAGATAAGGTCCTGCTGTCCCGAGCAGCACTTACCAGGGATACTTTTAACAGGAGAATGAATTTTTGGATAGGTGCTCTAACAAAGTAAGCACTAACACTGAGAAGTTACAGTTCCTTTTGAAAAATCCAGCATGTTGTTCGGTTGTCACTGGAATAATTATAGTTTATGGTGATCCTTCCCTTCTCTTCCATTCCCATTAATGTTGTAGCTCCTTTGACTCCTAAAAATCTCCCCTTTAAGAAGATACCTAAGGAAGAAAAAACAGCTTTGTACTTCCTAATGATTCCTGCAGTGTTTCCTTTACTATTGTCACTATGGAGTTCTTGGTCAAAGTGTCTGAAAAATATCATAACTTGGGAGTAGGGGAGAGGTGAAATTAATTATGATTGGTTTTCTTCTTTTTATTTTATGTGATATCAAATTGCAGTGAAAAATTCCCTAAAACAAATTTTAACTTCTTAGGGGAGACCCCAAGAATTTGAGTTTTTTTCCCACGTCACTCAATCTAATTTTGTTATTGATGTTTCTCGAAAGAATCAGGAGAAGTAGAAATTTTCAAAAGTATTTATGTCCCTCGAAAATTACCACTTTTTAGTTCCCTTTCTAAGAATACGTCTTACCGTTTTCTCTAGGTGACTAGGCTAGTGAAAGACTATACAACCTAGGGTGGATTAGGTAAAAATAAGGGAAACTTTCAGAATTATAGAGAGTAATTATTGTACAGTAAACATCTTTAATACACACATGTCTAGCATTGCAGTCGTCTTATATTTGAATATCATGTTTGTTTTCTGTACTGCAGAACAAATTTTCACAGAGTTAGCAACTTGAAGCAACACACAGTTATTAATATTATCTCACAGTTTCCATGGGTCTGGAGCCTGGCCACGGCTGAACTAGATCTTCTGCTTAGGTCATACAAGGCTGCAATGAGAATTTTGTTCAGACTCCATTTCTTTCTGGAGCTCAAGGGCCTGTTGCTGACTCTCGTGATTGTTGGCAGAATTCAGTTGCTTGTGGATGTGGGACTAAGGTCCCTGCTTTCTGAAAGCTGTCAGCAAGGGGCCCCACTCAGCTCCCAGAGGCCCCTGCAGTTCCTTACCATGTGGCTGTCACAGGCCCTTTCACAATATGGCAGCTGACTTCTTCAAAGCCTGAAGAAGAATCTCTCTGACTTCTAATTCCTTTTATACAAGGCTCCCCTGATTAGGTCAGGCCCTCCAGGGATAATATATTTTTCCTTAACTCAAACTCACCTGATTGGGGACCTTAATTATATCTGTAGAAGTCTTTTGCAATATAACATAACCTAATCAATATAATCACCTTTGCGGTATAATATAACCTATTCACAAGAATGACATTTATCATATTCACAAGTATCTCACACATGCAAGAGGAGAGGATTATATAAGGCATCATTATACAAGGCTGGAAACTAGGAAGCCATCTTAGAATTCTGAGTACCACAATTTTTTTTTCAAGATAAGGTCTCTCTCTGTTGCCCAGGCTGGAGTGCAGTGGTATGATGATAGCTTATAAACTCCTGGGTTCATGTGATCCTCCTGCCTCAGCCTTCTGAGTAGCTGGGACTGTAGGCATATACCACCACACTCAGCTAACTTTTTCTTTTTCTTTTTTTTTTTTTTTTTTTTTTTTGAGATGGAATCTTGCTCTGTCAGTAGGCTGGAGTGCAGTAGCATGATCTGGGCTGACTGCAACCTCCGCCTCCCAGGTTCAAGCAATCCTCCTGCCTCCACGTCCTGAGTAGCTGGGACTACAGGCACATGTCACCATGCCCAGCTAAGTTTTGTATTTTTAGTAGAGATGCGGTTTCACCATGTTGGCCAGGATGGTCTCGATCTCTTGACCTTGTGATCTGCCCACCTCAGCCTCCCAAAGTGCTGGGATTACAGGCATGAGCCACCGTGCCTGGCCTCAGCTAACTTTTAAAAATTAATTTTTTGTAGAGATAAGGTCTCACTATATTGTCCAGGCTGCTCTCGAACTCCTGGCCTGAAGCAATCCTCCTGTCTCAGCCTCCCACAGTGCTGAGATTATAGACATGAGCCACCAGCCCAGCCTGACTACCACAAATACCAATGATGAATTTGAAGGAATCTTTGTGAATAGTGCATTTGACCTGTATTTTCAAGGTTTTCTTGTTGAACTTTGCACTTATAAGTGCCTCCAGAGATGAAAGCCACTACATGACTAGAATCCCATATATGTTTGCCCTTGTCTACTGAACACAATTTGGAATGACTCATATAGCTTAGAAAAAAATGGCAGACTAGAGGGAAATTGAAAATTCAAAAATTCTGGATGTTTAGAAAACCAGTGACAAGCCACAGGCCTTCTTGACATGTTTCTCCAATTCTATTTACTCTCATTGGGTTTTTTTATACCAATCAAAAGGATGAAATGCCCCATTGAAACAAAACATTATGCTAGATTTCTGCTTCTCATTCTACAAAAGTCTTTATTTTTCTGCATTGAACTTTGAAGTAACATTTCATTTCCTCCAGAAAAAGAGTAGGATTACTTCATCCGTAGTCTTTTTTTAAAAATCTGGTACTTCTAGAAAATACATTGAAATTAAAGTTTTAATGCATTGAAAGAAAGCCAATCAGTCATTAATCCATACAGTAATTTTGTAACAGTTGTGCATAAATAATTGGCAAAAGAGATTTTAAAAAGGAGTTTATTTTTAAAGTAATGTACAGAACCAAATTTGATTTCAAAAATAAAAGCCAACATTAATGTTTTCTAGCTTTTAACAGAAAGCAGTTTACTAGCATTTTGGAATTTCATCTGGTCAATTAAATATACAAAACAAATTAACCAAAACATACATTATGTATGTAGAGAAAATATTAAAGTATATAATAAGGAAATGTGCTCAATACGAACTCTTTAAAAATTGAAAACACAAAGTAATTTTGAGATTCATGACAGCCTTAGGGTTCATATTACTTGACTGTGATAAATTTAGAAGATTATACATAGTTTGGCTGGTTGTTCCTGCATGCTGACGGTATTTCTTCCGTCTTTAACCCTTGCAAAGAAGATTTAAATTTTGCTATTTTTGAACTTGTTTACCAACTTGGTCATTCTTGATACTTGTTATTGCCCAAATTTTACTTGTAATTCCTTTTAGAAGCATAAATAGTGGATTTCAATCATGTCAATATTTCTGCAGTATTTAGAATGGCATGAATTAGAAAACATGAATTTTTCAAAGAAATCATAACTTTTTCTTGAGTCCAGCCATTTGCTATCATCAATAAGATTAGTTAGGATACTGGATTTCATCAGTGATTCCATTATCTGAAAAAAAAAAAAAAATCTGCCACCTTTAAAGTTTTGATTTTTGTTTTAATTATCTGTTCTGCTTCTGTTTTATGACATGTAGTTCAGGCATTGGACTAAATTTAAATCAGTGGAATGGTTGGCAGCCTATAAATTGGTCTACACAAAAAGGTTTAAATGAGTTGGGAGATTTGTTTACATTTTGCTAGCTTTTTATTTCTTTCATTTTTTTTATTTGAAATCTCCTCCTTAGTGGAATTACATGATGATAACCTTAGGTTAGGTTATCTTACAGTGAATGTTCACCCAAAATCTCAGTGCATCCTACATTAGAACTTTGGTATGGTGTGACTGGTTACTGATTCAGCAAGCAACAAATATAACTAAAGTCACTTAATTACTTCATTTTTAATTCAAATCACATGGATGTTGATCTAGAAAGGATCTGATTCAAATTGTCAAATTAGTATGAAATCACATACCACTCTATGTTGTACTTATATCTGACTATGCAAATGTGTTTACCAATTTTCAATTTTTCTTTCTTGGGGTGAAAATTCTAAGCTTTGCTATGTTTAAGCATCTATTCATGAAGCTACAGATAAAGCTGAGACCTGCACAAGTAGTTTAAATATCTTTTCAGACCATTTGGGTGTTTCAGACCCTTGGAGGTCTTGGACATAGAGGGGAACAAAGCAGACAAGGACTCTGTCCTTATACAGTCTGAGTCACACTCAAAGGTCATGTTGTAGAATTGCATTAAGGAAATCTGTGATCAGAAATAACAGGGACATATTTAGATACACGCAAAACTAGCTAAATTTCTGGAAAGATCTATACCTATAAAGTGCTTGGCACAGTACATGGTACTCCATAACAGTTACATGTTAATATCATTATGATTTTTATTACTTTTCCAGTTCATCCAAATAATTCTCTGGTCATGGGCAGAACACAGCACATGTAAACATGTATAAGTAAAATGGAATTTGGTTCTTTTAACATCAGTGCAGACCAGTTTTGTGCTACAACCTTAAGAGAGCCCAAATTTGTCCCCTGATGCGGAGACTAGGAGTCATTTCTTTTATTTTTATATCCAAATTTTCATTGTTTTAATTGGCACCCTATCAAACTGATAGATGCCTCCAGTTGGGTATGTCAGCGTGGTTGCCGAGAACATTACAAATCCAGTAATTACAAGGAACTGTTTCTCCATTATTTTCTTCCCAAAGCATTTTCTATGCTGGAAATGCTGTGAAAACTTTAGACACAATAATAAAAGTACTATTTTTAAAAACAAGCTTTTATTGTATTAACATGAAAGCAATATATGTTCATCATAGAAAAGACAGGTAAGCAAAACAAAGGCAATGAAAATCACCCAAATTCAATACAGAGAGAGAACTACCATTATAGTTTATGCATATTGCCTTCCAGTTCTTTCTCTGTGCATAGAAATAGCCTTTTCAATGGTGTCATAGTATAACATCCTATTTTGTAATTGCCTTTTTCAATTAACATTATATTATAAATGTTTTGCCACATCATTACTCTTTTACAGTATTGCTTACATTGGTTATACCATACTTATTTAACCAGTCCCCAATTGTAGGGCATTTAAGATTTTTTTACTTTTCTTTTTTCTTTTTTTCTATTCTAAAGAATTCATTGAATGAACAACTAAGTTGCCATTGTTGAGGGTATTCTTATGTTAAAACAGCCAAATTATTTAAAATATGGAGAAAGTGATTTGGTGTCAAAGCAAGGTAACCAACAAGATGAAACGATTGCATGTGAAGTCTTCATAAGCATACATGGTTTCCTTTTTGGGAGTCACAGAGGTCACAGACACAAGCAGCAACTTTTAGGAAACACTGGAAAAGTTGAACCCTGTATTATTATTGAAGACCAATAACCCAAAAATGGACTGTGATTAATTAGAATAAATTGAAATCAAATACAGACCGACTTATCAGGGGACTATTCTGTCACCTCTTTGTTTCTGTGACAAATGCAAAGCAATTCACAACATCTTTTTCATTCACAGGTGGATTTCTCTTTTTGTTTGTTTTTAATTCTTTAAATGTTATCTTTTAGGTTGCACAAATCATTGTTCCATGAATTAAAGTGTACTTACCAGTTGATCCTTCTTGCCAGGAATGCCATCTCCAACCACACTGAAGAAGTCGGAGAAGTCTGGTTTCAGCAGCCCCTCCCCTTCACAGACCTCCTCCCTGGGAACGGCGTTCACACAGCATCACCGACCTGTCATTACAGGACCCAGAGGTGAGCTGCTCCACAGGCACCCTTGGTTGTGCTTATATCATGGCCTTTGGACCCAAGTAGCAAAATGAGAAACAATGAGGACTCCCCCTGAACACTCGTGAGGCAGTGAGTGTTCCAATTTCTTACCCTTGGGGGCAGCCTTGGAATTTTAGAGACCAAAGAGATTTGGCATCACATTTTTTGTCCTTTCCTAAGGCAAAAAGAGACCAAATCTGTTTTTTGTTGGCCAGTGAGATTTTTGCAGAAAGATGGGAAGTAACTTGAATTGAACCAAAATCAAATCTGTTCTACAAGTTGTGTGTGTGTGTGTGTGAGAGAGAGAGACAGAATGTGTGTGTGTGTGCGCACATGCGCGTGCACACATGCATGCATTGGGTGAGTATATTTCCATGTGGTCAATTACCTGTTTTCAAGTAGTAGCTTTTTCTCATCCCTGCTGACTCTCTTTCCATAAAACCTGATTTCAATATGTGGCATTTTGTGTTGAGGTTGTTTGCATCAGGGTGTTGACGAGCAGTCTTCATTCACTCCTTTTGAAGTGGTAGATAGTTTGTCTGGTTTTCATTGCAATGTTTTCATTATTTTTGTCTCATATGCTTTTAAGTTTATTATTAAAATGTGTCCACGAGAAATATGATTTGTATTTCGCATTAAAGACAAGCCTTAAGCCTCAAGAGAATGTCAGCAAATCACTTAACTTGATCTTATTGCAAGATAAAAATATTTATTATTTTGTTTATGAAACTCCCACAGTAGAAGTATGAATAATTGTAGCCATGTTTGCTTTCCTTTATCAGATTTTCTTTTAGGTAGGTCTGTGACCTACCAGCTGGTTTCATAAAACATCCTAGAAAATTATGATCTCTTGTCTGCTTTGACATATACCTGGGGAAACTGATGTTTCTTGCATTAATCTCAATGTTAGCCCCACCAATCTGAATCCCTTTATGAATGTGCTCTGTGTGCATCTCAGGGAAATGTGGCAGGTAAGAGGGCTGTCCGGTGCACACATGGGAGTCATATTGAAGAAAGTAAGCATTTTGACCACTGTGGGAATGAAACTTACTTGTTTCATCTTTAAACATCTTGTGATCATTGGTAGAACTTTCTCAAGATCCCTTCTTTCATTTGTGTATTATGTGTGGTATAATCAGAGAGGCTTACTATCGATATATAATTTGAAAACCTGCATCAGAATTAGATTATAAGGTCCCAGAATGAGGCTTATTAAATAGTATTAAGATATTATCCTCATAGTTAACACTCATTGAGCATATAAACTGTAGTGGGGGATCAGAGATATGAAGCCCTTTTAGTCAGAATATTTATGGCCTGAAGGAGATGAGGCATGTGTTGTTTTTCATCTGTTTGGGGTCAAGTTAACATATTCTAAATGCTAACTGAATGGTAAAAGTTCCTGCAGGAGCTCAGTATTGGGGGGACCGTGGAGGTTCATTCACTCTTTAAACAAGGATTTACTGAGTGCCTCTATAGACACTGGGACCAGTGGTTCCTGTCCTCATAGAGCATGTTATCTACTGCAGAAGAGAGGCACACAAGGAAATAAGCAAGTAAAAGATGATGGGCCGGGCACAGTGGCTCACGCCTGTAATCCTAGCACTTTCTGAGGCCAAGGCGGGCAGATCACTTGAGCTCAGGAATTCAAGATCAGCCTGGCCAACATGGTGAAACCCCATCTCTACTAAAAATACAAAAAAAAATTAGCCAGGTGTGGTGGCACATGCCTGTAAATCCCAGCTACCTGTGAGGCTGAGGCAGGAGAATCACTTGAACCCAGGAGGCAGAGGCTGCAGTGAGCCAAGATGGTGCCACTGCACTCCAGCCTGGGCAACAGAGCAAGACTCCATCTCAAAAAAAAAAGAGACTTCAAAGTATAAATAACATTGAAGTCAAATCTTAAAAGATGCTTAGATAAATGGAGGGCCATCCTAAGCAAAGGAAAGATTTGTGGTGTAGTAAGTTAGTAAGAACTGAGAAGAACAGTATGCCAGCAATCAGGAGAGCTGGGTAGGCTCCCTCTTTTCCTTCCCACTCACCTTCTGGGTTTTTTAATGTCCTCATCAATATAGTGGGTACAATACTAATAATGACCATTTCCTCCCAATCTTGTATTCTTATACAGAAACAACAATAAAACAGTATTTGTGGAGATTCCATGAAGAGCATAATGCAATCTGTATATATTATCATTAGTCAGTAAATATTAAGAGTGTCTAATGTGTGTCTTGCCTTAAAACTGTAGTTCTAGAAATTACTGTCATGGGCACTTCCCTATGGGTACAGGTTGAGAGCTTGTTCATGCTAGATGACTAAGCACATTTTCTAAAATGACCCACGCTGGGTTGAACCAGAGTGGACCTCCTTAGCTCACAGCATAACAAGTTGCAATCTATTCATATTCATTCATAAAACTGTGTTTGAGGAAAAGAGAAAGATGCCTAGTGTAAGAATTATGGAATACCAAAGATTCTTTGTTTTCACCAGAATTCAAGATGGCTCCCAGCATCCTCGGCTCTCCTTTCTGGAAAGTCTACTCAGGTACCCGTTCTTACCGTGTCCCACCCCGCTTAGTGGTCTGGTGAAGGGAATTGGAGTAGTTGAGATGAAACTTCAGTTGCCTCTTTGTGGTAAGAATCATAAGAATTGAGATAGGCTAACGTAAGACATTTTTCTGGCTAAGACATTTTTAAAAGGTTGGAATTCAGCCTCATTATTTATTTGCTGTGGGTACTGTAATTTCCTTCATTTCTCTCTGAACTAGTTGGAAAGCTAATGCTTGGAATGATACCACATTTGGGAGTAAGACGTGGTGTTTTAGGAAGATGAGGCCAAAATTGAGGAGGAAGAGTATAGCTGCAAGAGTCAGTGTGGAATCGATGTCACATGTGCGCATAAAGGAGATTTCAACCTCTGACACTCCTTGTATTGGGCAAAGTTGCCACAACCCAAAATAGTAAATTATTAGATAATCCAGAGAATCAAACTTTAAAAGGATCTTGAAGAAAAGAAAAGAATGTCCTTTATCAGGTCCCCAGGGCATGGGGCAGGGATCACGGAGGCCATTGACTGCTCTCTGGTTAGCACTAGGTTGTGAGGCTTCTGCTGCCTTCCCTAGCATTTATCACGGGAATGCTTCAACTAGACTAGCACCAGTTAGTAAGCAATAACTGTCCAACACACATCCACGCTCAGAATGGAGATGAGATTTTACAGAGCTACAGCAAATCAAGGTCACCTCACTAAAAACACAAGGGCCTTACTTTTGGCTGCAAACATAAGCTACATTTGGAAATTTCACAGCCACCTTTTACAAAGAAAATCTCTCTCTTAAGATTGCAAAGCAAAGGGAGAAACACAGGGCGTTGAAGGGAGGTAGCGTAGCACAGCGGTTGTCCTTGTCTGTTTTGACTGCCAGAACAGAACACCATAGACTGGGTGGTCTATAAACAACAGAAATGTATTGCTCACAGTTCTAGAGGCTGGAAGTCCAAGATTAAGGCTCTGGCAGCTTCTGTGTCTGGTGAGGGCCCACTTCCTGGTTCATAGATGGCATCTTCTTGCTGTGTCCTCACATGGCAGAAGGGGTGGGGTCGCTCTCTAGTGTCTCTTTCTTAAAAGCACTAATCCTATTCATGAGGGCCCCACCCTGTGACCTAATCACCTCCCAAAGGCCCTGCTACCTATTACCATCACATTGGGGGTTAGGATTTCAAGATATGGATCCTAGAGGGCCACAGACATTCAGCCTATAGCAGTGGTTAAGCACAAAATCTCAGGGGGTCAGATAGGCTGGTGTCTGAATCTCTGTCCACTACTTGGCACATTGCTTTTCTCTCTGAACCAAAGGTTTCTCATCTCTAAGTTAGAGATTATCATCTCTAACTCAAAAGAATTGTATTATGTTAGGAGCAAAGGAAATAATGTATTTGTAGTCATTTGCACAGTGCCTGGAAGTACAGTATGCACGTGGGTCATACAATTAAATAATCCTTTTTCACCCAGGCTTTGAAAGTATCATGCTGTCCCTATTGCCTTCGCCCAGCAACATTCTGCCCATCCCCCAGATCAGCTCAAGCACTTTCTTTTTTTTTTTTTTTTTTTTTTTGAGACGGAGTCTCGTCAAGCAGTACTTTCAAAGTGAAACCTCCTCTCCTCCACCCAGCTTGCCATCATCTCACACTGCTTAAGCTCCTGCTGCCTTTCATGTCTGCACATTGACTCCACCAACCTCATCTGGCCTTGTTAGTTAATCTACATGTCTCCTGGAGGAGAACCTCCAAAGGGAAGGATCTCTAACTTAGACATTTCACTATCTTTGTTGTGCCTCACACAGTGGGTTTTATGCTCAAATATTGGTTGAATGAATAAAAGTAGTCAAATTGCATATAAATGCACACAGGAGACATTTATCCCCTCTCTGACCCTGATGAGTTTTCATTTCTTCAGATAAATGTGTGATAGTTCATGCAGTACTTCCTTGTAAGAAATGTCCAAGACATGGAAGAACCATGGCGTTGCATCCAAAGAAAACCTATGCAAGATTCTCTAAGTAGAGCTTTGCTATTAAGAGCTATGGGCTTTCTTTATGTTGTTCTAACCACTTCCCTATTTATAGTGTAAAGGTAGAGACATGTGGTTTCTTAAAATGAATCCCCTCTCTGATAGTGGCTTTCTTTATGGCTTTGATAAATCACTTAACCTTGTCGCCTCAGTTTGGCCATCTGTACCATGGGGACAATACTTTACCACCTGTTTCTCTGTGTGGTTAGAATTAGGTAAAGAGGTTATTTGGGAATATCCTATCGATAGGGGGAAGATATTAAATTTCAGTAGAGGCATTTGTACATCGTTATACGTTAGTATAATTACTGTGCACTTTAAGCTGAAAGATTGAGCTTTCAAAGACTTTCTTTTACCACTACTTAAAATTGTAACCATAGTAAAGTATTTACTCATGACTATTTGTCTTATTCATGATAATTGAAAAAAGAAATCTTTCTTCATCCCTTTGCCTTTTCAAGAATTGTAAGTTTGCCTGGTTGATGATCTGAAGGGTCTAACTTGTTAGAGAATTATTTAGAGTAATCATCAGTTACATCTTAAAGTTTCTTGAAGGTTTAGATCTTCTTGAAACTTATCTTTTTGCTTAAAATCTTTGCTGTTTTGAAGATTAAGAAGATAGTGAATGATACTTTATTTAAATACTCTGCACTAAGTAAAACAATTCTGTGCCTTAGAGATTTAGGAACAGAGAGCAGCCTACACGATCCACATTGGGCAGCACAATTGAAAGTAATTGAAAGAGTTATGGTCTGGGAATCTTTTGGTATAATGTGTTCCCAGTATCAGTGAAGATTGTTTTTGGCTGAAAGTAACAGAATATCTGACTGAACAATGGCTTAAGAAAATAAGGAGTCACATTTTTCTCATACAAAAACAAGTATGTGGCTAGGTATGGTGACTCACACTTGTAATCCCAGCACTTCAGGAGGCTGAGGCAGGAAGCACTTGAGGCCAGGGGTTTGAGACCAGCCTGAGCAACACAGCAAGACCCTATCTCTACAAAAACTTTTTAAAATTAGGAGAGCATAGTGGTAGAGACCTGTGGTCCTAGATACTCGGGAGGCTGAGGTGGGAGGATTGCTTGAGCCCAGGAATTTGAGGCTGCAGTGAGCTATGACGGCACTCCAGCCTGAGCAACAGAGAAAGACCCTGTCTCAAAACAACAACAACAAAAAAAAGCAAGTATGTGATTCAAGGCTGATAGGGTGGCACTTGCAGTGCCATCAGGGATTGAGATTTCTTCTCCTAGACATGTTTCAGTGGGTTGTTTTTATGAGGTCACAGCATGGGCGCTGCCCCCTGCCTTATGTCTGCATGCCAAGCAGAAAGAAGGGAAAAGGTGAAGGCAAAAAGGACCTGTCAGCTTATCCTGCCACTTTTTCATAGGATCTTCTGCAGCACAATCAGACTGTGTCCCATGATCACCTGTAGCTGCAAGGGAGGCTGGAAACTCCAAATTTTTAGCTGAGCATATGGCCACTCTCTATAAAATTAAGCTTTTATCAGTGGGTAAATAAGGGATAAATATGCTGGTTGACAGTTAGCAACATATTCCCCATTATTTTTACAGATGAGAAATCTGAGCTAGCCAGAACCAAGACCAGAAATCAAGTCTCTAGTTCAGTGCCTTTTTTGCCATATCAGTAGTTTCTACCTTTTTCTCCCCCGACTGGGAGAAATTAACTGCATTTATTTAAACAATTACTTTGTTTTCACATTTTTTATGAGTCAAAGTCATAACATATCCATCTAGATCTTTTGATAATCATAATATAACCTGTGCCATCACACTGAGTTTTTTTTTTTTAATAGCAGCCATAAACAAATCACTTAGCCTTTTTTATTAGTCCATAAGTCCTTGCTACTGGTAAATTTGTGGTTTCTCTTAGGTGCACGCCACTTTAGAGACAGTTTTTGAGGTCAGTTTGGCTTTTTTCAATATTGTATTAGTTTGCAGATACCTATTACTATCTGGGGACCCATTAATTTTTTTCCACAAATATTTATCAGGCTCTTACAGTGTACAAGATGCTCTAGTAGTAGAGTGAACAAGAGAAGCATGGATTCTGTCCTTTGAGTGCTTGCCTCCTGGAGGACGAGAGGACAAGGAAACCAGCAGTTGCACTGCTGTGCTAGAAGCACAGGGTGCGGTAGAAAATGAGGGGAAGGACATCCTTGTGGACAACTACAGTGGCATCTGGCACTACGCAAGTCCAGACACACAGGAGACCCAACCGCTATTGTCAAACAGTTTGCCTTCGCATTATGGGCATGGAAAACAGAACAACAGCAAATAAATCATGCTCTTAGATAACTAAGTACCAAAGAATTCAGACATACGAAATGCAAACATGAGGTTAAACCCCCACCTCTTTATGAGTCAAAAAAAAAAATACACGATGGGAGTTTAGAAGTAAAATTGCCTGGATTCTGAAAATACGCCTAAGATACACTAAAGCAATCACCATATAAACCAAAGATTTATTGTGCAGCTTTCAAAGAATCATTCCAGTTTCTGTTTGGAGAGGTAGTCAGAAGTTTATATGCTCTATAAACCTCTCTAAGTCCATGATCCTCCTGGCCCAAATAGGGATCTTGCTCTCAGTGATGAAACATCTGAAGGTCTGAAGTTAACAATATCTCCCAGTTTGGCCAAGAAAAATATACTGCAGAGAATTATGAGAATTAAGATCACCTTTCAGGAAGTTGGGGTCACCAAGAAAGGTTAGAGGAGTGTGGATTCATAATAGGCATAGACAATAATAGAGGAGCGGGGAAGGAGAGGTAAAATAGGAGGGTGACAGTCATCACTAGATGGCAGGGCCTATTAGGGCAAGGACCACACCTTTATCATTTATCTCTGAATCCCTCCGCCTTGTGCCCGGCATAAGGAAAGCACTCAATAAATAATTGTCAAATAAATGAATGAATGAATGCATGGATTTGATTGAAGAAACAGAAAGTTTGAGAATAATAGGAAGTTCTTTCCTTCTCCACTGTGTAGTAGTATAATATTCAAATGCATATATTCAGCAGCACGTAGAAAGAGGCATGGCATGTTTAAGTGCTCAGTATATATTTGATTTGTTTGTTTATTTGTTTGTTTGTTTGTTTGTTTGTTTGTTTTGAGACAGGGTCTCTCTCTCTGACACCCAGGCTGGAGTGCAGTGACTTGATCACAGCTCACTGCAGCCTCGACCTCCTAGGCTCAAGGGATCCTCCTGCCTCAGCATTCCAAGTGGCTGGGACTACAGGCGCATGCCACTATGCCTAGCTAATTTTTAAAATTTTTTTGTAGAGACAGGGTCTCACTGTGTTACCTAGGCTGGTCTCGAACTCCTGGCTCAAGCAATCCTCCTGCTTCAACCTTCCAAAGTGCTGGGATTACAACAGCAAATAAGTTATGCCCTTAGATAACTAAGTACTGAGGATTTAAGACATACAAAATGCGAACACAAGGTTAAACCCCACTTCTTTATGAATCAAACACACACACACACACACACACACACACACACACACACACACACACACACACAGGCAGTTTAGAAGTAAAATTGCCTTGATTCTGGCAGGCGTGTGCCACCATGCCCAGCCTAATATATGTTTGGTTTTAATTAAGATCTACCTTGATAGACCTTAAGAGAAATGAGCTCAAAATTATTTGGTCCCCTATTTGTAGAATATTTCCTGTGGCATTTTAAGTTTTTCTCTCCAAACTAAGGTCCCTCCAGAAAGAACGTCCCCTGGCGTTTCACTACTACTGTAATTGTGGCACCCCCTCCCCTGGCCTAGGCCCCCAAGTGCTAGGTTTGTTCATCTTTCTCCTATCACATCCACAAACTTCTTTGCCTCTTAGGAAAGCTTTTAACTTAGTTGGAGAACATGCTGGTGATCCACTGAATCTAATTTGTCTCTCCTGGTTTAGTGCAATTGAATCATCTCAGGAAAATGAGAAGCAATTAGGTACCTGTTGCTAACAAGGCACTGAAATAATCTGCCAACAGACGCACGGTGTTTATTTATTATTGGAGTATGTCACTTGAGCAAACATTACGTTGCCTTTCTCCAAGAAGAATTGCCAGAATTGATTTTCAAATGCAGGCCTCATAGACCTAACAAGTACCACCTTTAAGGAGCATGGAACAGAGAAGCAAGAGGGCTTGTGAGCCTCGTTCAGGGTTAGTTCAAGTGCCAGTGCCTAGCCTAATGGGCAGCGTTGTGGATGGGATTTGAAGTTGCAGGACACTAAAGAAAAAGCAGCTTTTTTCTTTTTTTTTTGCAGAGGTCCTTTAAGTCCCAGTTCAGGAAATTATTAAATTCATTAGCCAGATACTTAGAACCAGCTATTACTGCCCAGCCAAAGGAAAAAAAGAGTGCCAGCAAATGTTTTAAAACTACAACTAAACAAAAGTCAGGAAGCGTGTAATTAAAACTGTACCTTTATTGTATTGTAAAGAGTTTCACTGTGACATGGAAAATATTTAAAGGAGAAGGCTGTTTAGCTAATTTGTCTGCAAGTGAACTGCCTAGTGGAACTATCCTAAATTAACTGTAAGGCCACCCACCGAGCCACCCTCATAAAGAGCCATGGCTGCTCAGCTTGGGTTTGTGTAACGTTCAATAATTACTAGATAAATGCACAACTAAAAGCTCTATTACACTAATAATTTGTACTGTGATAGATGTGTGGGACACCCTGCTGGGTTAATTTGTCATCCCTGCAGCAAACTTCTAAAGAGAGCTCTTCCGTAGTGGAATCATGTTAATATGTTGTCCCTGGGAGGACAGGTTAGAGCAGTGAGACCACTTGGCTCCTTAATCTCTTAAAGAGGCAAAGGGCCTCCAGGGTGAGTGCTGAAGAGAATAGGGTGATGAACCCAGGGGACCTGGATTTAAACTCATCTTCACAAAAGAAGCTGCTTTCCCTTGGAATTCCTTTGCCCCTTTCTCTCTGTCCCTCTCAGTCACACGCAGGCCTATGTGTCCCAGTGGTGCATGTGTGCGCACAGGCACACACAGGCATAGACCCACGTATCCATACATAGTGAAGGCAGTGGTTCTGAGCAAGGTTTCTTAGAAACCCCCTCATTTTAAGACTTCCTGGTATCGTACGCTTGGACTGTACCTTGCGTAGTCAGATAAGCCCCGTTCTTTCTGGTTTAGCTTAACCTAAGTTGATTCCATGTATAGACTCATTATTTATTTTCCTTTTTTCAGCATAGAATAAAAAATTCAAGATTGAACTTGTATCTCCTCTTTATGTGGAATGGTTTCTTCTGCCTCGCCCTCTCCCTCTCTCTCTCTCTCTCTCTCTCTCTCTCTCTCTCTCTCTCTCTCTCCCTCTTTCTCTCCCTCTCTCCCCGTCTCTCCCCCTCCCCAACCCCACCCGCACCCAGGTCTGCTATTCTCTGTGTGAGCTTTGTGCTTAGGCTAAATATCCTCAGACTGTGGCCCAGATAGCCACAGTGAGCAGCTCCAGCCTTAATTTCCACCAATTTAATAATCCCAAGAGAAAAAAGAGCAGCTTTTCAACAACAGATTTAGGGAAGGGCCTACTCCTGCATGCTTATGATTCTGATTATCTGGGTTTGGGTCATTTGCTCACTTTTAAAATAACCCTTATGTTTAAAAGACAATGGAGTGCCTCATTGGTGTGACCCGGCTTCCCTGTCCACCCATGGAGTCAGCGGGTTAAGTCCATCCTAACCACATAGGCTGAGGCTGAGGGACAGAGAGTTCCCCAAAGAAACATTAGAGCTCTGTTTCCAGAAGAAGGGGTGAAGAACTGCTGGGCAGGCAAAAATAATAGCTACCCCCAGGAGATAACAGCAAAGCTGGCCTGAGCACTGGCCAATGGGCTCAGCTTACTCACTAGCTGTGGCTTGTTCCTGCAGTTAGTGTTTGCAGAGCACAAGAAAAACCCAGGCCTATTTGTTCATGCCACAGACCCCCAGGGTCACTTGAAAACAGTTCGGCTCTTGATTCTCAATTAGCTGGTGTTACCTCATTGCATTGTATAATCCAGATTACTTTTCATGTATCTCTATTTATTCTAAAAACAATCCTAAGAATATTAAATAACCCAGAGTCTAGCATGCTGTTTGGCACACAGTAGATTCTCAACACATTTGTTGAATGAGTGATCCTACTATGAATGAGGCACCTGTGTACATTAATGCTAATCCTCAGAAAAGCCTTTCAAATTGCGCTATTCTTTCTTACCCCCCTCTGCCCCACCCAAGACAGAGTCTTGCTCTGTTGCCCAGGCTGGAGTGCAGTGGCACGATCTTGGCTCACTGCAACCTCTGCCTTCCATGTTCAAGCAATTCTCCTACCTCAGCCTCCTGAGTGTCTGGGACTACAGGTACACGCCACCATGCCTGGCTAATTTTTTGTATTTTTAGTAGAGATGGGGTTTCACCATGTTGACCAGGCTGGTCTCAAACTCCTGACCTTGTGATCTGCCTGCCTTAGCCTCCCAAAGTGCTGGGATTACAGGCGTGAGCCACCATGCCTGACCAATTGCTGCTACTATTTAAAGATAAGAAATTTAAAGATAAGAAACTGTAGGTTTGGAAATGTTAAATAATTTTGCCCAGATTAACACAGGGAGTGAATGATTTTACAACCAGAAGAGTCAAGCTCATTTTGTAGTAGAGGACACTAAGGAATATAGGAGGCTGGCGTCTTGCTAGTCAATACCCAAGCTGACATGAAAACTTGGTACCCTGACTTTAATCACTAGACTGATTATTCTGTTGCTTATTCCATTCCTTGTGTGAAATTTACCCACAGTAGGATTACTCCTCAAATCCTATGGGGTGAATTCAGGAAGATACTTCAAGTTCAGGAGGATGCCTTGAAAGTAGTCTTTGGCTGGGAGCGGTGGCTCACACCTGTAATCCCAACATGTTGGGAGACCAAGGCAGGCGGATCATTTGAGTTCAGGAGTTTGCAACCAGCCTGGGTGACAATGAAACCCCATCTCTACTAAAAATATAAAAATTAGCCGAGCGTGGTGGCACATGCTTGCAGTCTCAGCCACTTGGGAGGCTGAGGTGGGAGGATCGCTTGAGCCTGGGAAGCAGAGGTTGCAGTGAACCTAGATTGCATCACTGCCCTCCAGCCTGGGCGACAGAGCAAAACCCTGTCTCAGAGAGAGAGAGAGAGAGAAAAGTAGCCTATGCTTTAGTAATCATGTTGCACAGAAATAGAGGCTTCCATTTCAGTATAAATCTGACAATTTGGTGGAGAGAAATGCTGCAAAATAACCCATGGCTTTATGTTTGTTATGAGATTTGCTTTTCTGTCTGCTTATTTTCTGTGTGTGTGTGTGTTTTTTTTTTTTTTTAATGCAGGAAAAGACTTGCAACAGCCTAGATCCAGCACTTGGTCGTTACGCAAGAAGCATCTGCATGGATCTTGTTTTTTGAAGTCCTCTTTCACAGGACTGCAGTTTGTAATTCCATTTCACTTCCAACAGGTCATTGGATGATTCCCTCCCTTTTTCTGTTAATCTCTGGAATCATCCAATCTATGGTGGTTAGTTTTCTTCTCAAGTAATTGTTTTGATTTGTTTTTCATTCTTCATTTAGTCTCACAGTAGTATCGCTTACATGTTACGTAAAAGTTCAAGTTCCCTTCATGTAACTGGATTCTTGTCAACTTTGCCTATTAAACCATCACTCTAAATATTTCCAATAATCACAGCTGTTGCGTGGCGTTTGAACACATTTCACATCAGCCATCATGGAAGCTTAGGCAATTAGTGTGAGAATATGGTCAATTTTGATTCAAAGAGGCCCTGTCAGGACAAAGGCTGGGGCTGTATTTCACAGAGCTTAAAGTAGCACACTCAGGTTTTTTTAAACTCTAAATATTACAGTCTCCCCAAAGCCAAAGTATCTTAAAGACTGAGTCTAGATATACTGTACAACTTAATATCCCATAAACATTTTTAAAATCATTTGTTTTAAAAGCCTTCCTTATTTCAATTTTTAGATTTTAATTTTATTTTTATGGATCAGTTGTACTATTTGTAAATGTAATCCCAGAGACTGAATTCTATACATCCACTAGAGCTTAAACTAGATGAGCTTCAGAGAGTATTTAGTCCAAGCTGCTTACTGTGAGAAGAGAGACCTAGGGAGAGAGAAGCCACCCACATTTATAATATGCCAGGTAGTGGCAGAAACTAAGTTAAAACCCAAGTCTCTTTATCTAGTCTGAAAATATTCCTAAAAAATGCCCTAGATCTTCTGAAAAGCATTTGTTTTTGTTACTGTTTTTTTGTTTGTTGGTTGGTTTTTTAGATATAGGGTCTTGCTCTGTCACCCAGGCTAGAGTGCAGTGGTGTGATCATGGCTCACTGCAGCCTCAAACTCCTGGGATTAAGCAATCCTCCCACCTCAGCCTCCAAGTAGCTGGAATTACAGGCACCTGCCACCACACCTGGCTACATTTTTAAAATTTTTTGTAGAGATGAAATCTCACTGTGTTGCCCAGGGTGGTCTCAAACTCCTGGGCTCGAGTGATTCTCCTGCCTCAGCCTTCTGAGTAGCTGGGGTTACAGGTGTGAGCCATCACACCCAGCCGAAAAGTATTTCTAGTAGTCAATATGTATTAGATTTCTGATAAGCAAACTCCCAATAACTAACACGATGGGACTTTCAAGGGAAATGATAGAGATTTCCACTGTTTCCATGTTTTGGGAGGCCGTGGGGAGGCCATGCTCAGATTGTGGTGTGGTCAGAAACGTGCCTGGGGGCCAGGCACAGTGGCTCATGCCTGTAATCCTAGCACTTGGGGAGGCCGAGGCAGGTAGATTGCCTGAGCTCAGGAGTTCAAGACCACGCTGGGCAACGTGGTGAAACCCCATCTCTACTAAAAAAATTCAAAAATTAGCCAAGTGTGATGGTAGGCACCTGTAGTCCCAGCTACTCGGGAGGCTAAGGCAGGAGAATTGCTTGAACCCAGAAGGTGGAGGTTGCAGTGAGCCGAGATTGCGCCACTGCACTCCATCCTAGGTGACAGAGTGAGACTCTGTCTCCAAAAAAAAAAATAATAATAATAATGCCCGGTTGGCAGGGGCCTACGTGGTGAAGAGGGAGGTCAGTATGGACACTCAAGGATTGTAGGTCTAAGTGAAAAATAGCATCTAAAGGGAGATGGCCCCATAGTTCTAAGCTTCTGGGTTAAATCTCACAGTCTGAAATTTAAGTAAAGGCAGGAATTCACAGTATGTTTGGTCAGCAAAGACTATTTGTCTAGGTCTTTAAAGAACTTTTATCTTTACTTAGATATCTATGGTATCTATGATTATTAGGTCAAGATTGTTGCTACTGCTGTTGTTGCTTTTACTTTTCATTTTGTTGTTTGTGGAATTATTTTCAAGGCCCTCATGTCATATCCATGCTGATAGTATATACTATTTTATCAATATTTATGTACTTTTTTGTCCAAGAGACAGGCGAGCAACAAGTACCTCTTGTTCCATCACTCCTTTCTTTCATGTATTCTACAATCAGAACAGGTCCTAGCACACAGGAGCAAATTTCAATGTATTCATTGCCTATCCCATTCTTGTCTATGATAGTACTATCATACTACAAAAGAAGCTATTGATCACTTAATTGTGTGATCAGAAACTGTGCCGTGTGCCTTATATACATTGTCTCATTTAGTCTTCACAACAGCGCTATGAGGTATTATTAGCCCCATTATACAGATGCCAAAACTGAGTTGTAGAGAAGCTCAGCAACCTGAAGCATAGCTCGTGATAGAGCTTAGAATTTAAACTCATGTCTATCTGACTCCAAAGCCCTGGTCCTTATATTATACTGCACTGCTTTTCTGAGTCGTATGTTTAACTTAGAATTATATACGCACACACACGGATGTGGTCAGCCAGCACAGACCAAGGCATATTAAGTAATGGTGAAGACAGACAATCAAAAGTCTACCGTGGAGAGTTAATGAGATATCAAAGGTGACCAGATTGCTTTGGAAAGCTTCAGAAAGCTGAGGTGGAATTGGTATTGACTGTCAGGGGTCTGACTCACAGAGCACAGCAGGTGCTTGGAGAGTGAACAAGAATTTTGTGGGTCTACACCAGGGACTGGAAAACTATTGGGCCCACAGATCCAATAGCCCTTTGCCTGTATTTGAAAATAAACTTTTATTGGAACACAGCCGCGCTCATTTGTTTATGTAATGTCTGTGACTGCTTCTGCACTGTAGCAGCGGAGTTCAGCAGTTGCAACAGAGACCATATAGCCTGCAAAGTCTAAACTATTTAGTATCTGGTCTTTACAGAAAATGTTTGCCAACTCCTGGTCTAGTCAGGGCCTTGAGCAACAAAGGTCTTGAAGTAGCTAAAATTGATCTAGATAAAAATTTTAAAAGACTTTGGCCTTCTGTTTTCTTGTGTGGGTCTTTCTTTTTCTTTCTGTTTTTCCAAAAGACATTAGAATTTGATCTCTTAGAAAATCCCCTGAATTCAAATGGAATAGACTCTATCAACCATCTTGGAAACTAACCGTGGCATAAAGTTACTTTGTCTGGTAGCAGTAATACAAAAACACTGGTGTTTTGCAAGCTGTCAAGCCATGTCATATATTTCTCTCAATTGACATATCTGGGTCCTTTCACGTGCATCTTCGTGATGTTAAAAGATATGTACCATATGTTTTGAAAAACCTTGGCTCACCTCGAGTCAAAAGCTTTGTTATTTAGAAAAGGCATCACCTCTTAAAGGTTTGAAAAGCATTGCCAATTCTTCTTTCCTGTATCTCTGTTAAAATAAATCCCTTAACTCCAAACTTCTCAGCTTTCATCAATGGCAGGCCTGATTCATGCATGATTTATAAATTAGGGCTATGGACCATTAAGATAGATTTCTCAGCTTTAGGTGGGGTATAATGGTGTTATATAGTGTGGTTTTGAATTTCTGAAGAAGCAAGATACATAGTAGTTGACAACCCAAGCCATTTTTATGTTCTATTTACCCTTATGGAAAGCTTCTTTTGTTTTTTAAGTGGGATTTTTTTCTTCGATTTTCTTTTCCTTTTGAAGCTTTGCCGTATTACAAATTTTTACTTCTAATTATGAGTAGTCAAGAGTTCTTAATGCCACCCTTACGCTATGGAAGTGGTAACTTTCATCTAAAGAACATCTTATTTCTGAAGACAGATAAGAAGGTTTTTCTTATAATGGCGCTAACAGAGAAAAACTGTTTGGAATCTCACCTGTTGCCACTGCCTTTGTATTCATTAACACTAAGACTGTGAAGTTTTGCAGATGCCAGGGCTCAGGAGTGATTATTCGCTCTTGTGAGGGAAGAAGCCTGTATATAACACTGCCTTAAGAGCACACTGTGCCTGAAGGAGGATTATATTTTATTGTTTGTGTTGCTCTCTTGACAGCTTTTCTTTGGAGCCTCCCATAGAAGAGAGACTGGGATTTAAAGGCTGATGCCAGAAAGCAAAAGCTAACGTGAAAAGAATCCAAGTCTCTGTCCAGTGTGTGAGAATCTGCAACGGTTCATGGACAAGGAATAAAACAATTAAGGCAATGTCAGGGTTATAATACAGAAGAACATATTTCAACCCATAAAATTTTGGTTTGAGGGAAAATGTGTGAGAGTTATTAGAGTTCTTGGAGGATGAGCTTGAGAAAAACTACTGGAAATACTAAGAGATTACTTTCTTCTTCTATCTCTTTTTCTTCCCTAAGACTTATAAAAGCAGAAAAATGCAAGATTCCAAGCTTGTCTGGACACAGCTCCCTGATACCATCCTATTTCATATGGCCCACGCTTAGATTTTCTAACTAGTTCTGACTCCTCTTAAGAGCACTCTTATGTGTCTACAAGACCTCCTCCCCATAGTGGACTCTCAGACCAAGAATCACTGGTTGTATTATAGAAGTCTTGCAACATATCCAATAATACAATAATGATCCTGACCTTCTCCTTTCTCAGTCTTAATAAATTCTGCTTTTAACGGAAGAAGCATTTTTGAGTTAAACATGTATATGTATTTTTTCAATTGTTTGAATTTTTAACTTTTTCTCCTTTAAACTAAAACCAAGAGAGGATTTTTAAGAACTGGTGGGCTGCTGGACTGGTGGGGAGGGAATGAACAAGTAAACCAACCTGACTGACCTGCTTTCGTTTTTCAAAGTATCCAGTAATATGATCATTTTGTAATAAATAGCTGAGTATTACACCCTTTGGGAAATTGTGGCTCTCTGTTTCTTTTCGTTGTGGCTACTTTGTTCAGGATGTGTAGGCAGTGCCATTGCAGCCAAAGAAACCTGATCAAATTTCCTTCCTTCCCATCTTATTTATATTCTTTGTGAAAAGCCCAAACAGTTGTTTTAAACAAGTCTGGCCACTCGTTAAAGTTTAAACTAGTAGTGAGATCCATCAGGAGTGAAGTGTTTCTGACACTCTCTGCTGCTCCTGGCCTAGGGTACTAAGAGTATTAGATGCCGGAAGCAGCCAATTTTGTAGTGTCTTTTAATACACAAAATTGTATTAACATCAATGTGGATACAGATGGATGCACTGCAATAAACTGTAACCACTTGAGAAAAGCCTTTATTGAC
Organism: Homo sapiens; assembly: GCF_000001405.40. Classification (NCBI taxonomy): domain Eukaryota; kingdom Metazoa; phylum Chordata; class Mammalia; order Primates; family Hominidae; genus Homo; species Homo sapiens. The sequence continues at coordinate 61,400,562 of NC_000001.11, forward strand.
TCTCAAGTAAATAATGCACATTTTAAAGGATCTAAATATGCATTTACATAATGTGCTATAATTTTTTATGGTGTCAACTACTCACACACACACATCCATAAGACATGTTTTTCTTCGTCAAAAATCTGGACTCATACCATTCTTCGTGCATTCCATTAGCATCATGCCAAATTCATAATGGTAGTTTTTTTCTATAAAGCCTGATCTGGCCACCTCAAAATATAGTTGATGAATTTTACTCTTTAATTGATTTAACCCCAGTGGCTCTTTCTAAAATGATTTGAGACAAATAAAAACTTAGGTACAGTAAAAACATCCAAGATGAAGAGAGAAAACAAGAAATAGGAGAGAAGAGAAACAAAGTTAGGCAGGCATTGATGACATCTTAATTCTGAGTTTCAGTGGGTTTCATTGTCTGGTAGAAGAGGAATAGCAGGTTATCTAGAGAAATAGCATCTATTTAATAATAACTAGAGCTTTGTGATGTCAGTAACGTAACTATTTTCTGTTTGAAGAAATGAAGGTTCAGGATCTCGAATGATTTCTCTCCAGTTGCACAGTGAACTGATGACTGAACCAGAAAGTCCAAAGCATGAGAAAGTAAGGGTTGCAAAGGATGACCCTTTAAAATGCAGACTCAGCAATTGCCCAATTTGAAACTACAGGCTAAATGATTTCCTGGTATTAATTAAGAATTAATTGATTCTTATAAATCAGTCATTGTAGAATTAATTCCATATAGTACCATATGTTCTTGTGTTTGTGTTAAACTCTGTTCCACAAGGAAATGGTGAATAAATTGTTTTTAGTAAAATAAAAAACGAAGGTCTAAATTTAAGTTGCTAATGATTGTCTTTTACGTATTTAACAACAACAAAATGAGGGAAAGGATGTTTATAACAGTTAATGAGGAGATGACAGGGTGCTTTTGAGTTATTTCTTCTATCTCATTTCTTTAAAGATCAGCTCTGCTTGATCTTTGCTCAAGTGAATTTCTTTTTTGGGCAGCATTTTCTGTAGGCCACCGTGATTTCATAATCTAACAATTACCCATCACTTTCCATTGAGCACCTGAGGCAGCGGCACTTTATCTTCAAGGTCAGCCTACCAGGGGCTCTTGTCAGCAGAATTGGCACCTTTGTGTTTGGCATTCTGCAAAAGTTGAGTGTTTCGTTTTGTTAGGCTCAGTATATTCTCAGCCTAGTTTGGGAAATATCACATTCTGTCCTTAACTAGTGACTATTCCATCAGACGCAGGGTACCGAGTACAAGTTTTTTGCCACCAGCAAGGAGGACTGTACCATGTTGGATGAAAAAATTCCTTTGATTCTTGAAAGCCAATGGCATAATTTGCAGAGTAAGAGATGACCAGAGCCATTTAACTTTTTAGCTTGTGGGTTTTAACAAGCAACAACAATAGATCCCAAGATTTATCATTCATTGCAGGAAGTCCTAAGTTTTACTCATTTTTCTTTTTTTTTTTTTTTTTTTTTTGAGACGGAGTCTCCCTCTGTCGCCCAGGCTAGAGTGCAGTGGCGCGATCTCGGCTCATTGCAAGATCCGCCTCCCAGGTTCATGCCATTCTCCTGCCTCAGCCTTTGGAGTAGCTGGAACTACAGGCACCCACCACCACACCTGGCTAATTTTTTTGTATTTTTAGTAGAGATGGGGTTTCACCGTGTTACCCAGGGTGGTCTCAATCCCCTAACCTCATGATCCGCCTGCCTCAGCCTCCCAAATTGCTGGGATTACAGGCATGAGCCACCGTACCAGGCCAGTTTTACCGATTTTTCTAAAAGCTCCCTGGCTCTTGACCAGGTGGAGAAACCAAGTTTTGGTTTTAGCAAATTTTATTCTATGTTTAACGGTATGATTATCTTATTAACCTCTGTTTATTCAGTCATTCACTGCACATTCAACAAATATTTATTGAGTGCCAGACTCAGTTCTGGGGATATTGCAGTGGGTTGAAAAGGTATTTACGAAGATGGAGAAGGCTGGGAGAAGTGTAAGCTTGAGAGGAGAAGGTAATGAAAATTCTGATTCAAATAGGTTATGTTTGAGACATCCTCAATTGTATGACCGATGGCAAAATTTCATCTGTTTTGGCTCAGATTTGTTTCTTGAGCCCATAGTAGGAGCCTATGAATATTTATTGGGCAGATTAAAGATTGCATAAATTAAAGGGTTGCACCAGACCACCTGCAAGACATGGATTGGAAAGTTGCTTCCCCTCCAATCGCCCATTTCCAGTCTTTTTGAAAACTACAGATGTCACTCTGAACCCCATAGCATGAGCCATTTCAGTCATTAGTCAGAAAGTGCCCCAATCATGAGGAGATCCCGGTAGGGAACAAAGAACCTATGCCCAGCAACTAATACAGATGCATTCTTTTTCACAGCCTTTAGCCATGCAAGTGGGATAGTGGTAGAAGTGATGGCCTGTCTTACTGAGTTTCTCTTCAGTATTATGAGTCATTCTTGGTATTGGAAAGGTCTTATTTTCCAAAATGTGGACATTCCTGTGATTTTCAGTTTAAAGATTTAAACCGAAGAAAGGAAAGATAAATACTTTCATCTCCTCTAATTTGGGAGAGGTTTCTCTGGCTCTCATTGAGAAGCAAGAGCTGCTGCTATCTTGGCTTGACTTGGTTTGAATATCTGCAACCTTCCCATGCACTGCTCTTATCCTCCAGCCAGTTTTATCAATCATCCTTCTAATTCAAGGGCAAAAGTTCTCTTAGAGAAGTTATTAGGCACCTCACATAAGTTTTTTTAATCTAATGTAATCTTCTTGTTCACATGAAATTTACCAGGGTTCAAATGTAAGGGAGCAGTAGTTGTCTGAGTCTTTTATCAGTTTTTATGGGCACAGGGCCAACATTTTAGCAGGGGTCACTGCCTGCTTACCCTGTGGGTTCCCCTGCTGTAACATATGTGCATTTCTGAGTTTGTCTTTGAAATGGCATCTGAAGGCGACATAAACCATCCGTGTAAAGTGAGGCACCCAAATTGCATGGGCTCATTAAGTGATCATTTACTACATACTTCAAAAAATTTTCATCCTGAATTAGTCCCTAGAAATTTCCTTGAAAGGGGTATAAGAGGTTTAACAATGAATTATTGTCTATGGATAGCTCAGCGTGAAAGGGGATCCATATGTGCAAACTAGAATTTGTCATATGTAATGTCAGTTAAGTCAGGTCTAATCTACCAAATACATTTTTTATTGCTTGCTTCATTAAAAAGGCTCTTAAGGTAATGAATAATCTTCAGCCTCACCAAGGATTATTAATGCCTTTATAACTCATGTCCACTGAAAATAGAAAGACAGCTTGAAACTCTACCCTAATCTAACCTCCGTGTTTGTCTTAGAGCCTTAAGGAAGAAAATCTGTCAGACCTATCCAGTGTTAAATTCAGTCACATGAGCAATATTGTGAATCGGGCCAGGAAGAGAAATAAAGGAGGAAGTTGAATCGGGTTCAGCTATGACAAAGCAGGTCTTTCTTTTCATAACCCTGATGTTTTCTTTTCCTGCAGCAAGTCCGCATGCAACACCATCGACTCTTCATTTCCCGACATCACCCATTATCCAGCAGCCTGGGCCTTACTTCTCACACCCAGCCATCCGCTATCACCCTCAGGAGACGCTGAAAGAATTTGTCCAACTTGTCTGCCCTGATGCTGGTCAGCAGGCTGGACAGGTGGGGTTCCTCAATGTAAGGAAACCTCTTTTTTTCCATTTCTTTAGAAATGTTAGCCGAATATAAAAATAACAAGGGGAGACCTTATGATCATGTGACGTTGTGCTCTAATGTTGTGCTGACTGACTGCAGGCAAATGTCATATTTATTCTAGATTGTGGGAAAGTTAACTTGGTCTAAGAGTGATTAGTCAGGGTTTAAAAACAGTGTTTGTGTTAAGTTTGCAACTGTCAAGTTTATGGATATAAATCAGCTCAAGGGTGAACTATATAACCTTCTAAGTTCTGTGGGCTGATCATTCCACCTCGTGCATTCTAACCCCAGGGCTCATACAGTTAACAAAATAGAAAGACCAAGTAGTTTTAAATAATGATTTGGGGTGGTAGAGAAAGGTAGGGAGATGAAGGGGACAGATGTTTCAGATCAACTAAGTTGATATTTTTGAAAAATACAGTCTTGTAACACTTTAGATCAAGTTGACCAGTACTTGAACTCAAGATGCTGAAAGTACAGTTTATTATGGTTTGTTATTTCTGCAAGTCATTATCTTTCCCACTTATCTTGGTATAAAGCTAAACAGTGTTCAATAGCTTCACATGAATGTTTTTATTTTTCCTCAAATAAACCAAATAATCACAATTTGAAATGGCATTCCAAATGTAAAAGTGATTTTTAAAAATCAGAAATTTTATTTCAAATATAGGATTAGATGTTTACAGTGGAAAGCTGTATCTCAAGGCCAATAATAATAAACAACGACCAGCATAAAGCCAAATTTGATTTTCCTTTTCTACTAATAACTGTGCATGAAGTCACAGACTAGCCATAATTATTACTGGCCAATTTAGGATAGTATGTCACACCATCCTGTCACCGATTTTTTTCACTTGCAGAAATACCTGATTCTGCATATCTGCGCCAGAACAGGCAGCTTTGACTAATGTCTGGTGATGTGTTAGCAGATACATTTCTGTCTAGACAACAAATCAATATGGTGCCTCTTTTCTTTTTGCTTGTACATTCATTTGCTTGGCTTATTCTAAAGCATTCACTTATGGACTCTCAGCCCACTCAGAAATAACGCAAAGGCAAGGTTGCTGGCAAGAAAGCACAGCATTCTGATCGTCAGACGAGGTAGTCTTTGAGGAGCAATACTAAATATATAAGTACTAAATATATAAGTAAATGTTGATGGGGGAGTGAGACTGCCTCTGTAGAATTATTAAGCTTAAATGTAAAAGCCTGGGACAGCAGAATCTCCTTCAACCGAATTTTGATTGGGGACTAAATGTGAACTGTTGTCGTTGGTTGAATAGAGGCCTCTTGGGAAACAATGAAAAAACTGAGCTGATCACCAGCATCAAGCATCTGACTTCTAAATTATTAACCATTTTTGTAATAGTCCTGACACCCTATATAACTGTCAAATGCCCAGTTTTGCATTTTGATCAGAATTTTATAGGACTTAAGGCAGGTCTCTTCATGAAACTATTTTGAAAAAATTGAAAATAAAATGGGTTTTATTGCTCTCTTTGGAGGGGAATTTTTTGTTAAAGAGCTGTTATTTGGTTGTTTTAACATCAGGCAGCAAAATAAATATGACTCTTATGGCATATGCTTATATAATTTAAATCAAAATTAGAAGTGATATTTTTCCCTAGCAGACTTCTGACAGCTGAATTCTAAAGTTTCTGTGCCTGATGTTATACAATATGTGAACAAAATTTTCTATGTTCACTTAACACATTTATTAAATGTTATATAATATCAACTTTGAAGAGTGAAAATAAAATATTACTTTTTTATCTCAAGTGCATATTTAGGAAAATTTATTCTATCTATGTAAAGAAACATAGTGGAATAATGCCACAGTCCATAAAACACTTAGATATTAAATATTTAATAATCATGAGAAAGATAATGAAGGTAGCAGTTAATACAGAAAAATACAAAAGATTCCAAGCAAAAGTTGGTTACTCAGGGGACAAATCCAAAGTGATAATTGGCAGGTGATTTTATGAAACCAGATGCAAAGAAGGACAATGTAGTTCAAGAGATAAGTTTAGGATGCATGGAGCACATGTGGCTAAGAGTACTTTTGTGAAATGCCTTAAGAACAGAACCCAACAATGGACATTTCCGTATGGGCTTATGGAAGAATTGAAGCAGCTAGATACTTAGTAATTTACATTAAAGGTGCCTGATGAATATTTTGTTTTCAGAAGCAGCTAATGGTTGCTGTCTCTTTCTTCTTTTTCTTGTACGTGTGTTTTCTGCCCCCCCCCCCCCCACAGCCCAATGGGAGCAGCCAAGGCAAGGTGCACAACCCATTCCTTCCCACCCCAATGTTGCCACCGCCACCGCCACCACCGATGGCCAGGCCTGTGCCTCTGCCGGTGCCAGACACAAAGCCTCCAACCACGTCAACAGAAGGAGGTGCAGCCTCCCCCACGTCACCAAGTAAGTATGGCTGCGACAAGGCGCCGGTCACTTCTAAAGCTGTATGCACTGGAATCCACACTTAGGCTTTGTCCCTCACTGTATAGGCTCTAGAAAGAGGCACAGATCCCCAGTGATGTTGTAGCATGAGTTTGCCAGACCGAGAATCAAAGTGAACATGACTCTTGGGTACTCCACCAGATGAGGAAAACACTGGGTGTTGGGTGGATGAGATGGTGTAGCTACATACCTAGGACTGAAGTCAAGTTATGAGCTATTACATTTTGTATATTATTTGAGGGATTTCAAATGCTATTCCCATCATCAAGCAGCAGCTACTTACATGGATTCTGCTTAGAAAAAGTTCCTCATTCTTACAGACAGCCCTGCCTTCCAGGAACTTGCAGTCTAAGAGAAATGCACTTGAAAGTTATATACCTCATACATCAAATAGGAGAAAATGTCTAGATCAAAGCACCAACTCAAAGGTGTGTACACTGACCATTCGCTGAGAGTAAGAGCCTGGCAGAAGATCAATGCTAGTAGCCCTGGCAGTCGCATGGTGAGGTTTGGCAGAGGTTGGGGTAGGGGCTGGGGTACGGAGATAGAGGGGAGAGTAGGATGGAAGGAGGAGAGAAGTCTTGGCTCTTCTCTGAACAGTCTGAGAACATTTAATCAAAGAATATAAGATTTCACAACCCTTTTAGATGATGGGAATGATTACTTGAACTAGAGAGAGAGTAATTCTCCAGATATTCCCTGATGTTTTAGATATGGCAAGGGGATAGAAATAGTTTGAATGCACAAATGTGCCTTTTATTAGTGCCTGGAATAATGACAAAAAGAGTGATGGCTGGAGTTCCTAGGTGATGGATGCCCTAGCCTTGATAGATGGTGTGATGAGCACCTTCCCTAAAGCTGTAAAGAGGCAGCAAAGTATAAGAGAAGGATAGGAGCTGTGGCAGTGTGACCCTAAGGAAAGCCTTCAAGGGGGTTGTCAAAAGAAGTGAGACTGAGGCAAGGAATCTACAGAGGAAAGGATGTAAGAGCAGCATAGGAAAGGAGTGTTAAGGCCAAGAACTTGAACCACAGTAATAGGTGTAGAATGGAACGGGACATGGTGGGGAGTGTTTTGTAGACATAAGCATCGGGATTGGACAGTCCTCTGGATGAATGCGGTGAATGAAGATTCTAGGCCTCTCAGCTTCCTTACCTTCAGTATTGGAATAATAATGATAGTGAATACAGGAGGGAAAGAGACAAAGAAGAAAACTGAGCCCCTGTTTATGCCATGTTCATAGAATTTGATTCTGGGGGCACGGAATCCAGATGGCTAGAGGCCCTCATGGACACATCAGAGAGTGAGCTTTGGGTTATCCAGTATTTATGCATTTTGATAATATATGCAGAAATGAGCAGCACTGTGCATAGATTCTGTATCAATAGCCAAAAGATTGAAGGTTCAGGGGCAATCTAGGGAAGACCTACTTCTCTTGGTAAGAGGTGATTCAACACTTGTCAACAAAGGAGAAAACCCTCAGTGTCCAATGACAGAGAAGCAAGCTGGGCTTGGCCCATGGATCTTAGAAGCTCAGCTTAGAAGGAAAGCCTCTGCTTCTCAGAGGTTTGAGGCTTGTTCAAAGATGTCACATAAATACACAATAAGTGCCCTGCTCGTTGTGTATTTATGTAACATCTTTAAACAAGTCAGAGAAATAACTGCCCCAGACTCTACTTACATCTGTTCCTTGAGGATGTTGGCTTACAGATTATGCCTACTGTGCCCTGTCCATGCCTCTGCATACCATTTTCTGCTCGTCTTCTCTCTGTCTGTGCAGGACATTGCCACAGTCTTTTAAAAGCTGCATAGTAATATGCAATCAATTCCGTGGAAACAGATCCTCACCTCCACTCTCAATGGCTCGTGTGTCCTAATGAGTTTTTCAGTAACGGGAATGAGGCTCTGCTGAGGCACAGCAGAAGAGTGGAAATAGTAATGTGTGGCTGTTCAAGTCTAAAGGATGGGGGCTCAAATGCCCACCTTTCAAATTACTAACTGTGTTTCTCTTTGAATCAATTTCCTCTTCTATAAAATGTAGATGATAATATCTACCTGGCATGTTTGTTGTGAGATCAGTTCTGATCATTGGAGTATTTTATTATCTGCCCAAACTCTTACATAGTGGAAGACTCCAGGCTTGGGTAATGGTAAAATATATCTGTAGGACTTGGAGAAGCTACTCAACCCCTAAATTGAGTTGATGCCTTTGGGTCCACAGTTCTAGACTCCACTCCGTGGATTGAACCAAGTGCTATGTATAAGATGATACCTATCATCCTCTTGTGCCCAGCCTCAAGCATCTTGTCAGCACTAAGGGGCAAAGGGCAGAAGGAGTCTTGGCAGATCCAACTCATATGGTTGCATGTTAGAGCAGCACTTAAGATTTGGGGTGGGGTGGGGGTGAGAGAATATCAGGAGAAAGAGTCCCAGAGCTTGATACAGATAATTTGATACTTACTTTTTGAATCATGGGATTCTAGAAATATAGACAAAACAAAATGTTCTACCGATGACACAGAAAGGTTTTTATCATCATTCATTTTAGCCCTTGTTCAGCTAAAGGCTTTTCTAGGGTATGATGAATTCATAGTAATATGTAGTTTCACAGCATACTATTGCTTACCATTTTCTGCTTTCTTAACAAGATGGTGTTAGGCTGGGAGAGCTGTAATTTATAGCGTAGGAGAAGCCTTTCAAATTAAAAATCTTGAAGCCCACTCATCCTTATTTGGAGGGGATTTAAGGGCCCTCATTTTAAAATATCGTCTCCCATGCCCTGATTTCTAAACCAATTGATAAATAAAATATTTTTTTAAATCAGAAGACAAAATATCACCTTTATTATGAGAGAATTTAGTTTATAACTGTGGGCAGGGCACTTCCTAACACTGAACCCCCAATTACATCGTCATAGCTACCAGGTCGCTGGCAGGACTAGACCACAGCAGCCCTTCCTACATATGGTCCGCCCTAGCCTGTAAAGCTGATGGCATGAAGGTGCGGGTGGCAGTGTGCTTCCCACCAGCACCTGTCCCCGAAGAGGAAGAGACAGGGTGGGGTGGTAGGGACTAGTCATGTCCAGTTTTTCCTTTGAAGCCCTTACAACCTAGAGAGTAACAGGTGAGAGGGTGGAGAGAAGCCAAGAGTAGATGGAAGGGAATAAATATCAGGAGTGAAGTAGCTTCTCCCTCCCTTAACATTCATCTTTGATGACTGCCTTTTTCATTCATTTATTCAGCCTGCACCTATCAGGCATCTGTGACACGGCATGGCTGTGTTAGTGTGTGGGATTCAGAGATGATGGATCCCTGCTCTCAAGAAATGGGGATCTATTGAGGGAAAGGTAAACAGGCAGTTTACACAGGATGACACCGGGATAAAGGTGTGTATAGGTGCCATGTGAAGACATGGGAGGGAGTTTGGTCCAGTGTGGGCCTCCAGGTAAAGGTATTTTAGAGGAGTTGACTTCTAAGCTATTCAGTAGGGATGACATCCTGGTGTCTTAAGAGAAGATAGAACTTTTCTTCTGAAACCAGCTGGGGGCCTAAAATTGGATTACCACTAGATAAAAATGTAGGGCAAAACTATAGTTTCAGAAATCAGGTGCTTTCTTAGAAATTAAACACACAGGTTGAGTGGATTCTGTTTATCTTGTCAGCTTATGAGAGCTCAACTTTAGCAAGAAGGAGCATCATGACAGGGTATTCAGTACATGTGCTCAGCATCCCAACAGTTTGATGTCTGAAATGGAGGCTGTTCTCAAAAATGTAAACTGTATGATGTAAAACAGCCTTTTCTATTTAGGAGTTTGAGATGACTTGCAATAAAATACAATTCTAAAAATAAATATAGGGACTGGGCTTCGTGGCTCACACCTGTAGACCCAGCACTTTGGGAGGCCTAGGAGGCGGGGCAGATTGCTTGAGCTCAGGAGTTCGAGACCAGCCTGGGCAATGTGGTGAAACCCCATCTCTACAAAAAATACAAAAATTAGCTGGGTGTGGTGGCGTGCACCCGTAGTTTCAGCTACTTGGGAGGCTGAGGCAGGAAAAATGCTTGAGCCTAGGAGCTTGAGGCTGCAGTGAACCAAGATCACGCCACTGCATTCCAGCCTGGGTGACAGAGCGAGACCCTGTTTCAAAAAATATATATAAAAATAAATAAAAATAAAAGTAGGAAAATATGCCAAGTGTCTTCTGTATTATCAGCTTTTCTAGACCTCAACTCCCTTATGTATTGATGGAATAACACTAACTGCTCTACTCACTCTCGTAGTCAGATTATCAGAACAAACAGGAGTAACAGATGTGCTGTGCTGTAGACGGTTAAAAGTCCAAGGCATCATTTTTAATATCTTCTTATAATGAAATACAAATGGATGCCAGCCTGGAGCAGAGTATGTATTTTTTAACTAATCAGTTGCCTCTGGCACTAATACTAAACTTTGCAGCTGTGGCCAGAAAAGCAGGGGGAAGGCAGATGTGGGGGAAAAAAAATCCTGTGAAATAAATACATTTTAATGGGAAAAATCCTTACCAGCGCCCTAAGAAGTAGGGAAGTGGGGGTGGGGCAAGAATAATTTTTATAATCTTGATTTGTTTGGAGAAAGATTGATAGACTGTGCCAGGTCTCTTTAGGATACTATGACAAATGGAAGCATAACCTGTAAGAGCATTTCACAACCAATGTGCTCCATTCCCACAGATTAACTACCTGTGTGGGTTTTGATACCTACTGAAAAAGGACCACTTCTTTCATTTATTCAATAAATGTTTATTGAGCATCAGCTGTGTGCCAAGCACTCTTCTTGGTGCTAGGATTCAGCAGGGAATCCCTGGCCTTATGGAACTTTGATTCTAGAGAGGGAAGAAAGACAGTGAACAAAATAGTGAGTACGAAAGGTACGTAGGATATAAGATGGTGATATGTAAGTGCTACATAGGGAAATCAAGCCGAGAGGGGAGGGATGCAGCTCTAAGCAGGGTGATCAGAGGAGGGCTACTTGCGAAGGGCAAATTTGAACAAAGTCTGGACAAAGACGAGAGGGTGAGCAAGGATGCAGTAGGAGGAGAGGTTTCCAAGCAGAAGAACCAGCCAGTAGAAAGGCAGACCAATGTGGTGAGATCAGGGAATGAAAGCAAGGGGGTGAGGTCAGAGTGGAGTGAGGATGCATTTGGGACCTTGGGGATGTAAATTACACCGGTTCTTATAGGCTCTTATAAGGACTTCAGCATTTACCCTGAGTGAGATGGGGCAGAGAGGTAATGCCACCTAGATTTTAATAGATACATCCTGAAGGTTTTGTTGAAAATAGATTGTCAGGAGCAAGAATTAAAGAATTAAAGCAGGGAGTTAAAAAGCTGGATTTTTCCAATAAATAAAATGAGCGTCTTCTACATGCCAGCCAGCATTCTAGGTATAAGGGATATAAAAGTGAACAAAACAGACAAAAATCCCTTGCCCTGGTGGAGATTACATTTTAGTGGAAGGGGATAAACAATAATTAAAATATAAGTAAATTAGCGAGTTAAGGACCAGTAAGTACAATGGAGAAAACTAAAACAAGCAGGGTTGATAGGGAGGGGCACTTATTGCAATCTTCCAGGCAAGAGTTGCTAATGACCTGCACCAACGTGGGAGCAATAGGGGTGATGAGAAGTAAGCGGGTTCCAGGTATATTTGAAAGGTAGAGCTGGCAAGATTTGCTGACACATTAGATGTGGGTTGAGAAGAATTGGTGATGATGCCTGTGTTTATGACCTGAGCAACTAGGATAGAGTTGCCAGCAGCTGAGATGGGAAGACCACAGGAGGGGCATCTCTGGGTGAGGGGTGGAGATCAGAAGTTCGGTTTGACCAAATTATGTTTGAGATGCCTATTAGACATCTTACTGCTGGACTTATCATAATAAGCTGCCTTTCACAGCTCTTTGCAGGTGACTGGGTTTTTCTGTGTGTATCATCTCATTAAATTGAGAAGGGACTCCTTTTTGAACATGTAGTACAATGAATGAATAGACCTAAGAGTCCTGAGAACAGCTCTGGCATGGGACAAAGCTTTCATTATGTTTGGGTCTGTTTGTGCTGTGGTAATTCAAAATACACAATTCTTTCTGGTAACTGTACTTTAAGTTCCAATTTTTATATTGTAGATTGGAATCAATATACTATAAAAATGGACTTTTCCAGAAAAAAATGAAGATTGGCATCATAATCTAGAGATATAATAGAAAGAGAAAAAACACTTTTGAATTATGATGGAAGATAAAACATGCATATTTTTTTAATTAAGTAGGAACACAAAAACTCAATTTAAAAATGCATGAAAGACCTATCAATATGTTTCTCCATGCCTTCTTCACTATGAACTTTGAATTTTTTCAACTAGAATTCTATTAAAATAGAAGCATATAATAAGTTACCTTTATTATTTATTTTTATATCTTTGATGAATCTTGTATATATTCATTATACAAATGAATATGAATTCGTTAGCCAAGAACCTAACAATAATCTATGACTGGGATTTAAAATTTCTCGTATAATAATTAACATGTGTTCAATGCTTTTTGGTTAACAAAGCTCTTTTTACATATGTATTATCTTATCCCATCTTCTCAACACTCCTATGAGGTCAGGATTTCATAGGCAAGGAAACTGAGATTGGAAGATGGAGGTTACATTCCCAGGTTAGTTTGGTAGGGAGTCAAATACAGGCCTTTCCATGCTCTTTCTACTACCTCATACTGTAACTGAACAAATTACAAACAATGTCACTAGATTTCTGATTCTGGGGGGAACCACAGCTGTCTGCTACTGTCAGAAATTAACAACAACAAAGTATTTTGCTTTTTTTTTTTTTTTTTTTTTTTTTTTTTGAGATGGTGTCTCGCTTGGTCACCCAGGCTGGAGTGCAGTGGCATTATCTCAGCTCACTGCAACCTCCACCTCCTGGGTTCAAGCGATTCTCCTGCCTCAGCCTCCTGAGTAGCTGGGACTGCAGGCACCCACCACCACACCTGGCTAATTTTTGTATTTTTTAGTGGAGACAGGGTTTCGCCATATTGGCCAGGCTGGTCTCGAACTCCTGACCTTGTGATCCACCCGCCTCAACCTCCCAAAGTGCTGGGATTACAGGCATGAGCCACTGTGCCTGGCCCAAGTATTTTACTTTTACAGATGTGTCAGGCACTTCACAAATTGTTTTTTTGTTTTTTTGTTTGTTTGTCTTTCTGCAACAGAGTCTTGTTCTGTCACCCAGGCTGGAGTGCAGTGGCGCAATCTCAGCTCACTGCAATCTCCATCTTTCTGGTTCAAGTGATTCTCATGCCTCAGCCTCCTGAGTAGCTGGGATGACAGGTGCGCACCACCACTTCCAGCTAATTTTTGTATTTTTAGTTAAGACAGGGTTTCGTCATGTTGGCCAGGCTAGTCTCAAACTCCTGGCCTCAAGCGGTCCACCTGCCTCGGCCTCCCAAAGTGTTGGGATTATAGGCATTAGCCACTGTGCCCAGCCCACTTCACAAAATGTTTTTATATATGTATTATCTTACTTCATCCTCAGAATAATCCTATGAAATAAATTCTCTTGTTAGCCAGATTGAGAAAGACAAGGTATGGAAAGATAAAGTAACTTTCTCAAGGTCATTCAGCCAGGATGCTAGAGTCATAATTTCCATCCAATTCACCTTCAACCTAGAGCTCATAGGCTTGGCTGTAGCATGAGGATCTTTGCTTTAGCCCAAAGCTTCTTGGTTTTTTGGTTTTTTGTTTTGTTTTTTTTTTTCAGTGAAAACCCAATGGGAGAAATACAGAGGAAGATGTTAGTAGTTGTTTATACTTAAGTATGAATTGGTTTCTGTTCCAGAGAGTGCATCTTATTAGCAGGTAAAGGAAGAGAGCAGAAAGTTTGAGGGGAAATATAAGGACTGTGTTTCCTCTGTCAGAGAAGAAGCAGTAGATTTTAAGAAAGAATGAAAAAAAAGGAGTTAGTGGCTTCCATTCGCGGAACTGTTTTTTTTCATTAGTGACGCCTGGACTATGTTACTGTTCTTTTTCTTAATTTTAAAATTTTACATTCAATAAAATTCACTCTTTAGTGTACAGCTCTGTGAATGTTAATAACATTCTTGTAACCAATACCACAGACAAGATACGGAACAATCCCCAAACTCTTTCATTGTTCTCACCTACTCTTAGTTTAAAGTCTGATGTCACTTAGTGCCAGGGAACTTATTTTACTTTGCTTGATTTCCATGTTGATTTTAATTCCTCTACCAGTGCTGCTGCTATCCCATTATGTTTCAAAAATTGAGAGATTATGAAAGAGACTTAAATACGTACAGTATTTTAATCTATGATAAGAGTGGCATTTTATATTAGAGAAGCAAAAGGGGTTAGTGAGTAAAGTATATTGGGACAGTCTGGAAAAAATAATGTTTCTTACATCAAAACAAATTTCAGCCGGAATCAAAAATATAATATTAAGCCATAAAATAGCACAAGAAAATACAGGGCAAATTTTTATACTATTGGAGTAAAGAAGGGCTTTCTAAATAATGCCAAAAAACCAGCATCCATGAAAGGAAAGTATCCAAAATTTATGCATGGAAAAAACACCATGAACAAAGTCAAAACACAAAAGATAGAAAAAAAATTGTAACAGACGTGACAGGGCTAAATTATCTAACATATAAATTATTTTTAAAAGTTAGTAAGAGAAAGACCAACAATCCAATAGAAAGACAAGAAAGGGATATAAACAGAAAAGGAAAACATTTGAAAGACATCTCATTCATGTATCATGAGAGCAATACTGATTAAAACTTGAGTGATATTTTTACCTATTAGATTAGCAAAGATCAAAAGGTGTCTTAACACAATATTGGTAAGCATGTGGAAAACAGACATTCTCTTGTGCTACTAAAGGACTGTAAATTGGTTCAACCTCTACAGAGGACATTTTAGTTTTTTATATATATAAAATGTAAATGTGTGTGATAAAGTTTATAACACAAAAACATGTTTACATTTTGTACCTATATTAGTACATATATAAATTTTACATGTAAGCCGTGCATACATGGCTAGGGCATATGAACAAAAATGTACATAAAGTATTGATTGCAACATTGATTACAATAAGAGACTGGTAATAACTGAAATACCTACCAACTGAGTATTGTACATTAGGAGCTCTTTAAAAATAAAAAGATAGGTCTGTCTCCATGAATTCATGGACTAATCCTTGAGTTATATTGTTACATTAATTCAGCAAAGGAGAGTGCTAAGAAATATGTATGGAATGCTGCATGGGAGAGGGGATGCATGTACGTATCAGACTGTATGTGGAAGGATAGAAACTAATAGTGGTTTACTCCAGGGAAAGGGGCAAGGTTGTTGGCAGACAACTTTTTGGTGCCTTATCCAGTGAGAAAGATATTGCTAAGTTTTCAGTCCTCCTTTTATATCAAATATTATGATTTCTTTATTCTTAAAAATATTTGTCTAGTGATCTAATAATCTTGTTTATACTAAAATGATGACAGTGATCAAAACCACATACTCACACATGGGGGAGTTCATAAAATCCTTGGCAATTTTTATACATCTAGCTTTTAGCTGTACTAACCTGAACTTTTGGAGTGATTCCAAAAATGTGTGATTTTTCTAGTAAAAAATAATACTCTTTTCCCCCTCACAGAGAGCATGGGGTTCAGTGTAAGGTGAGCATTTTCATTCACAGTAGCTATTAGTTGGTTGCAGGTTCTGCCTTACGAACCCATTAAATATAAATGTACTTGTACTATCTTATAACATAATTGGTTATAAATACTTTTTAGAGTATTTTAATTTTGTGTAGTCTAATATTTTGGTGTTTAAATTTTTTAAATGAAAAGAAAAAGAATTATTAAAAATCAAGCATTTTGATAGGTATTTTCATATGCATTACCTTAGTTGCATTTGTTATTATAAATCTGCACAATTGGAATTATTAGCCCCTTTTAAAGAAGATGAAACGGAGCAAAGGTTCAGATCCCAGTCTGCTGGACTCCAAAGCCCAGTGTTTTCTACTCTACCAGGACACATACTATGTTTAGAGGTGTAATATCATGCAGCTTTCCTTTGAAAATCTTAAAACACCCCATTAAAAATCTTTTACATTACGTCAAGAATAACACCATCCTGGGTACATTGAAATAGATGAAAAACATGGAAACCAAAGCAGGAAAAAGATTAAGAGATAAGCATTACAAAGAAGGAATAGGAAAAAGAACAGAACATTGGATGATTCCATTCATTTGGGTCGTCATAACCCAGTCAACTCTTGTGTTCACCTTAGTTTTTTATTATTTCAGATGACAGATGAGTTTAAGTCTTTCTTTATAAAGATAATATATGGCATTTTAGGAAATTTGCAAAATATAGAAAAGCATAAAAAAGAAAATTATATTCTCCCATTATCAACTATTAACATTTTGGTTTTGTTTCCTCATCTTTGTGTGTGTGTGTGTGTGTGTGTGTATACACATATAAGATGATTGTGACCATACTGAATATAATATCTAGTATGCCATTAATTCACATTTTATGCCTTTTCGTACTCAAAAAAAAGTTAAGAAATAGGATTTTAAATAATTTTTACCTATATTCTTACTATAGGACATAAACTTTTCTTCTAACCTATGGAGTATGCTCCAGCATATCCTTAGACATGTATTTTTGTCCCCAACTCTAATAATTTTTTTAGGATATGTTTCTAGAATTGGAATTGCTAATACAAACAGTATGAACATTCCTCTTGATACACATTACTTCATTGCTTTCAGAAAGGTTGTGCCAATTTACACCTTTTCAAATTGTGTACGAGTATGATCATAACATTAACCCTTGAGAAGTTTGGGTGTTATCTTTTTTAATTGTTGGAAGGCAAATGTGTTGGGGATATAATGTCCCTTATCAGATATTGGAATCAGTAGTCCCTGATGAAATGATTTTAGTGTTTTTCTTTACTTGTATCAATTATATTAAAATTGGAATTTTAGGGATTTCCCATCCTATTTGCAAAGCCTCTCCATAGGGATCACCCTTTGGACTGTTCCTGTGAAGAGAGTGACCTGTTGGATATCACAGAGGGGTAAAGCCTTAGTTAAAGGGCTGGGAGATTGGAGTAATGTCCATTATACTGGACTCTATATAGAGAAGTTCAGAGAGGTTAACTGGCTTGCCAAGATCACATTTCTAATAAGAGATCTAATGAATTCAATCCAGGATTTGCTGGTTTTTAAAATTTATTTTCTATTTACTATGTTGCACTGTCTCCAAAAAAAGTATTATTTGAGATTTTTAGGTTCCATTTGTGTTTTATTTAAGATTAAAAATTACTGGAAGTTATTTAAAAATCATCCATAATCCGGCTGGGTGTCATGGCACACACCTGTAATCCCAGCACATTGGGAGGCTGAGACAGGAAGATGGCTTGAGCCCAGGAGTTCAAGACCAGCCTGGGCAACATAATGAGACAGTGTCTCTACAAAAAATAAAAATTTCCAGGCATGTGGCACACACCTGTGGTCCCAGCTACTCGGTAGGCTGAGGCAGGAGGATCACTTGAGCCCAGCAGGTCAAGGCTGCAGTGAGCCATGTTAAAGCCACTGCACTCTAGCCTGGGCAACAGAGCAAGACCCATCTCAAAAAAGAAAAAAAAAATCATCCATAATCCCAGTCTTCAAAGACAATCACTCTCTGTGCATATTTCCCAGTCATTTTCTGTGCATATTTTAATCATAATTGATCATGATATATGTGTGTATTATACAGTTTTGTAAATGATTCTTATTTTGTCTTATAAGCACATTACATTATTATTTTAAGATATTATTAATGGCTGCAAAATATTCCAATGTATGGATGAAGCATTAACTTATAAGTTGGTTCCAATTTGTTGCTCTTATAAGTAATGATGTAATGAACATCTTGTAGCATAAACCTTTATCTGTATTATTAGTATTTGTGGAGGATAAATTCCTGAAGTAGATTCCAGAGTTGCACTGCCTTTTGAGAGGCTGCAGAAGTCTTTCAAGAGGGAGCAATCCAATATATTGATCTAAGTTTCTTTTTTTAGCAAACTCCAGCTGAATCCAGGGTTTATTCCCTGTGGCTATTTAATATAACTTTCACCTGTCCCTACCCATATACATGGTTGCTTCTGATCAATAAACATTTTCTGTCAATTGAGCAACACACAGCATACACATAAAAATAAATGACAGTCATAAAATTTGGATCAGCCATCAGAAGTAAATTTAAATGAACTGAAACAAAGTTGTATTCTTAGCCTTTAAAAACTATTATGAGAAAGAATGTTACAGGCAGTTCAGACAGACAGACTGTGGGCCAGGTGTAGTGGTTTGCCCCTGTAATCCCAGCACTTTGGGAGGCCATCGCAGGAAGATTGCTTGAAACCAGGAGTTCCAAACCAGCCTGAGCAACATAGTGAGACCCCTACTTCTACAAAAAATAAAAGTAAAAAAATTAGCTGGGCACCTTGGCACGTGCTTGTAGTCCTAACTACCGGAAAAGCTGAGGTGGGAAGATCACTTGCTGCAATGAGCTATGATGACATCACTGCACTCCACTCCAGCCTGGGTGACAGAATAAGACCCTGTCTCTAAAACAAAAGATTGGCTACAGGAAACACTCACTGCACTCATTGTAAAGTGCCTTCTTCTTGCACAGATTTTGGTAACATAAGGTCAAAGCGTCTCCAGTTGAAGGGTTACTCTGGTCTCCTCTCTGTGTGCACATTATAACATGAATTCTCTTGCACCTCCCTTTCTATACTTTTTACCCCAAATTCTGATATAGCTTGACCTCCTACTGCCCTTAGGATCCTTAATACAAACAGAAATACTAACAGAGCAAAGCCATCTGGCCAGACTATTTCTTTTCATGGTTTTTGTGACTTCTTGGCACCTTAGACATGCCATGCAAATAGTTAGCATACACGTTAAGCATTGCTAATATATTTAAGTTAGAATTCATTAGCTTTTCAGGAAGGAAGCTTGTGGGTATGTTGTTCTGTAATTACTAGCGATAAGGAGGCTTTTATTCTGTGCCCTGAGGGTTGTGAGTTTTTGTTGTTGCTGTTGGTAACTTGTTTGTAGAGACAAAAGATTTGCAGAAATAATAGGACGAGGTAGCTGTACAGATGTGATCAGAATAATAGAAATTCGGCGTAGTTATCCTCTAGATGCTAAACATCTGGATAAAAACTACAACATCCATTCCATCATGTGGGGGTTTCTAAATCTCTGAATATTGGATCATGTGTAAGTAAGGCCTGTAGATTTTTAAAAGGCTGTTTCTCTAGCTATCTAATAATATTACTAATACTAACCCAGGCCCTGTAAACTTGTCGATACCAATTGATTTCTTTGAAGGAGAAACACTCCAATACTTTCTAGCATTTCTTTTGTGACCTTGTAAGAAATAGTGCTGTTCAAATTTTTAAGTGAGTTCAGTTGTAATGGTTTCATATAGAAATTAGCCGATATATTTTCTAACAGTTTCTGCATTATTTTTAGAAATGAAAGTTTTCTCACAGGACCTTTTTTTTTTTTAAATAGCATGACAGTGCAGTTAAAAGATTCGGGACATTATTTCAATGAGGTATTTAGCCACCTCCTTGTTTCAGTTTGCAACTGAATGCTTCTTAGGCACGTTTCCTTTACTGCCAGGAGTCACTGATAAACATTTAATAAAATTGCAATTTGAATACCCAGGGTTCTGTTTAAGTCTATATTCCTGAACTTGTTTTGATTACTTTTGTCTAATAACTGGCAAATTTTGAGCAGGTAGTAGAATCATATAGTAAGCCTATTTTGAATAAAATTGAATTTTCGACTAGCTTTAGAGGGAGACTCCCACACATGAATATGTCTGAGTTTCTGAAAACGAGGGAACACATGAAGGTGCATCTTGATATTTGAGATGAGAAGGGAAAGGTTTAGAGTGGAAGAATGTCTAGTTGCCTTAACAGTGTTTAGAATTGAAATTTGGTGTCTGTTTATTTTGTAAATTATTTCCTCCTCTTAAAATAAATTCAACAGGCTTCTTGCCCGTCATTTTCAAACATTTAGATCCCTGATCCTTAAAATACTACCTTTCCTTGCTGTATGGCAAAACGTAATTTGCAATTTCTCTATCTTCTCCTTTCCCTCCACAATTGCCAGCTCCGTTCCCTGCCTCTGTTCCTCCAATTGTGCTGTGCCCTTGGTGGCCTCAGTCCACTGGAACCTGTCAACCAACACATCTTTCACAGCCCATCCCAGAGGCCCGCTCCATCTCCCCTGTAAGGCTTGTCCTGTTCCTCCTGCCAGTGTCACTTTTCTGTCCTTTACACCCTGCAGAGTTTTATTTATATTACTTTTTAGGCACTCATGTTTCCATCCTCTGTACTTATCTCTCCCCATTAGGCTGTAACATGTTGGGGATAGCAGCGTGTCTCACTCGCCTTTGCATCCTCCATAGTGCTCAGTACAGAGCCTGGCACGTAGCAAGTGTTGAAATATCTCTTGGAGAGAGAGAAAAAAAATGAATCTATTAAAATGTCTCTATGATGCACTGCGGAAGCTAGACTTGGTAGATCGAGTTTAAGGGAATGAAGAGGGGGTGAATGTTTGCTACTTCCGTATATTTGGAGTATTTGATAAAACAGAAGACCAGTTTCTCTTCAAACTTCATGTCGGTTTGTAGGCCAGGCTGCCAGGGTTTAGGGTACCTCATCGCTTCCTGCATCTGGAAGTAAATTCAGAACCTCAAAGCTCACCCTGCCGTATCTTTTCTGCCAAGGTGCCTCACATTTTCCTCCTAGCTGCGGCCAGAGGAGCTGGCTGTCACTCAAGTAGGTCAGCCTCAGGTGAAACCAGCCACTTAGCCTCCTTCTGGGCACCCTGTGGGTATATGGAGGGGTGTTTGTTCAAAGAGCAGCTCCCCTTTCAGGTTTACCCTTTACACGGAAGAAATCTGGCTAAATTTTCTCCCTTTTCTGCCTTTCTGTGATTACATGTATTTTAGTGATTGCTAAATTTGAACTAAACCTTGAAACTAACTGCCTGCTTTCAAAACAAACCAATGTGAACTCACATTTTCTAGTTTGTCAGATTTGGGGAATTTTATTAATATTATTTTTATCTTAAAGAAACATCAACTGGCTGAGTGTGGTGGCTCACGCCTGTAATCCCAGCACTTTGGGAGGCCAAAGTGGGAGGATCACTTGAGCCTAGGAGTTTGAGACCAGCCTGGGCAACATAGGGAGACCTCATCTCCACAAATAATTTTAAAAATTAGAAGGGCATGATGGCACGTGTCTGTAGTCCCAGCTACTCAGGAAGTTGAAATACAAGAATCATTTGAGCTCAAGAGGTCAAGGCTTCAGTAAGCTGTGTTCCTGCCACTGCACTCCAGCCTGGGCGACAGAGCCAGACTCCATCTCAAAAAAATAAAGAAACCTCAACTGACGTTGGCATGAATATTTTAATATCTTAATATCTTCTTCTTCAGTCATATTTTTTCCAAAGACAAGCTGAAAGCATCTCCACTCAAATCAGTTTGACCACGTTTTCAACACCATGTTCAGGTATAATGGTTGAGTGAAGGCTATTACAAACTCAAAACTAATTCATCTGGAAATGCCATGGTTCGTTTTTGCAGATATATCCCTTATACCTTCCCATTTGGAAAAAGAAAAAAGGAAACCTACCACAGGAACAACAAAAACTGGAATTTGTTTGGCTAGCAGTCAGTAAGCCACATTCATTTCTGAGGACGTAGAGGCCGTTCAGTCCTCTCAGGGACATCCGCCATGATAAACAGCAGTGCTTGGTCCCAGCACCTTGGGAGGCCGAGGCGAGAGGATTGCCTGAGCCCAAGAGTTTGAGACCAGCCTGAGCAACATGGCGAGACCCCCGTCTCTATTTAAAAAAAAAAAAAAAAAGAGCAGTACTGATGGATGATTCCCCTACTAACCCTCTCCACCCCACTCCCTCATGTCCATGTACCCCACAGTGCCCCTAGAGATAATTCCTAGCATCCTCAGAGGCCCTGTCAAACTATTGTTCATAAAGAGAGAACTGTTCTTGAGCCATTCCCCGACTGATCTTAGGGAGGCAGGACCGGTATTGTCTAAGTGAAGGATTATATAATTAGCAATGCCTACCATAAGGGGGTAACACAGAAAGAATGCAAATTTTCTGGATATGGGATCAAATTCTGGTTTGGGATTTTGAAACTTACTGCTGTAGTGCAGGCCAAACTAAGACTCTTGGATAATGTGAAGAAATACATTAGAGAGAGAGAGAAAATATGGTCAGATTAGTGCAAATGAGATCTGGCCAGAAGCTTCTTATAGGAACATTCTTCAATGTTAGGAAAATGGTTCATAGCGCTATTGCTAATATAGGTAAAATGGCTGCTAAAAAAAAAAAAAGCAAACACTTTCTGTTTCAGAAGCAGCCAAATAATCAATGATTTGATTTCTAATAGTCATGTTTGCCATAAGGATTCTTATAATAAGATTAGGTAGCCAAGTTGGTTTCCCTGTTGACTTTATCAGTAAGTCATCAAGTACTTCTGAACCTCCCCTCCAGAATGCCCAAAAATGTCCTACAATAATCTCCCCAGAAAACTATTTTCTGGATTTTATTATTTTTCATAGTTCTACCTACAGCTTTGATTATTGCTGTTGTAAATAAGGCAAGAATTGTAATTAAGAAAGATATGAATATGATATAATATCATAGTATACACAGTTGTATGTAATTAATTACCTTATTGCCCCTTTGCTTGATTTTATATTCACATTGTAAGCTCTTAACTGTGCATGTATAATTGATTCACTATGGTAAATGTGGTTGTTTTAACAAAAAGTTTCAATTAAGGTTTTATTCAACAGTGTAATTCCCTTATCCAATTGTTTCTGTAGGAAAATCAAATTCAACTTATGTTATATCATTTTTGGGACTATATCCTGTTATAGGTAACTGCCCTGCTAGAATAATGGAAGATGAGTCAGAATTTCTTTCTTCCTTCCTTTATTTTCCCTGTGTCCTTTTCCCAGAAGCTAGCTTTCTATGGAATAAACTTGCCTGGGCACCATTTGTCCCATTCTTTCACTTGAGTACTCAAAGACTAGTAGACTTTTGTAGCTGTTATATATGAATATATATGAATATATATATATATAAATGCAAACCCCCTAGCACCTCTCTTACCATTGTTCTTTTTCTTAAAGAACTAGAATCAAATTTCTAGAAGCTCTGGTAGGCTTTGATAGCATGAAAGGCCTTCTGGGATGTTCTGAAACTAAGACTGCAAGTTTTGTCCCATGATTGAAGAAGAGAAAATATCTGATTGTTGGCCTCATAGAAATTTTGTGTAGCTAAAGTATTTGCATGCTAAATCTTTCAAATGGAGAAATTGAGGTTAAGCAAAAATAGGTGATGGGATATAATATAAATACCTTTCCAGATTTAGCAAGCTTGCTATAGTGAAGCTATCTTCACAAAAAATGACACCCCCCCCTCAACCCCCAGAATGGCTTCTGTGTTGGGATCAGTTAGCATGCTTGTTTTGGATGTCCCCAGTATGGTAAGAATGTCATAGGAAATCCTGCTATGTGTCTATGATGAGCAGCAGGCGAGTGCACACTGTTCTATCAGGGCCATCAAACATGGACTCACGTTTCAGCGTCTGTCATCAATCACTCATAGACTTCATACCTTAATATACCCTTCATTCCTTTTTGTTCCTTCTCAACCTACCTACCTATTCATGTGTGAAAGAACACTTTTTTCCCTAACCACTAACAGGTTCAACAGGTTATTTCACCTCCTAGCTTCCTCTTTATCCCTCCCACATCCTCTTTGTGCTCTAAGAGCAGGGGAACACACTATCAGATAATTATAGTCTCTCCTTTTCAATATAAAAACTTTATGTTGCTGTTTCTCAAAGCATATCAAAGTAAAGCCATGGGGTGAATGGTACACTTAATATAGATTATTTTACTGAGCTTTTAAAAAAATTAAATTACCCCCATACCAGTAAGTGAGAGGTACAGGCAGAATGGCTAAAGGCAGAGGTATTTCTCAAATCTGTTCAAATTAGTCTGGCATAGCATGGGCTAGAGACAAAATCAGTAGATTTACATTGCTAGACAGTATGACATATCATACATTTAGATCATTTTAAATAAAGTCATTACTGAATAGATCCTCCTAAAACAAA
This sequence comes from Homo sapiens, assembly GCF_000001405.40. Lineage (NCBI taxonomy): Eukaryota > Metazoa > Chordata > Mammalia > Primates > Hominidae > Homo > Homo sapiens. Next base: position 61,425,052 of record NC_000001.11, read on the forward strand.
TACTATTACCACAAAAAGTTTCTTATTTAAGAGACATCAGGGACCCTCATGCTCAGCCTCTGTTCAGTGCCGTTTTAACACAGCCATGTCCACATCCATGTGACCATTGCAGATCTGTTTGGGTGGCTTAGCTCTTACCAAAGACAACCAACAGGGTCTGGGCCAGATGGTGGAAATTTTATCCCTAGATTTGTTTAATGAGAGAAACAAGAAGTATGAGCAATTTTCTGTAAAACAGAAAGCCAGAGTAAGAGGAGCAGATGATGTCAATAAGGAAAAAAAAAATCTGGCAGGAATTTGATATCATGCCCTCAATTATCTGTGTTTTAAAAAGTTGCATATCCTGATTGTTTCTTAGATGGTGTTTGTCTAGAGTTAGCTTAAAAACCTAGATTGTTTCTTAGATGATGTGTGTCTGGAGTTAGTTTAAAAACCTTAGGCCTTTTTAATTATTGTTAAGACATTTGAAATTTTTAAGTAACAGTCTAAAGATTCTAGTACAGAGGAAGAATGTGAACAAATCCTTGGAGGTGATGATAAAGAAGTGAATTGAAGGACACCAAAAAACAAAATGTACCTTTGGATTTATGAGCCAGTGAAACAACAAAGCCACTGAATTTTTTCCCATTAAAGTAGAAAGAAGCTCTTAAGTACAGATACAAAAACCAACAACAAAACTTCCATGAACCAAGAAAGGATAGTAAACTGAAGTGTGGTACCTGAGGTTCCAGTGTGATATCTTAGTTGATAAAGGGTCTTGATAGTTTATGCCTGAACAGAAAGGTTCTAGGATGGGAAGACTACAAATGTTAATATGAAAAGCATATTTTGTGCATCATAAAGATTCTAGACACTACAGGGCCTCTAAAGACAGCTTATTCTGAATGGTTTTCTATCTCCTTCCTGGAGAACCCATTAGTTCCTTCTATAAAGATTCCTCTTCGATCTCTAGCTGTAGAGGCACAGGACCATTTCATGATTTTTTAAGAGTGTAACGGTGTGAAAAGCAAGCTTGTAAAATGAACTGCTTTCCTCCCCTTCCTACCTAATTTCTTTCTCCCTCTGCTCTAAAGAATAGGATATCTCTTTCTGACTCCAGAGCTCATGTTTAACTCAGAAAGTATACTTTGCAAATGTCCTGCATGTTCTAATTTGTATGGTAGAAGGAGAAAATAGCTCGTCTGAGCATTAGTTTGACATCATTTTATCCCAACAGTCTTTGGAAGCCAATCCCTCTTCCCCCTTTTTTGACTGTCTGAAATGCCCTTGCTAGCCAGACCCCTTTGCTAGCTACAGTGTTTGCACATTTCCTTGTTAATCAGCTGCGTCGGCTCGGAGACTGTGTGTTTTGGTGTTGTTTGTGTGTGCAATCTCGTGCCGCTTCCTGAACGCATGTGTCCCTTCCCTTCACAGCCTACTCGACACCCAGCACCTCCCCCGCAAACCGATTCGTCAGTGTTGGACCACGGGATCCAAGCTTTGTAAATATCCCTCAACAGACACAGGTGGGCCGCTCTCATCTTTTCTGTATGTGGTGCAGCTTGTATTATTCATCAGGTGCATTTTAACTTGTCTTTTGCACAAAAGGCCACATTTTCCAGACCCTGTCCAGTCTTCCCTTTCCTCCTGATCCCACCAGCCACATTTCCATGTGTTCTCAGAAATCACAGAAAATTTTGCCTGCAATTTTTGCTTCTTGTATTGAGTGGGTAGAAGAAGAACTGTTTTAGCTATGGCACAAAAAGGTTTCCCAGTGTTAGCTAGTGTGTGTTCCCTCTTATAGGAATTCATGGTCCTCTAAATGCAAGCAGACAGAAGCAGGCCCCTACAGAACCTGAAAGTAATATCTGGTTGCCAGTGACATCAGAGTGCATGCTGGGCATGGAGGGACCAGCCACTCCTCTGTATTCATTAGAGGGTCCCCAGGCACCTGGCAAGCTTTCTAAAAGAAAGAGGGAGAAAAGGGTATATGAGCCCTATTAAGTTGCTGGTGTTGGTCCAGAAATAAGACGTGTTTATTAGTGGTTACTGCTGACCACTGGGGAGCAAGGTGCGGTGGGTGGCAAGGGGTGTGTATGAGTCATATCTGAAGCAGGTGATTGAGAGAAGAGGACTGCTCAGACATCCAGAGCTTGTCTGCCCATAGACAGTTGTGTTTTGTGCTAGTCTAGGTCAAGGAGAAGAAATATTTTTGAAAAGTTTTGGAATGGCTGCTGTATATTGAGAAACAGTAAAAGGCTTTTTAAGTTCAAAGTTAGTATAGGTAGAGGCATTTAGAGGTTTGTGAAATAGAATTAGATTCACGTTTTGAAATAAACTCTCTGATTTCCTAATTAGAACATGGCGATATTTTATCATAATTAACATAAGGAAAGTATTTTCTCTGTAAGGTTCTTAGCGCGGTGTTTGAAAACATTCTTGGAGCAATTTTGTGCACATGCCTGTGTGTGGAATCTCCAGATGCCTAATTTATAACTATTTGCCTCTGTTTGTAAAACTATGGCCAGGTGCTATATGAATGGGATAGATTTGCCTTCCTGGGTCCATTTGCCCCCTCTGTAAAGGGCTTTGGTTTATTGCTATGTCGACAGCACAGGTTAAACTGCATTGTATCTGAAGCCTTCCTCACACTGAAGCAGGGTCACAGAAAGTACAGCATCAGCAGAGAAGGCAGCTGGGAGGACAGGGGGAGCTAAAAGGGGAGGGAGAAGGTTAACTCTTGAATTTCCCACCTCTGCTGTTTCTTCTTAAACTGGCCTGCATATGGCGTCTGATATTAAAATCTCCTATTCAGTACCTCTCACAAAATTCTTTCAGTTATTTGCTTATTCTCCCATACCTTCAAATATTCAAACACTTTTCTGGTGAATTTGAAGTTGCATAATTACCTGTAAAGCATTAAAACAGAAGAACATAATTTAATTTTGTACATTTGGCGTAAGTGTCCAAGTTCAATGAGAGGGGGAAAACTGGAGATGGTGGCTCTATATTGGATGATTGCTTTTCCCAAAGCACGAATGTCCTCAAGTTGCTTCATTAAGAGCCTTTAAAATGCAGCTTTGAAATGTCCTGTTTGTATTTTACATAGTATTTTTTATATAAGCTGTGATTCACAGCCCTGAAATTGTATGCTGTGTTCTTTTCAATTTATTTCTTTATAATCAAAATGTATTATATGCCACTGTGGCTTTCCTTCACAAATGCCTTACTTAACCCAGAATCTGAGTTTTCATAATGCTGACCACAAAAATTCAATTCTTAAAAATCCAGATTTTCCACGCATCTGGATGAATGATGTCATGTAGGCCCAGTATTGGCATCTGGAACTGAATTTTTTTTTTTTTTTTTTGGTTTCTGTTAAATATTTGGCGTCATGGGGACAACAGCTTAAATGTTTCTTACCATAGTGACACCTGCCACATTTGGCTTGAAGAAAGTCATTCCCAATTGTCTAATGAGAAACTATGTTAATGGAGTTGTCATTTTTCCCCCAAAAAAAGATATCTTGAGGTAAAAATTATGTGTTCTAAATATTTTAATTTTAAGGTATATATATTAACTCTTCCCTTAAATGAGGAACTATTTTCTGGGACCACTTAAAGTGTTAGATATACGTAGATATAGATAATAAAAATAATAATATACCTTAAAAAATAAGTTCCCTTTCAAGAGGACATCAGTTCAGAAGAGGAATTTTTGACAAGAATTTTTAAAAACATAATTAGAACATGGTCGGCAGATTTCCTAGGCAAACTTGTGTTTTTCTATATTGATACCCTTGTTACAAAGCATGACATTTATATTAATTGAATTACAGGAAAAGTTATCTGGGAAAACAAAATTTTGCTTTCTACCTATGGAGAAATAAGAATTGAAGAGTCACCCAAGCAGATACTTAAGCTTTCTAAATGTAGAAGCAGTATCTTGTACATAAATCTATAAACAGATGCAAAATAAAATGGGCTTTCTGCTCCCAAAGGCCAGTGTCCAGTGGAAATCTCTTAAAATGCCTGAAGCATCATCCTGTAGAAGATGGAACTGATGGGGTCTCTGTTTTTTCAAGTGGGTAGAAATTGAACCAATGCAGACATTATAAGTAGGCAGCTTCAGACTATCATAAGATCTTTTTTAAGAAAAAGAGTTATTTGATTGTATATAGCTTCTACTGGGCATTTTCTATGTACTAAATCCATCAAGTATGTGATGCACCTAATCTTTATAGTCACCTAATAGGATAGAGCTCTACTTTATAGATGTGGAAGCTGAGACTAAGGAGATTGTTGATTTTCCCAAGGCCATACAATATAGTCAGGAGTGGAGCAAGAATTTGCACCCAGTTCTGTCTGACAGCAAGGCCTGTGCTCTCTAACCACTGTATTATGTTACTGCCTTATGAGCTGGTGAGCTCTTTTCCCTGGGGATATTCCAACAGCAACTGATGCTCACTTCTCAGGGATACTACTGGTGGAGTCCCTGCTTTTGTCCCTAAGACTGCATTAAAATATAATCTTTAGCGTATACCCCCAAAAATGGCAAGCAAAGTTTCAAAGAGATATTTGTTCACTTGTGGTTGTAGCAGCATTCTCCACAATAGCCAAAAGGTGGAAGCAACCCAAGTGTCCATTGACAGATGAATTGGTTAAACAAAATGTGGTCTATACATAGAATGGAATATTACTCAGCCTTTAAAAGGAAGGAAATTCTGACATATGCCACAACGTGGATGAATCTTGAAGACATTCTGCTCAGTGAAATAAGCCAGTCACAACAAAATAAATACTGTATGATTCTACGGATGTGAGGTACCTAGAGTAGTCAAATTCATAGAAATGCAAAGTAGAGTAGTGGCTGCCAGGGGTTAGGGGCAGGGCAGAATGGTGAGTTAGTGTTAAAGGGGTACAGAGTTTCAGCTTTGCGAGATGAAAAGAGTTCTGGAGATGGATGTTGGTGATGTTTGCACAACAATGTGAACATACCAAATCCCACTGAACTGTACACTCAAAAATGGTTAAGATGGTAAATGTTACATTGTGTGTATTTCACCACAATTTTTAAAACGTGATCATTAAAAAAGTTCTAAAGTCCTTTTCACCTCTTAGGAGTAAAAAATTCTGTAAAACAGTCAGAGCAAGTGGACTGTTGATCAGAGTAATTGTGTGCTGACTGCTCAGAAAAGCACTAATTATCATGCCCAGCACATAGTGGGTACTCTGCATACATTGGCTGAGTCTAAATGGTTCAGAAAGAACTTTAAAAATATGACTTTTTCTTATTATATTCATAATACATGTTAATTGTGGAAAATACAGTTGAGAAAAATAATAAAAATCACTTGTAGTCCTACTGTTAACATTTCTGTATAAATCCATCCAGAGTGTTTCTGTGCATACAAATATATTGCAAAAAGTGAGATCATATTATATACGCTGTTTGGTAGCCTGCTGTTTCTTCCCCTTAACAATATATTATGGCCTTCTTTCCATGTAAATTGGAAAAATTGAATATTGGCTTTTATTGCATCTATTCATCATCTGTAATGATTGGTGGGGAAAGATAACGTGGATAATTGAAAGCCATTTTTCCTCCTCTTTCCCTTGTAGTCTGTTTTTTTCTCCAGAGAATTCCTCCCTTGACTGAAGCAGAATTGCCTTCTCTTTAGCCTTGCCTTGAGCTAGTTTTCTTTCAAACTGCCTTCCAATTGCATTGTATATCTGGCCCTGGCTTTCGGCTTTGTTCGAACATTCCTGCCGAGTTATCTGTCCCATTCTTCCACCTCACTTGTCTGCTACCTCTGCTACCATCATTTGCCCCTCATTTTTTTCCTCCTTCTCCATATTGTAACTGATCACTGAGATGAGAGGTGGCCACCTCCCTACAGCCTTTAGAACACCCATCAATACTGAGAAACTGTGGCCACTTGTCCCACCTTGAATCTCTTATTTTTCAACGTTGTCCCGTGACAGCTGATATTAACATATAGAAAGGTCTCTGGGGCATACAGTATTTACTTCACTTTAGACACTATTAACGTGCCCTGCATGCCCACCGAATGGTATAATGTAATGATAGGGAACCTGCCATTGTTTCAAATAGCAGAAAGCCAATGGCCATTTCAATTGCATCCCATAACTTAATCTGATCCCTGAAAATGAGAACCATTAAGAGGAGGCGTTTACTTAAAGAAAAAAAAGTTAATATTTCATCATCAGGTAGTAAATAGAAATACCAGTTTCCACACAAGGGGACTGAGCAAAGAACTCATTTTGATACAGGTTCTAGTTTAATCAAAAGGTTTAAATAAAATGCTTAATCTACAGAACTCCAATGAGGACTAATTCTTTAAAATGAAAAATGGGTGCAAACAATATTAAAAACAGGCATTTCCTCCTTACCACCCAAATCTATCACTGTTTTGCATCAACAGTATCATGGTACCCAAAATGCTATTTAAAACCAAATTACCATTTGGACTATTAGAAGAATCACTTGGCATGGCATGGGCCTGATTTGTTGACAAAAAGGCACAGGTGCTATAACCTTTGCTTAATAAATCATTTAGCTGCCTGACTTGCAAGCAGTGTGATTGCCTTTGCCTCATGAAATTTACAAATGTATGCACAAGCCACACACTTCACTGTGCTGGAAGCTGGCTGATCTGGAGAGGTCCCTGCATAGCCAAATTATGGGCATGACACCCGTTGTCTGCCTCTGGTGGGGGTGCACCCAGAATGGGAGAGGTGGAGATCATGGAGAGCATTTTGAGCTGTTGCCATTCCGTGTGTCATATTCCTGAAGCTCTACCTGAGAAACCAAAGCTTAGACCATCTGTGGAACTCTTCATAAGTTCCTTTCTTCAGTCATTTAGTGTTTACTTAATTGCTTAATAGAGCCTCAACACCTACAAAGTACAGGGAATAAAAACTCTCCTCGAGTTGTTCAAAGTCTAGCAGAGGAAACAAATGTGAAGAAATAATGGTAATGACAACACCAACATCAAAACAGTGTAATCGCAGTACTATAAAGATTTGTCTAAGAGGCTTTAAGACAACAGAGTTGGGTATAGGAACTTTCCAAAGAGTGGAAGCAGCAGAAGAGGCTGGATAGTTTTTCTGTCCTTGTCCTTGTCTAGCTTGGGCCTAATGATATGGTTCTTGTACACTTTTCCCTATTTTTTTTTTTTTTTTTGCCAATCAGATGGTAGATCGTGTTCTAACCCATCCCAATAAGAGACATGTTCAGTTCTGTCTTCCCTGGACCAGATAAAATTAGACTCCTTTACTGCTGCACAAGGCTCAGCCAGAAACCCCTTCACCCCTCATTTCCAAGAAACACCTCCTCCTGGTGGTACATCCTCACTTGCCCACCCAAGCTCACTTGAGATTGCATTTCAGTTAGCTGACGCCATTCCCGGGCTCCTGCCCACCCTGACAGGAGCTGCCTGAGTGTAGAAGGTTAGTTACCACACAGAAGTTCAAGGAGCAGCTGGAGAGTTACAAAGACAAGAAACTCAGATTTCCTTAGAGGGAAAAATATATATGTGTGTATATATATATATATATACACACACACACACGTACACACATATATATACACATATATATACATATATATACAGAGATATATATACACATGTATATATCCCACCCTGCAACCCTACCTCATCTTCTAATTAGAAGTGGATTTGAGCATTTCAGTTTCAAGCCCTCACAGCTGCAAACTCCCAAGATTAGAGAGGAATGGCAGATAAAATTCCACTTTCTCCTGACTTTGAGCCAAGTTAAAAGTCTTATTGGCCAAATGAATATTCTACAGCACCCGTGCATGCTAGGTTCTGTGCCTACACTCGCTGCAGTACTCGAGAGCCCTCTAAGGTGCTACATCTCCATTTTACAGATGAGGAAACCGAAGTTTCAGAAGAGTACATTTGTCCCATGGTAATTGAAGTAGCTGAGATTTGAACCAGTCTCCAGAACTTCTGTTTTTCACAAATACTTATCTGCATCCCCAGTTGTTTGTAGTGATAGGTTACTGACCATTTTCTCTTTAAAAGAGTCTAAGATTGACTCACACTCTTATATCAAGGAATCAGAAGCCTTGAAGTTAGTCCCAGTGCTCCCTGGCTCCAGTGGGACTGTGCTGAACTTCGTTCTTCTGAAGATCTGCCCCGGTCTCCTGTTAGTTCATGTCTCTGTAAAACCAAGACTGAATTCATTCTCTCATCCTGCCTGGGAAGAAGACCTTTACTAATGATATTAGTCTGCATCTGTGGGAACAGCTAGCCTTTGTCCAGAGACCAGATAGCAGAGCAGCTAAGATAACTCCTTTATTTTCAGATTTTAGTTGAAGCTTTATTCCATCACTTAGAAGCATTCTGTGTGTTTTATTTTTGTTGTTGTTGGTTTCTTTTTTTTTTCACAGTAATTCAATTTATCTAGCCTAGTTTTTTAACTGTAAAATAGTGAAAATAGTGAGAAATAAATATGTGTGTGTATATATACTCACACACACACACACACCCTTATGGTTTTGGGTCTTAAATTCTGTTAGTGTAAAAAAAGTGTTTAACACCTAATGAATACCTAACAAATGATAGCTTTCATTGTTTGGTTAATAACTAAACTCTTATTTTCTGGATTACAAAGTATTTTCTCATTTGATTATAAGAGTTACACTTTGAAGTAGGCAGAGCTATTGTTATTATTGTTATCCCCACTGTATAGGTTAAAAAAAACTGAGGTTTAAAGAGGGGAAGTGACTTTCCCAGAACCACATATCCAGAGGTCAGTAGAGTCAGGACACAAACCCACTTCTGATTCCACGTGTCCTATGAAGGAAGGACTTGTGTATAAGCCATTCAGCACCTGCTGCTCTATGGTCAGAACCTACTTACCAAAAGCAACCGTCTAGCAAATTAGGAAGCCTCCTACTACCCACTGCAAAATCCTAACCCTGTAGGTTGTTCCACTGAGCATCAACCTTACAGGTGCCCAAAAGCCTGTTTAAATTGGGCACAGCTATTCTTCCCTTGTACAGGCAGCAGTCTAAGTGTACCATTGCTTCTCTTACGCTAAATTGTGCCTGAGAAGGGCCTTCCCAAGGGGAGACAATGTCTCTGAGAGTGGTAAGGACTGGCAGGAAGTGAATGCACCCCTCAGAATCTAAAGGGAAAGGAGGTACCTAAATCGAGGTGGTGCCTGGTCATTTTTTCTCGTATGTTCTCAGCTCCAGTAGCAGGTGTTGAATAGTAAGCAACACCTCGCAGAGATGAGTTACTCATGCAATCTGCTTCCCCTCCCTCCATACTACTGTGGGCAGGAGTGAATCGTCCCAGCTTCCCCAGCTCCCACACCAACCTGTAAGTTCTTGACACATTCTCTTCACATACACTTGGCGGCTGACTCACTGACAGGCTATGAGACACTCTTAAAATAAATTTTTCAATAAACAGAGTCTTTGTCTTTCAAGTTTTAATTTGGCAGCATGTCGTAGACATCCTTGGCCACAAACTTCACTTCTGGACAAAGTTCGAGCCATTAATTCTAGATACTGGTCACCTTTTCTCTCAGTTCCTGTTCTTCCTGTCACCTTTGCTCCACAAAGATTTGGGGGATCTTCTTAGTTGAAACAAATTGATGATTATTGTAATAATTAAGGTCTCTGCCATAGTATCTGGCACACAATAGGTGCTCAGTAAATATTGCTTCTCTTCTTGCTTCCTTTTTTTTAATATTAAAGTGAGAACAGTGGCAATAGAGAAGGGGAAGGTAAAAAAGAGATTTCACAGGAAATTTTACATTGTATGGGAGAGGAAGGGAATAGACCAAAAATCTGCTATCCATTAAATTAGCACTTGGAACTGTGGGAAAAGGGGGACAGAAAATGATGTCAGGAAAAGGGTTGGAAAAAGGAGTTGTGAGTTGGTGGACAGAACTGACAGGAACTAGATCAAAAGTTGATGATAGCCATGCATGGAACTTAGAAAACCATAGTGCCAAGTGCAGAAATGCCATCAACATTTCTAGCTTTTAGGTGGGTCTCCATAACAATGCTTCTGATCAGTGACATTCCAGGGTACTAAGGGAAATGTACTGGGTACTCACCAGGTTTCTCTGGGGGAACAGGAGGAAAAGTCATGATTCAAGGAGTAGGACAGACCTGTTCTGACATCCTGGCTGTGCCATTTATCTCAGTGATCTTGTGTATCTTACCCTTTAAAATTCAGCTTCCTCATCTGTGAAATGAAGGCAATAATAGTATCTACCTCATAGAAGAAACCCCAATTAAGTGTGGTTTAAGCCAGTCAGGATTATTTTCCTCCCGTAACAAGAAATCTGTGAGTGAGTGGTTGTTGGCATTGTTTCAGCGCTGCACGAGGCCAACAGGAACCCATGCCGTTCCTAACATTCTGCTCTGTCTTCCTCAGTATGCTGCCTCTTCAGCCTCATGCTTAGAGCCTCTGACGGCAAGATGGCTGCTGCAGCTCCAAATAGCATAGTCATATCATACCTTATTTTTCCTCTAATATCAGGGAAAAGGCCCTGCTATTCCTCCTGTGCACCCTGCTAGCAAATTTCTTTGTAGGTCTCATTGGCTAAATCTGGGTCACATTTTAATCTCTAGCTGCAAAGGATGCTGAGAAAACCAGCAGAAGATTATCTTGATTGGCTCAAATCATGACCGTCACCTAGGACCAGTCACATTTGCCTCTCTAAGCAAAATTGTCCCAAGGAAGAAGGCGCAATAGGTAGTGGATAGACTGTTAATAGGATCTGCCATATTCTTTTTTCCTATTCCCTGATAGGTTTCATGCACTTTTCAACTCCAGTAGTTGCACTTGACCCTCTTGTCTCTGAATGCTTGGCTTATTATTCTGCCTTTCCTCCACACACTCCCTATGTGTTTAGGAGATGTAGATGCTATGTGCGTGACTGTGCAGAGGTCATTTCTTTTCAGCCTCTGTTTGAGGTCCAGGATTTGGGCAGAAGTCCTGGCGTTTTGTGCAGACCTGCTCCCATGGGGCTGGGTCACCGTGTGCTGGTTAAACATGGACTCTGAAAAGGCTGAGTTGGAGGATATGTGCCTTTGTGGTTGCAGGGGAGCTCTGTGAAACAGTGCCCCCTGGGTGCCCTCCAGAGTGCTTACCAAACAGGCAGCAATAGGTTCTGGGTTTCTCTTTTATGACTTGGAACCAGATGCTTCCTTTGCAAAGGAAAAGAGCCTGGTTTTGCAGAGCTTGAGTCAACACAAGTTCAGAGAACAGGAAAATGAGTTGACTGGCCCTGCTGCATGAACTTTGAGGAGAGAACTCAATACAGGTGGTGTTCTCGCTGTCCACAAAGTCCTTGCTTGTGAAAATCCTATGCCCAAGAAATTGGCCTTACCGAATATTTCTACACTCTAAATAATGACTGTTCACATGAGGAAAGGATTCAGCATTAGGAATCCTTTTGGACCTAGGCTTTCCCAGGGCTTCTAATGAGTCTAAGGCCTTGAAAGTTCCACTGACACACACAGTTTCAAGCCCAGAGCTTGCTGTCTAATGTGAGATCCATCGAAGATCTCACGTGAGGTCTCAGTGATTCTTCCTGCCACTTTTCTCACACCCACCTGCTTACCTTCCTGTTTGTTTATTGAGGACTTAGGCACATTCTTTGATCTGTGCCCTGTCTTTTTGGGATATAGCCTTTCTATTGAGTCTGTTCATTGAGTTACATTCCACAGCACACACCTCCCCCAAAATATTTGCATGAGAATTTTTCTTAAGGTCTCACATTGCTTCCTTTACAGCAGAGATGAAATAACTTAGCACTTCTAATTGGCTTTTCACTTTCCAAACGCTTTACACATTTAACTAATGAGTCACATGAGCTTGTGATAAGCCGGATCCCTTGTCTTGGAGCAGGGACACTGGGTTAGGACAGGCTGTTCTGGCCCTGTGTTTCTCACCCTCAACACCCTCCTTCCTCAGAGTCTGAATGTGTTGAGATAATGGGGATGCCACCAGGCACAGTTGTTCTCAGCACAGGGCAACCTCGGACCCTCACAGTGCTGCCTTAATAATGTGGGAAGCACCCTTTGCTGCCCTCCAGGGCTGGACTATGCTGCATATCTCCTGTTGCCTTGACTAGTGAAGGGAAGCATAAGGCCAGCCCTCATGACATACAGCTTCTGCCCCTCTCAAGCGCAGTCTTCCTTCCATTGGTCCCTGGCAGTGTGTCTGTGCATATATGGGGAAGGAGTGGTACTAGGGGGATAGAAGAATAACATAGTAGGTCTAATAAGGGAACTGACCATAGGAGGGACCTATGGTCTTGGTACACAGAGAAACCCTGGACTAGGAGTTTTTCTACATCTTGGTACACAGAGAAACCCTGGACTAGGAGTCAAAATACCTGGATTCCTAGCTCATCTCTCCCACCCGCCAGCTGCATGATTGATCTTAGAGAGGAGAAAGAAGCCAGAATTTATTGAGCACCTACTATGTTCCTGGCACCATACTAAGCTGGAAGGGAGGCTAAAGATGTACATTATTCAATCCCTGCCGTACATAGCTCACAGAAAGAAAAGTAAATAAACTAAGATGTGATCGATGAAGTAATTGAAATAGGTATAATCCATACAGAAGAGTCAGTAACTAACTCTGGGGAGAAGCATGGAGCTCATGGAAGATATGCCAGAGGAGAAGACACATGAGTGGTTTTGAAGGAGACAGATATACTTGGTGGGGAGAACATTCCAGACCAGGCAGGAGGAACAGTGCATGCAAAGGAACAGCAGTGTGTGTCTGAAGAACCCTATTCTGTTTGGTGTATCTGTCAGTTTACAGTAGACGGCAGAAACATTAGATCAGAGTCTAGTCGTGAATAAATACATACCTTTTTCCAAGGGTAGTAAAGCACTTGGACTTTATTCTGTGGGAGATGGGAAGCAGGTGATGGGCACAGTGGGATCTCTATATGTGAAGAAACCTCTGCCTTGCTTGGTTCAATCCTCCTGAGATACAGGATTTTATAGGCAATAGTAGCATTGAGACCTGTGGTCATGAGGTACCTTCCTCTTCTGGGCAGCATAATGTAGTGGAAAAAATAGAAGCTTTGGAGGGAGACAGACCTGAGTTTGATCTCAGTATGTGACCTTGGAATAATTTTTAGCCTTTCTGACCCTCAGATGTCACATCTATAAAATTATAAATGAATGCCTGCATTCCACTTAGAGTTATGTAAAGACTCAGTCTAGTTAGGATGAAAAGCCCTCAGCACCCTGCCCAGCCAGTGTGTGGTGCTGCCTTTTCAGCCCTCAGGAGGGAACCTCTGTGAGCACTGGAGGCAGGGTGCTGCTCATTTATCTTTAGGACAAGGGGCCTGTGACCACAAAGAAGAAACAGAAATGGTAATATGATGAGCACCCCGGAGGTAATCTGGTAATGTTCTCCCTGAGCTAAATCTCTTCTCACCGCATCCTCCCGTGTCCATTTTCCTTAAGTTGTGCCATTAATTCTCTCATTACCCAGTGGAATGATATTTATGTATTAAGATCATACTTAGCATACTCCCAAGGAGCAAGTTAAAGTTCAACTAACGTCGCCAGTTTCTCGTTGTAAGGATAAATACACTGAGGAATCCATACGGAGAGCTTCTGTGTGTCTTATAATTTCATATTAAAAAAAGATTAAATTTTATACTGGATAAGAGAGGGAAGGAAAAAAAAATCCCAGTGCAAAAACAAGTTGTGAACCTAGGAGCACAGTTTCTGAATGTTTATTTTGTCAGATACACAGCTGACATGATTAGTTCTAATGGGGTGGTGATCCTCATTGAATTGCAGATTGGTATGAGTGACTGAAATACCGCAGGGACTTAAATAAGTGGTGCATATGGTATTACTTAGGCTGCATCCTTTAGCCAAGGTGAAGGCTTCGTTTTCTGTCCATTCCTAACATGCATGCAGACACACACACACACACACACACACACACACACACACACACACCTGCTACATATGCGTCCATCTAGTCCAGAAGCTCCACACTGAACATCAATTACCTATCTAGAGTAAGGCTGGCTGGCCTTTACTTCCTTCCCTTTGCCCTGTGTTACCTGAGTGCACCCCCAAGCCCCCACACTCTCCAGTGTAGATAATGGTGTATCAGATTAGTCTGCCTTGCTGCTGCATCAAGACCCAGATCAATTTATTGACTCTGCCAGAGTGGCTGGTACAGTAATTGTTACAAGAGAAGAATAGAAAGTGAGAACGTGTACACATGAAAAATAAAAATGACGTTTTGTTCTCTCCTGCCCCCTCCCCCGCCTTTTTTTTCCTCATAGATCTTTATGTGTTTACACAGCAGAGAGCACTTTACTTAAGTTAATCAGCTCCTTCTACATTATTAATTGTGACAGGGTGCCACATGACAGGACGAGTATTATGGGAAACATTGATCTCACTCCGATGGTGTGGACCTGAGCAGGTTTGGTATTCCTCTCCCTATCTCGCTGCTTTGGGGTCCCATCAAATCACATTTCCCTGATTGACAACACGGAATGCCTCCCATCAATACGATTGATTTTGTGAAAAGGACAAGGAACATTTTTCAACTGGAGAGAGATGAATTGTGGTTATGGGAAAGAGAGCATCTCAGAAATCTTTCAGGTTAGAAGCCTAAATTGGGAACTAAGGTATTCTTGTCATCCCAAACACAAGCATAATTTGTACCCCCTGAAAAATGGTATTAGGAGAAACTTATTACAAGTGAAAAATAGACTTAGTGGAGGCCAGCAATGAACCTGAGGACATAATGGCTGTTTTTAAAAGGCCACCTGCTAATTTTTTTGTGAGGAATTTTTGGTTAAGTGCACATCTTTGAAAGACATTTCATTAAAGTTCAGCTTTCATGGCTTATACCTGTAGACCCTAACATAAATCCTGTGTGAACGGACAAAACTGAGTGGGTGTCATTTGTGACCTGGAAATAAAAGGTCAACCATTGAATTTATAGCTTTTTTAGTGAAAAGAACATAAAGATTCCTGCCAACTGGAGTCAATCCATATTTTAATGTTTCCTAGTTAAGATTATAAAATCAAGGGATTAGGATCGTGCTGCTCAATGAAGGTCAAAAATTAAATGTGATGGGCTAAGTGTCATTCCCATGGGGCAGAAGTTAATATTTCAAAAACCATTTCTACCACTGGCAGTCAAGAAATGAATTGTCCATGATCATTAACCAAGTTAAGGGGAATCCCACTATCATTACTAAATTTAATGATGATTATTATACTAATCAACTATATTATTAAATTACTCTGCTGTTCTGTAATGTCCCCAAACAGTAATAGTGAATTGATTGCTACCAAGTAATTCTCATATACAGTTGAGAACAAGTTGAGATGCAGGATCATGGATGAAGGCCTCCTTTTGAAGAAAGAAGTTGTGGCTATTTTATGGATAACAGTGATAACGTAGAACGTTCTTTTAAGATGAAGAGTGAGTGGCACTACAGACCTGTTATTAACTATAATTCATTAGTACATGTTTTTTAAGTACAAAAAAAGAACACGTATTTCTCTTTATTGTGTTTTTTTTTCTCTTTCAGATTTTTGTATCCTCCTCCCGATGCTTTTTTTTTTCTTTTCTTTTCTTTGGGAAAAAGAACATCTATTTTGCCAGATTCCTTTTTCCACAAATTTTTAGAGCTCTGGATACTGTCTACTTTGGATTTTTATGAAGAGGGAAGAAAGGATATTTAAATGTCTTTATATGATGACTCAGACACATGTGCCCTGTACCATTTTCAAATCCATTTTAAGATGCCAGTATTTTTCAAAAGTTTTAGAAATTTCCTTAAAGCTGGTAATTTCCTTAAAGATTATCTACTCCAGACTCCCATCATTTTTCAGATACAACTTTAAGAATATTTTGGAATAAAGTTCATATCATTTTAATAAAGTAGCACCTCCAAATAAGAGGGGCCAAAGCCTGGGGAACTGAAACAACTTGCAAGGCCCCAAAGCTAATCAGAGACAGAGCAGGACTGAAATGCAGGGACCTGTTATGAGTGAAGGAAGGGACTAATGGTTTAATATGTGGCTTAGAAAATGGGTGCATGGTTTCCATTTTACAAAGGTGTTTTATAAAAGCCCAATATCATTAGACTGACTCAAACGCATTGCAATTCCAAGGAACAAATGCATGTAATTCAGAAGTTCACTTTGCAGGATTTACTTTCATAGACTGCCGTGCAGGGGTGTGTGTGTGTGTGTGTGTGTGTGTGTGTGTGTGTGTGTGTCTGTCTGTCTGTCTGTCTGTGTAACCTGTGCTTCCGTCTATGCTCCTGGACAGCTTTTTTTTGCATATTTTCCTATCTTCTGATCTTCACAGTGCAGACAAAGGTCAAAATTCCCATCTACCTTCACAGGCAAACACTTTAAAGTGCTTCTACATGAGGCAGGTTGTAGGGAGGACCTTTGATTTAAAGTTCAGCATTTACATTTGTAATTTTGACTAATTTCTGTGCTAGCATTAATTAAATTGAAATTATTTAATTAGAATAAAACTGAAATTGATCATTAGGATTAATTTAACCTGATAGACTTTGTGTGCCTTTCTAGACAAATATTATGAAATATAGTGATAATGAAGTAGTGAGAGGTATAATTTCACATCTTATAATGATTTTAGTATCCAGTTGTTCTCTCTGATATCTAGATAGTGCTGAATATTGCTCTTTGTTACATCATTACCATTTAGCTAGGGCCATGCTGTATCTCTTATTTGGCCTCTTCCCAAACATTTTTTTCCTGTCTTGAAGTCTGAAGATGTACCAAACTCCCTTCACACCACCCCCCTGTTAACGTCATTGTTCCCTTTCCCCCACCCCCACCGTCTTCCAGGAAGGCGGTTTGCTTGGCTCATCCCTTGGGTCTTGCATTGCAGTGACCTTTGTAAGCCAAGAACTGCCGGATGAAACTCATTATGGAATTCGCTAATGCTCCTCAGCCCTGGGGTCAATACTGTCAAATCTGGACTATCCCCTCGCACCCCTTCCTGGCTGCTTGCTTTGAGTCAGAAGCAGGCACGGAATGAAGCCCTGACGAGGGATGCCAGGCACTGAGTAGGTAACTCCAAGGGAGTACAGGAGAGAAGCGTTACTCCTCCCGGTGCCAGATTCGCTTCCAGGAAATAGTTTCCCCTCTTCATCCCACACCTTCCACATAGTTTGATCAAGCAAACACGCTTCCAAAGTTGGTGCCCTCTGTTTCTTAAAGAAAATTATAGGTGAATGAAACTACTATTTTACCAGAAGAATCAGTATAAATGAAATGAGATTAGATCTGAATCTACCTACCCACACATGAACAAGTATAAAACACTTTGAACTATCAACTATTAAATCAACTATCAAATTATTTTGTCTTCAAAACCATTAGGATCCACATGAATAAATTAAATCCTCAGGAAAATGTGCAAACCATTTTAAGTTTCAAATTTCTCCCATTCACCATTTTGTCAGAGTTGCTTAAAAAAAAAAAAAAGTAACATTAGCAGTTATGTTTAATAGGCTTCCTGTAGCAGCCCTTATTGGCAGGGGTCCAAAGGACAGTGGAAAATGAACCAAAGTTTGATAGATATTTATGAAAAAGAAAGAAGAAAAAATACACAAAAGAAAGAACACATGATTTTCAGTCATTTGGAATTGACTGACCAATGAGAAATTATCTCTTATGCAAATTATCTTCTTTCTGGAAATCAACCAATCAGTCCTGGCTAAAGGCTGAGAAACTTAAGATTGTAAGCCCAAATTCCACCCAATCACTGTAACTAAACTGCTGCTCCCAAAGAAACCAGTTTTATCATCCATTTCTGCAGAACGTCATCTAAATGGATTCCGCTTTCATTCATGTCCTTATCCAGTAAGAGGAAGCTTCTGATTTTTCCAGCAGAGGGTTTTATTTAGAAGCATATTCACATTTAATTTGGTTTTAGAAAACCCTTAATGTTTTTTAATATTGAGCTAGGTTGAGTTCAGGGGATTGAGAAAAAAGACTAAAAGCTTTGCATATAGCTAGCATGCTCGTGCTATTATTGAACATGCAAGAAAAGTGACGGCTCAATATTGCACTAGGTTAAGAAAAGGCCATGATCTAGCACATGAAGATGAGGTTTCTGTCTTCCGCCAGACAGAGAGGAATCCCCTTCCCCCACCCCAACAACTCCAAAGATAAAAAAGCATCAGTTACAGTCCTGTTAGGAGACAAAACACAAATATTAGTTCATTTCATCCTCACAAGCACCATGCTAGCTAGCAAGGTGGTCTTCATCCTTTCTTAGCAGAGGTGCAAACTGAGATCCAGATTCACCACACACTCCTAGTCCATCCACCCCCAGCCATGCAATTGCTTCTCTGAACCCCACCACCCCCACAGCAGTGCTTACTCTTGAACTATTTATCTGACGCATCACATGTCACTCTGCAGGGATGCAGCTGCTGAATCTGGGTACTGGGAATGCCACAACCTGCAGTTTTGCCAGGTATGCTCACCTATCAGGAAAGGACTGCTCCAGTATGAAAAGATGCTATAAAGTAACTCTTGAGCATTGCCCTGAGGTTACAGTTACTATTAGTATCATTGATTTATTACTGCTGTACCCACTTGCTTGCTGTTATAGATAAACTCCAATTCAGAGAGAAGTTGAGAAGGAGAGTCCTTGGTGCTCTTTCTCCTGTGCCCTTTCCATTTCTGCCCATGAAGATGATGGCTGCTTTCTCTGAACTCCTTGACCCTTGCTTAGCAACAAGATTGAGTCTTAATTTCAATAAGCCAGGAAATCAGCTCTCTCCAGATTGGTTCCCTGTGGGCATCTGAGAACCCCTTCAACTCTTCCTGCTTCTAAATGAAAAATAGCCATTTCTTCCTCTCTGATGCACCTTTATTGGCTGGAAAATCCCTGAGATCTTTTTGACCTCAAAAACCTCTTAGGTTTAGGATCTCTTTTGGGCTGGGTACATTTCTCTTCATAACTTAATCTTCAAGGCAGAAAAACCATTTAAGCAAACCCTTGTTTTAATATTTGAAGAGAATCAACGTGCATTGACCATTTCCACAGAAAGCTGAAACTCATTGCACAGAAATTTTAAGTCATGGCCATGAGATTCTAGAATCTACATCTAGAAGCCATTTTCAACTATAATGTTAACTAGAATGCCTTTTAGGGAAAATTAAGAAGCAAAGTTCTCCTGGCCCCTGCCCTGCCTTTCTCTCTGTCCTTCTTTGCCTCTGGAGTAGACCTGAGGAAATTTTTAATACTAACGAGAACTTGGTGCTGCGTAGCCTCTGAGTCTGAAATGCCTGAGAAAGCAGTCCAGATTCCAACTGTAAAACATTCCTTCACCAAGCCTTGGAAACTAACATACAGAGGCCGGCAGAGTTCAGAGGGAGCACATGTAAATGAGGCTCCGTTATAAACTCCTGAGGAGTGTTTTATTTAGTTTAAACCTGAACTTGAACTTGTAAACGGTGTTCCTTGAGAACAATACAGAAAGGTTGATGCAGTAGAACAGGAAGTCACATTTTAGCTCAGACATTTTACTCCTTTAAAAGAAGGAAACTATCTTAAAGTATTTCTTAATTGAACTGTCTTCTAGAATAGCACAAATTGGCATGTCTGCAAGATTTTTGGGATTGCAGAATCAGAATGGAAGTGTATATGTATATATATCATTTGAACTTACCACCATTCTTGCAAAATAAACAATAGAATTTCCTATCCATATGGCGATTTAACAAGAGGATATTTAAAGAGCCTGTCCACATATAACAGTCATGCCATCTGTAATTGATTTTATTAATTGATAATAAAGTGACAGTAGAGGTGTGGGACCGTTTCAAACTAGCACTGTGTGTGTGTATTGAGAGTTTGTTCCCAAATCTCAGTTGCTGGTAGAGCACTACCAAGTGGAATTTATCCGAAAACAAAGTGAGAATGATTTTGTACGCATGCTCAATTTTATAAAACACATTCTTGAATCAGTCTTCAATAATCTTTGCTTGCGAGATCTCCATCTCAGAAGTCACTACTAAAAAGGTAAAAAATAAATTAAATTGTCTGTGTTAGAATGATATTACCTCTCTCCAAGAAGCATAGATCCCTGACAGGGAAGCCAAGCAGCTCTGCCAATCACGTATGCTATGTACATGTCCAGGTTGTTGGTAAGGCCCTTCACGGAGACTGTCAATGCTATAGGATCTTCACCTTGCACAAATCCCAACCGCAGCCCCATCAAGAAGCCTCCCCCTCATATCCCCTGGAAATATTTGGGAGGAATCTAATTGTTTGTAGCAACGAATATTGCTTAGTTGTAAATTTAATCTACAAATTTAGAAGGAAATAAATCTGAACATAAAAAGCATTTGCTGTTTCAGCATTAAAAAAAAAATGCTATCATTTGAAACTGCAAACTCTCCCATGTGGGTTTGTTTTGCAAGTCACGTCTTAACAAAGACAAGTTTTGTTGCCATAAAACCCTAAATCCTACCACATCCTCAGAAGGAGGAGAAAAGTATTGTTCACTGGTTCCGGGTTTGGGCTTTCAGGATAACACAGAGCTATGACCGCGCACAGGGAAATTGTTTGGTATTTATCCAGAGTTGTTGGTTCAGGTGAAACCCTGACACACACATACCTCCCATCTAGATTATATCAGTGCCTCATGTAATTATGCTCCTTACATTTTAGGCCTGTGTCTGAAAGTCGTTTTGTATTTTTAACTTTATTTTTTCCCTCAAATGATGTGATAACTAGTATCCTGAGGCCTGTTTTGCAGAAAAGTTAAAGTTGGACCCCTGACTCCCTACAAACTAGGATTTAGATCTCTGACTCCATGATCTGACTTTTTCCATAGCCAAGCTCATTCTGACCTCAATGAAAGATAGGAACAGTTTTACCTCTCCCAATATCCCATCTACCCTGTGAACGATTAGAAAAAAAAAATGATTCCTGGCACCAGTGATATCTAAAAGCAGGTGTTCCTAGAAGGTAAAGAAAGGCATAGCAACAGGATCTTGTAGTATCCTTAGAGAGATCTGGTGAAGTTCAGGCCCCTCAGCAAGCCAGTGACTGAACTGGGACTTGAACCAGGCCACCAGACCCGCAGTCCAGTGCTTAACTATCTTTTCTCATGAATCTGAAAACGCAGATGCCACAGTTTCCTTTGCATTCTCTCCAAATGCTGCCTGTATGTCTTGTTTCTTTGGCTCACAACAGAAGCCTTCCAGGGGTTGTGGTTTGCAGCTCAAGGCCTTCTTCACTTCATCTTAATCCTTAGGGACTGTTGGTCTGCATGGCCTGGGAGAGAGTAGGGGTCTGTCATGATTCCTGCACAGGGATTAAACACAGGTGGAGAGGGAGGGAGACACTAACTTGAGGGGTGGGAGGAGATAGAGAATGGAACTAGAAAGACCAGGAACAGTGGACAGGGGAGAATTAAAGAGGTAACGAGCAGACCTGTGCCAGGGCTTGAGCGTGGAAGTGCCTGCTGGGGTGGAGAAGTCCAAAGGTGGCAGATGCTATCCAGTGTCTGAAGGGCTTCTTGGCTGGAAAGGTTGGTTTGGGAATTCATTTCTGGCAAAAGGCCAGATCTTCTGGCATACTGTTGCAGGATGTATCTGGGAGAATTTTTGAAATAACTGGACTTTTTACTTCAATGTTATTTTCTCTCTTACTGGACTTTATCTTCCTGCACAATCCACACTAAGGTCTCCTTGATTGATTGGCTCTCAACCTGAGTCATGTTTGGGAAGAGCAAGAGCGAGGAGGCACGGAGTAGAATGATTATTACAATGTGGCCACGCTCTGCTGAGCTCCGGCCTCCACTCCCACGCCTCTCTTTTTAAACAAGAAAGGTTACCTCCCTGGGCCACCATTGGGCCAACCCCAAGTGTTTCTGTCTGCACTTGTTAGACAACAGGCATTTAATTAAAATTGGAATCCGATGTGTAGAAAACATACATTTTTTCATTTCATAGCTCCCCAGGAAGTCATATTCCCTTCCTTCCCCACTCTCCTCAACTCTCCCCCTGCCAAAAAAATTTAAAAAAAAATTGTGAAGGAAAAGATTATTTTAATGTGAAAATCAAAAATTACAAAGGGCTAGGCTGCTTCTTCATTTTTTGCCTTTGGGGGAGACATTAGCCAATCATAAAGCCTGTATTGTGTCTTCAGACCAGGAGCCAGCTTTTTTATGGCTAACTTCCCATATGGAAAAGGGTTTGTCCCATTTCAGGGCATTAAAATACAGCCTTTAATGAATTTGTAACTTAAATCTTTTATCTTGCTCTTATGCGATAGAAAGTGTGGCCTGTCTTCTGATATTTGTTGGACTTTGTGGAATCAACAAATACAAAGAAACAGATAATAAACATGAGGCCCAAGTTGAAAAATAAAGCCGCGAAACCCCGTCGCCACTGCATTTTCCGCAGCAGAGCCATCCACTGCACTGTCTGGGCTCCACCCAGAAAATCCGGCAGTGCCATCATGACCAAATAGATAGGAACTCTGGACAATTTCATCGGGTCATTGTCCCCTTAATCTCCACGCTGCACCTCAGATCTCAAGCAGCTTCCGTGGCGCAGGCTCAATTTAATGGATAGAATCTATTTTTCATGAAAAAGCAGGAAATAAGCTGTCTCTTTCATAAAAAGATTTACAAAATGTAATCATTGTTGAAATATTCCCTTTGAACTGCCGTGTCCACGGGGGTCTCCGGCTCCCAGAGTCGTGCTTCATTAGAACCCCGTCATAAGCGGCTCCAGAAGGGCAGGTACGCTGGTGGTGCCCGGCTTTGATGTCTTGAATGAATGAAAGAAAAGCACAATAAAAAAGAGCTGTTGATCAAGCATAAAATACTCTTTAAGCTGACAGAATAGCAGCGTTAACACACCCTAAGCTGCTTTTAGTTTTTCCCTTTTTTCCTCACATTTTCCTGTGCTTTGTGTACAGTGGGGGTTTGTATTTTATAAGAAGTCTCTGATCTATGTAGTATGCCATTCGCTAACAAAAACCAAAATAGGATTGTTTCTGTCCCACTTGGTTGCCTGACTACCCCCTCCCTTCCTCCCCTTTTCTCCTCACCCCCAACCTCCAAGGCGTGCAGTTTAGCCTTGCAAGGCAAGGGCCCAAATGCCTTTCATAAACTTGAGCCAATTCCTTTTGTGTTGTGGGTTTCACCGCTCTGATTTTAATATCGCAATTAAAGACAGATTTTTATTTTCTCAAGAACTTTCTCTTGCAACTGGGGAAATGGAATTGACGCAGCTGCTACTTTTAACTAAGAAATTATATCATTAAATAAGAGAAAGCCGCCTTGTAGAGTGATTTGCTTTCCTGGGGACGTTGGGTCTCACGTGGACCCTAAGGCCCCAGAAACCGTTCACAGTGAGAGAACCCAGCTACCCCTGGCTTTCTGGCTTTCTGTAGTAGCCCCTAGCCAGGCATTTAATCCCCACAAAAACTGATACAGTTGTTACCTCCATTTCATGGAGTCTAAAACTGAGACCTAGTGATGCTAACTTGCCTAAGATTATCTAACTAGTTCATAATGGTGCCAGGATTTTTGTCATTCGGACCCCAGAGTCCTGGCTCTTACGGCTATGCACACAGCTCTCTAGTAGGATCTTGGAGCAAATGCGGTGGGCCGGAGTGCAGTTTTTAATCCAGCAGTCTTTGATTTCATGAGGTAAAAGGTTACGTGATGAAAAATGGAAAGGAAGGGAGACCAAAAGAAAAATGTACTTGGTGGTAAGAGAGACACTAGGGCAAGCTGGAATCTCGTGAAAGATTCAGACTTTGGATGAACAGTCAGAATAATTGGATTGTGTATGCACTCTCAAGGTTTGGAGGTACTGGATGGCTTATTGGGTAAAAAGATTAGTGTTTTCCCGTCTTGAGGTCTGAACCAAACGGAGGTCTTGGCTGGGAGCAGCACAGTCATTCTCCAGGGATTGGTGGTTTGGACAACTTCTCTGAGCTTGTAGTAAGTAGGCAGCAGTCCATGTTACAAAACTATTGCACATGCTACTGACGCAGTTGGCCGCAACTGGCCCCGCTGCAACAACTCTCCCGTCGGAACTGCCTGGAGTGGCTTGTGGAGACTTGTGTCCCTCGAGGGAGAGTGTCTGTCATTTGGGGAGACATGGTCATGTGGCACGAGCATGCTAGAAGTCATCCATCCAGATGCCTTGCTTTGCCCTCATTGGGGTGACTGACACCAGGCTTTGGTAACCTCGGATACAGCTTGTTCTTCCTTCCCTCCTTTATTTATTTAACAGTATTTATTACATGCCCACCCTGGCATCCCTTAGATAGCCAGCTTGCCTGGGATGAAAACAGGTAATTAAAGTTTAGCAACTGTGACAGAGGAGAATCCTGAGGGTAAAGGCCCCAAGAAAGACCCCTCTGAAGAAGGGACATCTAATCTTAGAACCCAAGGACTAGTAAGCATTAGCAAAGCCAAGGAGTGGGACAGCCTGTGCCCAGGCCTGGCAGGGAGAAAGCATTTGGCTTTGGGGGATCCGGAAGAAGTTTAAGGCAACAAAAGTGTTGAGGACAAGTGGTGAAAAGATAAGGCCACAAAGGTGCCGGGGCCAATCCCGGCCCATTACGGTTTTAATAGTTTTCTGTACAATAAACAAGTCTTGGTTCGGAGTTACTGAAAACAGACTTTCTTTAATTAAGAAAATAAAATCAGGCAAGAAAAATGATTACAGAGATCAAAGCCCAAGGCTGGCAGTACCAGTAACTAACACCTGTGTACAGCATGACACCCTTTTCAGAAGAAACCAGTGTAAATCACTGCTGCCTCTCATGAATACAGACTGGTCCTCACAAGACTCTGAGGGTCCCAGGACAGGGACTGGCTTGCTTGAAGTCACACTGCTGGTCAGTGGAAAAAGTGACACCAATCCTGAGTCCTTTGGACACTGGATACTGGGCATCGTTCATTGCCAGAAGTTTATAAAATCCTATTGGGAGAAAAGCAGGCTATCTGGTATCATGAAGGGTCTAGAATCTAGCCACTGCTTCCTGATAGACAAGAAAGTCCTACAGGGCAGGGACTATATTTTACTCATTATATCCCCAGAGCCAGCATACATAGCACCTAGCACATAGAAGGCCCTTAGTGCTTGTTGGATGAGTGAATAAATGCTCCCAAATGGTTTATGCGAATGTGAGAAACTCAGAGTCCACTGAGAGACCTCATCCATTTCTATCATATTGAGATGGGCAGAAGAGACTACTGGGCTTTTGGCTGATTTGCCAAGGACAACTCATTTGGGCTAAACAGTAGGCTTTAGTCCATCCACAGAAGTGCGGGAAGCCAAAAATGACCCACTGGAGTAGTGTGAAGTAGTAGTGCAAAGCTAACACCTCCCCAAGAGAGAATGCACAACAGCGACAGCAGCTCCTGGAGTCTTGGCTTATTGGTTGGCTGAGTCCTCTTTGGGGGCTGATGAGGAGCTGGGCCTGCAGGGTGCGGGGAGGCCAGCCTGTGTTTGCACATTTCCGTTTTATGTGTGTGAATGTCCTCAAATAACCCACCTTGCCTGCAGAAGAAAGCCAAGTGTCACACCCAGTTCTGGATTCCACATTAACAACCTCCTTCCGCAGTGTTAAACTTTGCCCTTGTTGAGGCCTTTTGTTTAAGTTTTTAATCTGAAAAACAGATTCTGCTGCATCACAGTCCACTCTGCCCTCTGCCCCTGCCACCCCAGCACTCTCTGCTCCTTTTAGGGGTTAAAGTAAAATACAAAATACAAAAAATGTTTCTCAGACATTTTTCTTTTTCCTCTAGAATGTGCATCCTGCCCTCTTAGTAAAAAGAGGATGTAAAAAGCCTTTTAAAAAGTTGTTGCACACATTAGAGCATTTGTTGCTAACGCAGGGGTTGAGGCCATGGCCCGCATCAGCTGTGTCTTCAGCAGCCCCATGACCACATTTTGGAAGACGGCCCCTGTGTTCTGATTGCTCTCTGTGAGGCGTACGAAATGGAAGAGATTGGCACCGTCAGAGGTACCTTCTGCCATTTCAGGCTTCCTGTTTAGGATGCAGTCGGATAGATATTGTTTATGGTTCATAAAACCTGACTACTGTGAGTATTCCAGAATCCCAGCGGAATGGGATTCGAACTTTCATGGAGCTGTAAATTAACGGGCGGCAAGTGTGATAAAACTCCTTAGAGAACTGTGAGGGGAAAAAGTCGTGCTGCAATGGTTAAATGAAATTTTATAAGCACATTCAGTGTGGAGCTGTTTTGCATTACATGAGTTGAATACCTTAGAGACGCCACATCTGCAGGCACTTTATTAAATCCTTAGTCAGCACTTTTCCAACCTGATGAGATTACTTCTTCATTTGACTGGAGAAAAGGAAAGCTGAGCTCTTGTCCTGGACTGCAGATTTCTTTTGATGTTTCACCTTGAACATTGAAAGAGGACAGTCACCCCACTTCCCTCCCCACTCCCGCTCAGCACATCCCAAACTCTAGACATTGTGAATGTTACCGACTAATTTTACGTAACTGGAGCCTTGGTGGGAGTGTGGATTTGTGGACCTCCACAACAACTATAGCTGAAAGTTTCTGAGGAAAAAATAGATCAAAGCTCTGTGTTTACTTAATGTAAATGTATCAAGATAACATCATCCTATATTGCATTGTAATAATGCCACTCACTGCACATAGGGAGGGAGATTCCTTTGTAGTCCATTTGGATACAGTAGGGTAGATTAAGGGGCTATAAAGTACGAAGGCAGAAAGCATATGAAACCTAAGCTTATGTCACTAAATGTCTGAGGATAGTTTTTGTTTAATGTGTTACCATTTTCCCAGTGATTTGCTGCTCAACCCCAACGATCGAATAAGCTCAGATTTCTTTTATGTTTTTCCTATATGACCCAAGAAGAAAATATGCAGAATCATTCTTCAATTAATGTTCTAAAACTTGTACTGCTTGCATAATAGAAATTATAAGAAAATATCACAAGAGAAAAGTAGGCTTTTACAAACATTATATTGTCCATCTGGTGTTACTAGCAGCTCATGGAAGTTTCTAGGAATTGACTGGCTTACACATGTGTGACTGTCACACTCATCCCAATGGGATTATGAGTGTCTTTACAAACTGATTAGGAGAAAATTCAGGGAGATGTATGAATTATTATTATTATTATTATTATTATTAGAACTATCTGCCATCTCTGCAAATAAATGATTTAATCAGAGACTTCAAAAAAGAAAAATTCCCTGTGTGGTTCCCCTAACCAACTTCCTGTTCTGGAAAACCTTGGTCAAGTAGCTGGGTTAATTGTCATGAAGATTAGTGTGATGTTGAAATAAGTACTAATGGTCAAATTATAGGAGTGAACAAGTTTAAGAATAGGTTTTGGTTTGGGCCTGAAAGGGTTAATTAAGGTTTTTTCACGGGTTATTAAAGACCCCCAACCTCTGCCTTCAGGAGTCATATTGACACCCCACCACAGGGCAGCTCAGCCCCTCTGTTGACATGTTGCTGGTCAGAGCACAATAGCCTTCTGTGTCTGCAAATCATTGCTAAAATCATCTCAAGGAAAAAAAAGTTTGAAAGCTTTAACGTTAGACAAAAGCCCAAGAGTTGCAGCGTGCAGCCCAAAAACCTGGAGTCAGCAACTTCTATTGATTAAAAACTAACCTTTAAAGTAACTCTGAGAGTGTGTGGTTAGCATTTAAATTTAAACATGTCATGAGTTGATTTGTGTTACTGAATACCAACTCAGAAGGAGTAACATTCACATCGCATTTTTTTTTTCTAATTCCCTTAAGCAGCTAAAGTATTTCATGAAATGTCAATAGGGCAAAAAGAAAAAGAGGTGGGGGGCTGATGCTGGGCCTTGTAGTTTTCTTTCCCATGCAAATATCCACCCCCCAAAAGAAAAGTGTGCAGAGTGAAACACAATAATTAGTCCTTTGTCTAACTTTCCCAAGTGCCAGAGAAAGACAGATTAATTAAATATACAACAATGTTGGTTTTTGGAGTGGGGGTCTTGCTTGCTGTGTAGGTCATAAATTAGGCAGAATAAATACTTCAATGTGTTTGCAGTGGGCCTGCTACGTCAGAACCACTGGAAGGTTGGTGGGAGGAGAGCAGAGGGTTTCTTGCTAATGATAGTCACGTCTGGGTCTGTCTGGTTGCTCTTAGCAACCAGACATGATGTAACACCAGGATGAACTTGAACTTGGGGGACTTGAAAAGAGAACAATAGACCAGAGCAATCAATAAAGCCTATTTCAGTGAAGGATTACAGAGCTGCTCTGGGGTAACCTTGTCGGCAAGGCACATACTGAATAGTAAGATGTGTGAAGAAACTTTTTTTTTTTTTTTTTTTTTTTTGCTTTGCTTTTTAAGAGAAGTGCAGAGGCACTGCAGATTTTTGTAGTGCCCTGAGGTCTCGTCCAGAAACTGTGGTGTGGAGAACTGCTCCCCCTGCTGACTCACTGGGTGCCAGGCCTTTGCTTCAAGAACTACCTTAGTGTCAGATTGAAGAAGTCTGGAATTTCACAACCGACTTAGAAAGTGTGAAAACAGAAATAGTAAGCATTATTCCCCGCACCCAAAGTTTGAACCTGTTTTGTAGAAGGGAGGAAGCGGCTCTAACGTGGATGAGAGTCAGCTGTTAGGTAGAGGCCTACTAGAAACACAGTTTGGGGTTTGCTTTCTCTCTCCTTTCTCTCCCCCTCTTCTTTCTTTTGTCCAGCTAGATTTAGGCCATGTGTATTTGCCAGGCTGATTTCCTTTCAGGACACAAGAGGCTTTATTGTGTTCCTCAAAGCATGTGGTCAAAGAATAACATCTGAAAGTCTACAGGATGCGTAGTTTTTCGGTCTGGGCTTAAGTTTTTTAAACTCCTCTGGAAATCAAAGGTGGCTTGTGTGACTAGGAAATCTTATACCAAACTCCATGTAGCTATCACTTAGCCATTCATCCCTGGGGACCAAATGAGTCCTTACATTACCTAATGGAATCTCTTCCACAGGGATGATCCTTCACCTGCCTGAAGCAACCCAATTAGAACCCTTTCTGATACCGTCAACTTAAAGAATTCAGAAGCATTGGTTTTTGTTAGGCCTTGGTAATTTTTCTGTAAATAATGATAAATGTAGTGAATTTGTCAAGGTATCTCTAGAGAAAAGTCGGCAAAAGCCACATACTTTTTTATTTCACTGGAGAAACTAACTCTGATGTTAGTCCATAATTGCTCATTCTGTCTAGCTAACAGAAAAAGAAATGCCAGCAGATAAAGTGATATATGACCAGACAATTGCTCAAAGCTAACCACCTAAGGATTTACGAAAGGAAAAGGTAACCAGTAACTGGGCCTGGCAGGCACACAGAAGGCTCTAAATAAATGCTGCATGGACGCAAGCATGAATGAAGGGTACGCAGTGGCCTCATTTTTCCTTTGGACAATGTGGTACTTAATAGAGTAAAATCTTGATCCTACTTAGTTATTATGTTTCATGTTTGAAAATACCATTTTAGATATATTGGGCTGAAAGGAGCATCTTCCCTCATAAAATCCTACATATGTAAGGAAGGAAAAATACTGTGACTTGCTCAAAATCACCCAGGAAGACTGGGTCCAGCACTTTTTCCACCTTACCTCCACTTATTCTTGTGTCGCTATTGACCATCTGGGCCTGTTAGGAGAGTGTCACAATCATGGCTTCAGTGCCTGCACCTCATTTGAAAGGAGATGTTGAAAATCATCAGAGTAGCCATTCATTGCCACATGAAACCCCTCCCTTTACCCATTCTCCATTCATTCAACTCTTCTTCATTAAGAACGTTCTGTATTCCAGGCACTGGGCTAGGCACTGAGGATTGAATGATAAACAAGATGGTCAAGTTTCCTGCCCTCCTATAACTGCCCCCATCAGTTAACAAAACCCTTATTTGTATTTCAAGTGAACAGAAATACCTCATTCTGTAAGATATACTCAGAATGTTGGAAAACCCCAATGAAGACAATGAATTATAATTTCAGAAGAATAAGATCAGTTTCAGTGTCACAGGATTTTTTATTGTCTGTCGTGCCTTTACTTTTCCCAGCGAATCCCTCCCGCATCCCTAACGTAGATCCTGATTTCGTGGTTGAAAAGGCAACTTCTAAAACACACGTTTTTACAAATTGTGATTTTAATTGTATTTTTCCTTTTGTCTTCCAGTCCTGGTACCTGGGATAAAAGTTGCAGCGTCCCACCATCCACCAGACAGACCACCTGACCCCTTCTCAACTCTGTAACATGGACGCAACCTCAACCCAGCGCAGTTACAACTTCACTATCAGCGGAAGGGGAGAAAAACCGATTCAAATCAACTTGTACATGGAAACAGCAAGCATTATGGTCAAACAGCAAAGGCCATAACCTTTTGGGATTTTTTTTTTTTTAAAATACTTTAGGGACTGTTGTAATTTCTCATATGGTGCTGGAAATGGTTGGGCTTTGTAACATTTGAAGTGTTTCCATGGTAGCGTGAGCATTAGGTGACGTGGCTAGCGGAGGACTACCCTTGCTCACTGACTTCCTGTTGTAACACACTTTCCTTACGGAGCCTGGCTGTTTCACAGTATTTCATGAATTTACCCACACAGGTGTGATCCTCCTTGAGCATTGAGGAGGCACATGGAGAACTAAATCTTTTGTAGTAGCTGAGATCTGCAATATATAACGGGACAGTCAAAGGGCAATGTTTTTCTGTAACATATTGGAAAAAGAAAATGCAGTTATATTCCTTTTTTATTTGTTCCTTTAGTTTGTTTTGGTTCAGCAGTCAGCAGTTAAGTATATAACATGGCCCGCAAGGACAATGAATCCACTCACATTGCAGAACAATTCCGAAAATGGCAAACTACTACTACTACTGTTCAGTTTTTTAAAAGTTTTGAAATGCTGCACTTACATTTAAAAAAACAACAACAACATTTTTTCAACAATTTCAACAATGACACAAAAATTCACATGGAAATGGGGAAGATGGTCTGTTTTGACAGAAACTGACAGGAATCAATCAAAACAATCGAATTTTGAATTGAGTAAAGTGCAATTTCATTGGATAGCTAAATATCTTTGTAAGATAGAGATTGTTGAAAATTCTATTTTTGTTTTTCTAGTCCTTTCACCCCAGGACTCTAAATTATTGGGGTAAAAAACAGCCTTGCAAGAAAAAGGGGAGCTATTTTTGCTTTTTATGTTTTTTATTGTTAAACTTGTATCCCTTTAAAAACTGAAGGAAATTAAAAAAAAAAAACAAAAAAACAAATCTAATGGTGCTTTTACCACAATATGTTAACTACATTAAATGCTAATTAATTATTTTCTGTTATCAAAGCACATGACTAAAATGAAATCATGGTATCTGTTAATTTTATAAGCTAGAAGTCACTATAATGGATTACGCCAATTCTAAAAAATTTTACACCTATCTGGCATCATAGGATTTATCAGTTATCAGACACCTCATTGTACCAGAGATTGTCCAGAAGTTTTAAAGACCTTTGCATCCCTGAACTGGGCTATGGGAAATAATAATAGTAATAATAATAATAATAATAAT
Source organism: Homo sapiens (assembly GCF_000001405.40). NCBI lineage: Eukaryota > Metazoa > Chordata > Mammalia > Primates > Hominidae > Homo > Homo sapiens. The sequence goes on from NC_000001.11 coordinate 61,456,693, forward strand.
GATGAAACCAATACTGACACAAATGCTGGTGCCCATTCAGATCAAGGGTACTTGTTAGGGAAAAAAAAAAAAGTTTGCACCCCCAAACGTCCTGTATCTTATGAAAAAAAAAACAAAAAACAAAAACAAAAAAAAAACACAAAAAACCACAGAAACAAAAACAAAAAAAAGTGCAAGTGATTTTTCTACCAGACAGCGAAGCACCCCTTTGCTTCCCATGCGACTTCAAGAAGGTTTCCTATACTATACATATATATACGTTCTGGTTGGCAAGCCCTGCTGATCAGAGAAAGTCTCTGCATGTTCTAGTGTTAGTAACTAATTTTTATATAGTTAATGTAGGATAAAGTAGAGTGCATTAAGACACAATATTGTAATCCCTACTCTAGGCACTTGCCTTTAAACTATGTTTTTCAGCCCTTCAGAAGGGTTCTACTACTGTCCTATACAATCAAGTAACTGAAATTCTTGGGAAGACACTTTGCTCCTCATCTTTCTCCCCGAAACAATGTTGTTTTGTTTTGTTTTTTTTCCTTAATTTGCACGAAAACAAAAATTCCATATCAATGTGCCTTGCCCTGGATAGCGATTATTTGTGGAATTGTTGCACATGCTCCTCTATTGAAAGGGGTTTTTCCCTAGTCAAGCATTTGGAGACACTTTTTGTAAATGTGACTTTTATGTCAGCCATCGTCAGTTTCAACATCTAGAACTAAATAGAAAGCTAGTTGTTCCGCAGATAGGAGTAGTCTTTATTGTCCTGTACGGTCGGTGGCAGTGCTATTCTGAGATCTGTAGATGCTTAGAATATCAGTATTTTGGATGTTGCTGCATTTTACAATTTATTTGGAGTCTTCCTTTATTTTCCCCCAGATATATGAAAATATGCAATACCTGCTTATATCATGTAGAAAAGCTTAGCAATTATTAATTTTTCTTTTATTTTTTTTTATTTGACCAAAGTCGGTGCTGCACTTGACGCAGTGTGTTTTAGGTGTTTGTCTTTGTACTTTTTTGTGATTTTTGAATGCACGTGCGCAGGAAGGGCTCCTCTTAGAGAAGCAGTCAAACTGTGAAGCACTAAGCTGACCCTGCTTCAAGCAATTTTGTTTTTACAACTGTTCCTTTCACAAGCAAGCCTTAAAAAAAAAAAAGACAACTTCCTTTTTCTTCAGCTCCCACACCCCATTTTTCTTAGCAGACTGCAGTCAATCCACATTCAATAAAAAGTATATAATGCCCATTTTTATATGCACGTTTTTAAACTTCCAAGTTCTGAAAATTGTTTACTGGTTATCTCTATTTAAGGAAAAAAAAATAAAATAAAACATTTTGGATTTTCATATGTGTCTGATAAGTGGTTGAATAGTCGTTTGGCGCTGTTGTATGGTGTGATTGTCAGTGTATGGTGTCACTTCCTATAGCCAGCCAGCATACTTTGCCTTCCCCTATAGCACTTAGCTGGGCATTACTTTATTATGACATATGTGCACTAAAAAATGAAAAAAAGGAAAAAAAGAAAAAAAAAAAGAAAAAATAGCAGCTTTCAGTGCTTCACAGTGAAGGGAAAAAAGCCTAGACAAACATTTTGTCAGAACCTTGCAATAAGCCAAGGTATTACCAGTAAATTGGTTGTATATACAATAAAATTGCACCCTTTTTTAAACAAAACAAACTAAGCAATAGTTTGGGCAGTTTTAGTTGTTTTTAGTGAGCATGTTGTAGTCATGACTGCAAAGAGAGAGAATAAACTGCCCGCTCAGAAGATATGTAATTTGTATTGTTGTATAGTTTTATTGATTACACTGATTTATTCTACCCTATTTTATAATGCAGGACTTTTGTAATGTTGTTTAAATGAGGAAAAATTTCTGTCAAATTAGCCTAGTAAAATTTCTGATCGTTCATTATAAAGGCAGCGTTCATAGAATTGCTTTTCTTTCTTTTTACCCCCCCTTTGGGAACTGGATTTAAGTTTAAAACTTTCCTGTTTCCTTTTTTTTTTTTTTTTTGTAAGTATTTAAATACAATTATTTTTTTCTCTCAATGGTATAGCATATTCCTATGCTTGAGAAGTATAGGTCTACTGAAAAACCATTGTAAATGGACGTTACAGGTATGCTGTATTTTTGAAGGTATTTTGTTGTATTAAGTTTGATGAAGCTAAAATTAGGGAACTCTGAACAGATTTGCAGGAAAAAATGTTTTAAAGGCTTTAAAACATTAGGGAGGCAGTCTAGGGTGATAACGAACAGGGGTTAAGTATTAAATACACGAAGTTACATTTTTGTTCATGTTTCATTGTCCAGAAAGCAGCAGGAAACTATTCAGTTGTGATCAAGCAGGAAAAAAGAAACACCAACAGTTGCCAGTGTTTTTGCTTTTTAGCTTAAAAGCATAGTGAAGATGCTTGAGGAAGACTTTGCTACCTGGGGTGTGTAGACAGACAGACTGAGAGCTATCAGCATTTGAAGGCCCAGCCCTTGACTCTGAGACACATTTGAATTTTTTCTTTCCCATCAAATGGCATTAACAAGATTGGGCAAAGATGAGTCCCTCAAATTTCTGTGTTTTTTGTTTGTTTGTTTGTTTGTTTTTTCTTTGGGAACTGAAGTCAGAGGCACGAACACTAACTCTTAGCATTTTTCTGTAGACTTTTTCTTCTGGCCCTTGTCCCTGCCAGCAAAACGCCCCTTTTCTGATCATTCGTGCGCAGAGGGCCTCCCAGTAATGCCACGCTCTCCATGCTAGAGAGCCTTCTCTTTCCTCTGAGGTTTGAACTGATGTTCTGTGTCTTCACACCCTGGCATGACAGTTACGTGTGGTCAGCCCGCTCCCCAGGCCCGTCCCTGCCGCCGCCAGGTGTGGGCTCTAGGCAGGCCGACAAGGTTACACCTCCCAGAGCTTGTGATCTTCATTTTCTGACAGTCAAAGTGTGAAGGAACCCAGACTTCCCCGAGCCACGGTGTTCAGTCAGCCCACAGGAATATGCAAGACCCATCTCCAAAAGTTTGTCTTTGATTTTTTCCAAGCCCTTAGCCCCATAAGCTTTGAATCCTGTAGTTACAGTGGCATAAAGGACTGACAAAACCTGGATAAGGAAAAACCTTTTTTTTCTATGAATTTTTTTTGTTTTTTAGGGGAAAGGGATTCTAAGAATGTCATTTAATGTACTTTGCATCATGTCTCTAGAAATATCTTTGTCCATAGTGGTGGTGGAGTCTCTCTCTCTCTCTCTCTTTTTGTTTGCTTCTGTTTTCTTTCTTGTCTTCATTCTTTCTTTTCTTTTTTATTTCTGGTAGCAGGCCTCCATAGAACAAATCTAAAACACAACCACCATAGTAATGTAAGGAGAGCTTCAGTGGCACCTCAAAACCCACCCTTCGAGATCTGTCCAAAGACAGTCTCAGAAAGCTGCACTGCCCACCGGCTCAGCTTTCATTCAAAAAGGCTTCCAAGGCCAATTCTGTCTTGAAGTCAATGCATGTATTTACTGTTTGACAGTAAACCCGCTCTGCCTTCTCCACGTCCAAGGCTGTGCATTCGTCTAATTAGCGTCGTGTATGTTTTCCTTTTATTTTTTCCAATAAAAAAGCAGTGGGATGAAAATTGCTTTGATATATAGCAGGTAACATTGAAGCTATTCCATAGCACTTAACTGTAGTGAATACTGTGTCACCAATTTTGAAATCAATTTAATGTTTAATGCAAATCCATTACATGGTGCTATTATAGGCTGACAAAATGATTTACACAAATGTGACAACTTGGGCTCAATTCACTCTGCTTTCCAACAGTGTAAATGCATAGCAGTGTTTATCTGCATGAGAACTATGCACTAATCTATCTGAAGAAAAAAACTATATCAACTTTGGTATCTACTTTCCGTTTACTTCAATCCTTGCCTTTTTGGTCATTGTTATAATGCCAGCTTTAGGACAGAAAGAATTATAAGAAAACCAGCATAATACCTGATATATTAAAATGTAGTGCCTGTGAAATCTGTATTATATTGCTCTTCTGAAGTAAGATTTTTCTACACCGGTAGCCTTCGCTGTCTGTCAGTCAGGACCTTCTGGTATAGGTGATGTAAAATAACCGTACAATATTAATGCATGCGATTCCATAATGCTTAGTGAACTGTATGAATATTACTCAAAGTTATGTTAGTCTTTTTTTCCGACTTGGTTCTTGTCAGCTAGGTTTAAAGGTATTTCACTGAGAACGCAAATTCTGTCTTTTCTTGATTTCGGCTGTTTTCAGTATTTTGGAGGTATACATTTACTTAAATTCAGTATTACTCGTGTTTTGTTTTTGTTTTTGTTTTTTGTTTTCTTTTTCCTAGGGGACAAGCATGGGTGTTTGATTTCAGAAATCAGTACCTGGCGAGATTTTTGTCTCAAAACGACTATTTGAATTTCAAGAACTGTGCTGCGAAGACACTCTGAGAACATTTGCAAGTCAGGGGCATTTTCCTTGACCCTTGACTGATGCTATGCGGAGACTGATACATTTTCTTAATGGACAATGTTCAAGCCAGGTACCCATGCTTGATCTGTCTTCACACCAGACCTCCTCATATTAAAAGGAAAAATAAGAAAAAAAATGTAAGAAATCACATGGCTATTTAGTTTCATGCACAGTTGCAATATTTTCTTCAAAAATAAAACTCTGTACAAACTTTGGGCCCGATTCATAAGAAAAAGAAGTTTGCTATTAACACGGGATTTTTTTAATATACTTTTTTTGGTCTAAATTTGAAATTACTTGCTTCCCAAATTAAATAAATTTCATCTCATTTTTTTCCCTAAACCAGCACCCATCTGCCTTTTATTCCCCAAAGAGTTACCTTTCCCAGATTAGGGGGATGGTATGTGGGGAGCAGATAGCGGAAATGCTTAGAAAGATAAGGGGGACCACCCACAGCTGGTCGTGAGAACAGGGAGACAGTGTGTGGGGGTGGGACCTCATCTGTGTGCCTGGTATCCTGAGTTTTACATGTAGATGCATTCGCCTATTTGATTCAGAAAAATAAACTTTCCCAAAATGTGTCTGAACCACAAGAGCATACAGTGGAAGTGCTACCTCTAATCTAACCAGAGCACCTTCATGGTGGAAGACACCCACCAGGTCATACAATGTGAACTTTTGTATCTCTGCAGTGGTTTCAAGGACAAATAGTGTCCAATGTATTGGGCCATTTTTCCTGCTGTTTTTATACTCAACTTCTCAAAATGAAAAAAGCTTTTATTTTTCCTTTGACTTATTTGTGTTGTTCTTATTTTTTAAATTTTTATTTTTTGATAATAGTCTGTAAGTTAGCCTTTTTGGGTTTTTTTTTTTTTTTTTTGGCTTTTTTTTTTGTTTGTTTTTTTTTCTTTTGACATTGCAACCGAAGGTCATAAGGCCGCTAGCTCCGCTGGGACAGAGGCTTGAGAGAACTAACGGCTCGGTGCCTTCTCCCTGGTCTCAGACCATCGTCTCTGCACTGCGAAGGCATTTGGTAGCCTCGCCACTGAGATACTAACTAGACCTAGACTAGGAGCTTTATCAGGTTCTAGGAGGTCCTTTAGGAAGACTCTCAAAGGCAAATCCCTGATCCCCCGCCCCACCCTTAGCCCTGCCCTCTCACCAGAGCAAAATTCACTGGGGACTTTTCCCACCACACATGGAAATCTGTCCACTCGGAATACCTCTGTTTTCCATTTCAAATTGTAGGGGGAGGGGATGGAACACTTCCAGTGATGGTAAGAGATCTGTTATGAAACGAAACACCCCCCGTGTTAATAACTTGGTCTGAAATCTGTTTTTATGAGCCGGGCCCCCTGTGCCTCTAGTATACTTGTATTGACTCTCATAGTTACCCTTTTAGTTTTACTGTGTTCTGTGAAAATTTGTAATTGGTTGAGAATCACTGTGGGCGTCCATTCTTATTCAACTAAATCTCCACAGGTTTTTTGAGCTGGTGTGGATTAGTTTAACTCTTGTATTCAACCATTAGTGCTACCACCTTCTCACATTACAATACAATTACTGGAAGCAAGTACTGCATTTCCTATGCAACAAAAAAGGAAAAATAAAAAATTGCTAATGCTATGGAAGCTGTGTCATCATTTGCTTTACAGCATGCCTGGGTGATTGAGTGACAGTCACGGGTGTGGACTGGAGGCTCCCACAGAAGATGGTCTTTATGCACCATGGGGTTTGTCAGGCACATAGCATCCTTGGCTGTGTTCTGATGGGCAGTGTTACTTTTTTCACCTACTTGGACAAATACAGGATTTGACACTCACATAGTGTTTACTGTGTGCCTGATATTGTTCTGAGTGCTGTATAGATTGTATCAGTTGGGGCCCAATCGGGAATCAGGAATAAGATTCAATGGGTTTTCCAACAGGGGCTGTAAAGTTGCCTAGGTATTAGTAACTGCAGGATACAGCCACTACCCCTGGAGCTGGGGAAACCGAAGGGAAAGGTGGGCTTACCAGAACCTAGGCACTCAAGGAGGGACACCACACAGCTGATATTTGGGTCTTTTCTGAGGGAGGTGGTCACCACAAAGGTGGGGACAGCACATGGCCAGTGGCCAGACCTCTGAGAAGACATGGGGTGCTGGTGCTAGAATCACTGCAGAGAATGAAGGGGAGATTAGTACTTTCTGAGGAGGTGAGGTGTGGCTGGTGCCAGAGTGCCCAAAGGAGCTGGAGGCTGCAGGTGCAGCTGTTCTCTGCTGCGGTGGCATTGTGGACAGAAACTGAAACCAGAAAGAAATCCCTTCGCCCTCTTCCTCCTCCTCCTCCTAGGCTCCTGCCTGTGTCTCCCCTGGGCTGGACCTAATGGTAGCCGTCAGGCAAGGGAGTCTGGAAAAGGTAATGAGAAAAATATCAGCCCCAACCCCACGAAGCAGAATATAGATGAGACAGCTTGGAGACAAGACGATACATAAATAACAGCAGACATATCTCAGTCCATTCAAACCTCACAGCCACCCTGGGAGAGAGGTACTGCTTTTATCCTTTTATAGATGAGGAAACCAAGGCAGAGGGAGATTAAATAATTTACCCAAGGCCATATGGTGTGTAATTGACAAAGGGGGATTTGAATCCAAGAAATCCGGCCCCAACCTCCATCCTATAATCACTGCAATATATTGACTCTATTAATTATTTATTCAATAAATACTTATTGAGTGCCTACTATGTACCAGAGACCATGCCAGGGGCTAGAAATAGTAAAGATTGGGCATCTATGCTGATAGAGTATGCATTCTAGTGGACAAACGAAACATTCAAATAATGTTTGAACAGCAGCAGAGGTAAGCATGTGGTTGTGACATGTGCCATAAATGTTATACATTGTTGCAGGAGGATGCCATGAGCTCAAGAGTTCGAGACCAGCCTGGGTAACACAGGGAGACCCCCATCTCTACCAAAAATTTAAAAATTTAAAAATTGGCTGAGCATGGTGGTGTGCATCTGTGGTCCCAGCTACTTGGGAGGCTGAGGTGGGAGGATGGCTTGAACCTGGGAGATCGAGGCTGCAGTGAGCCACGATCGTGCCACTGCACTCCAGCCTGAGTGACAGAGCGAGACCCTGTCTCAAAATAAATTTGTTTAAAAAAGGATATACATTGCCATGAAAGCCTAATGAGACTAGTATGATAGGTAGAAATTAACCAGGCAAAAGAGGGAAGAAAATATTCTGCGCAGAAAAACCAGCATGTACAAAGAACCTGAGTCAAATGGAGCTCGGCACCTGTGAGGGGATAGAAGAAGGCTTGTTTGGATGAAGAGAGAAACGGAGAAGAAATGCAGTACGAAATGAAGCTTGATATTTAGGTGAAGACATTGTGGGACCTTGCAGGCAGGTTTGTCCTACCTTCTAAGAGCTTTATAAAACATGTATCAATCAGATTAGACTAGGTCTGTGCTGTCATACAAACAAGTCCAAAATCTCAGTGGCTCGCAACAATAAAGGTTTACCACCGATTTTACATGTCTATCAAAGGTTGCCTGAGGCCTCTTCACAGGATCTCATTCCGGGACCCAGGGTGAAAAGTAGCTACCATCTGGACCACTGCTGGATGTGTCAGCAAGGCACATAGCTGGCTTTTAATATTCCAACTGGAATTGACACACGCCACTCCGCTCACATTTCACTGGCCAGAACAAGTCACCAGGCCATGCCTGGGTTTGACAGGACCTAGAAGGATAATCCTTCCCCGCGGAAGGCTTAGAGAACATTACTGCAGCCTAGTTAAGAGAGGAGAGAGAAGTAGGACCTGAGTGGAGAGGGCTGCCAAAGAAAGCTACTGCAGCAATGGAAGAGATGACAGACTCCCAGGCTGTGGTGCCCATGATAGAATGTAAGAGAAGTGGATAGATGCGAGAGATTAATACGGGTATTAATAGCCACTGCATATTGAGCTCTTTCATGTGCCAAGTGCTATAGGTGATTTATCCCATTAAATTGAATATGTTCTCTCTTATTGTAGCTCTCAGAAAGGTATAGTCAGTCCTCAAAACACATTGCTGACTCAAGTGAATAGAGCAATTTCACATGTACATGCCTTAGAGTTTAAGTTAGACCAAATCAGTCACTACCTTATTTCAGTCTTGAGTATTTGGGATTAAGAAATTGGAATGAAAGTCAGCCGACACCACCCCTTTATTGACATACTCTATGACAAGTGGTGTGTAATACTGGGCTCAAAGGGAAGGTAATGCAGTGATCAAAACGATGGACTCAGACCCAGTCAGCCTGGGTTGAATCCTGGCTCTGCATTTTATTAGCTCTGTGGTGTTGGCAAGTGCCTCAGTTTCCCCATTGGTAAGATGGGAATAATTATAACAGCACCGAACTACTTCATAGGGCTGATGTAGATTTTTGATGAGTTAAATTTTGTAAAGTGGTTAACAGTGGCTTGGCATATTGTAAATGCTATGTGAATGCTGTAACTAACTCAACAAATGATTCCAAAATGTAGACATAAGGCATTCTTTCAGTGCACCATTGGCATAAACCTTCTTCCTCTTCCTGATCATTTTCAGGCCTCTATTTGGGGGAATTCTGAAACCTTTCATCTAACACCTGCCTCAACTAAGTAGGAGGAAGTAGCATACAAAATTAGTCCAGGAATAAAGAAAATGTGGTATATATCCACAATGGAATATTATTCAGCCATAAAAGAATGAAATTCTGCCATTTGCAGCAACATGGATGAGCCCAGGGGACATTATCGTTAAGTGAAATAAGCCAGGCGCAAAAAGGCAAATACTGCATGTTCTCACTCATGTGAAAGCAAAAGTTGATCTTGTAGAGAGTAGAACAGTGGTGACCAGAGGCAGGAAAAGCGGTGTGTGCAGGATAACAAGTTGGCTAATGGGTACAAAATTACACTTAGGATAAATAAGTTATAGTGTTCTTATAGCGTAGTAGGATATATGTAGCTAACAATAATATATTGTACATATCAAAATAGCTAGAAGAGAGGGTTTTGAATGTTCCCAACACAAAGAAATGATCAACATTGGAGGTGATCGATATTTCAATTAGCCTGATTTTATCATTACACATTGTATACATTCATTGAAAGAACACATGTACCCCATAAATATATATGATTATTATGTATCAATTTAAAACTTAAAAGAATTTTTTGAGATGGAATCTTACTCTGTTGCCCAGGCTGAAGTACAGTGGCACAGTCTTGGCTCATTGCAGCCTCCACCTCCTGGTTTCAAGCAATTCTTGATCCTTGTGCATCAGCCTCCTGAGTAGCTGAGATTACAGGTGTGCGCCACCATGCCCAGCTATTTTTTATATTTTTAGTAGAGTTGGGGTTTTGCCATGTTGCCCAGGCTGGTCTTGAACTTCTGGCCCCAAGTGATCTGCCCACTTCAGCCTCCCAAAGTGCCCGCCAGGATTATAGGCGTGAACCACTGCACCCAGCCAAAACTTAAAAATGTATGTGTGTATATATATATACATATATATATACATATATATACATATATATATATATACACACACACACACACACACACATATATATATATATATATCTCGCACCATTGCACTCCAGCCTGGGCGACAGAGCGACACTCCGTCTCAAAAAAAAAAAAAAAAAAAAGAGTGGATTTCCCTGGCAGTCAGAATACCGTTAAGGAAAATACGAACCAGAGCCAGGTGAGGCCATCTCTCTGGGTTCCATCCAATCTAGTCTGGTGCCCGATGCTTGGAACTGTGCTTCCCAGCACATTCTCATCCATGTTCATTGAGCCATTCGGACTTCTCTCTTGAGGGCGGCAGAGATTGCTGCGTTCATTTTACCAGTGAGGAAACTGAGACTCCGAGGTGCAGTAACTTGCTTAGTGTTATGTGGCCAGTAAGTGGTGGAAGTGGGACTCACAATCCAGTCCTCTAGTTTCAAGCCAGGCTCCTTTCCACTATACAATACTGCCCTCCAGGGTGCCAGGGTTCTTCTCCTTGGAGAGGCACCAGAGTAATAGTTGTTATGTGGTTGATACTGCGCTGGGTGTTTTACATGCATTAATTTCATTTAACCCTTTTAATGACCTTATAAGGTAGTTACTATCCTTATTCCCATTTTACATATAGGGAAATTGAGGCCCTATATGTAACTAATAAAATGACAAACCAAGATATGTATAGATAGATGATAGATAGATAGATAGATAGACAGATGATAGATGATAGATATAGATATAGATATATCTAAATATATATATATATTTAGATGGAGTTTCACTCTTGTTGCCCAGGCTGGAGTGCAATGGCGCCAATGGCGCAATCTCGGCTCACTGCAAACTCTGCCTCCCAGGTTCAAGCCATTCTCCAGCCTCAGCCTCCCTAGTAGCTGGGATTGCAGGTGCCCACCACCACACCCAACTAATTTTTTGTATTTTTAGTGGAGACAGGGTTTCACTATGTTGTCCAGACTGGTCTGGAACACCTGACCTCGGGCAATCCACCCACCTCAGCTGGGATTACAGGCGTGAGCCACCATACTGGCTAACTCAAAATATTTTTAAGAGTTAATAGAAATATGAAAGGAAAAAAAATGAATCCAGGATCTGAGACCAGACACACTGGGCTTAAGTCTTGGTTTGTCATTTTATTAGTTCTGCAATATTAAGGGCCTCAATTTCCCTATATGTAAAATGGGAATAAGGATAGTAACTACCTTATAAGGTCATTAAAAGGGTTAAATGAAATTAATGCATGTAAAACACCCAGCGCAGTATCAACCACATAACAACTATTAGTCTGGTGCCTCTCCAAGGAGAAGAACCCTGGCACCCTGGAGGGCAGTATTGTATAGTGGAAAGGAGCCTGGCTTGAAACTAGAGGACTGGATTTTGAGTCCCACTTCCACCACTTACTGGCCACATAACACTAAGCAAGTTACTGCACCTCGGAGTCTCAGTTTCTTCACCGGTAAAATGAACGCAGCAATCTCTGCCTCCCTCAAGAGAGAAGTCCGAATGGCTCAATGAACATGGATGAGAATGTGCTGAGAAGCACAATTCCAAGCATCGGGCACCAGACTAGATTGGATGGAACCCAGAGAGATGGCCTCACCTGGCTCTGGTTTGTATTTTCCTTAACGGTATTCTGACTGCCAGGGAAATCCACTCTTTTTTTTTTTTTTTTTTTTTTTTTGTTTGTTTGTTTTGAGACGGAGTGTCGCTCTGTCGCCCAGGCTGGAGTGCAATGGTGCGATCTCGGCTCACTGCAAGCTCCGCCTCCTGGGTGCACGCCCTTCTCCTGCCTCAGCCTCCCAAGTAGCTGGGATTACAGGCGCCCGCCACCACACCCAGCTATTTTTTTGTATTTTTAGTAGAGACAGGGTTTCACCGTGTTAGCCAGGATGGTCTCGATCTCCTGACCTCGTGATCTACTTGCCTCGGCCTCCCAAAGTGCTGGGATTACAGGCGTGAGCCACCGCGCCCGGCCGGGAAATCCACTCTTAACAGGCAAGGAAAGGAGGCCAAGAGACTGGCACCAGTCATCATTTTAACCATCCACGTTCTGCCTCTTTGGTAAAAGAACATGGCTAAATAGTAAAGATCCCACTGGCGGAGAAGCAGGGCTTCCCTTGACTTATGAGGAATGAAATACCTTCTGGTTCATCTCTGAAACACATTAGGCCATTGTAAATTTGCTTTCCATCTGGCACACTCAGTATGGATTTTAAGTCTTTTTATAGGAAACCTGGTAAAACAAATAAAAAGCACATTTATCTCTACTATCACATTAAATTTTTTATTATGGAACAATATCATGCATGTACAAATTAAAGAGATTGATGAACAAATTAATATGTACCTATCGTCCATCACTTGTAATCAATGGCTCCCCCGTTTACACCCCAGCCACTTCCTGACTGACCACCCCCAGGTTATTTTAAAACAAATATCAGGTATCCATAAATTTCATTTCGTCCCCAAATTTTTAGACTATATCTCTAAAAGACAAGAATTCTTTTATAAGACGTACTCAAAATACCATTTTATACCTCAAAATAGTAACAATAATTTCTTAATATCACTGAATAACCAGTCTGTTCAAAAACTCCTATCTTATAATTTTTTAAAAATAGTTTGTCCAAATAAGAAACATTCACTAAATGGTTTGTATATGCCTTAAGTCTTTATAACTGTAGGGTCTCCTTCCCTCTCTGGTATTTTCCTTGTAACAATTTGCTTGAGAAACTGGGTCATTTGTCCTGAAGAGTTTTTCACAGGATTTGGTGGATTATATCAATGTGGCATACACAATTCAGCATGTTCTACCATAAAATTGGAAGCATATTCCTGACCTTGGAAGTTGACCCTATGGGATGAAATCCCAAGACTGTTTCACAGATAAATCATGGGAAGGACTAAGGGACTTGCCCTTGGGTTTGTGTCCTGACTCTCTGGAAACTGTGGGCAAATAACTGGCCCAAAGGGCAAGCTGCTTCAGGACAGTTCTATGCTGCTGATTTTTGTTTTGTTTTGTATTGTTTCATCTAACAGGGAAAGCGAAGGCTAAGGGAGGGCCTACTGAATGACAAAGGACCCTGTCCTTTGTCAGCTTCTACTGATATTAAAAACAAAAACAAACAAACAAAAAAACAGACAAAAAAACTATTTCCACCTTAACAGGGAAGATGAATAATTCTGGTTGAAAACTCAAGATTAAAGTCTGTCTGGACTGGGCACAGTGGCTCACGCCTGTAATCCCAGCACTTTGGGAGGCCAAGTCAGGCAGATGACCTGAGGTGACGGAGTTGAAGACCAGCCTGTCCAACATGGTGAAACTCCGTATCTACTAAAAAAAAAAAAAAAAAAAAAAATTAGCCAGGTGTGGTGGTGGGCGCCTGTAATCCCAGCTAATTGGGAGGCTGAGGCTGGAGAATCGCTCGAACCCAGGAGGTGGAGGTTGCAGTGAGTGGAGATCATGCCATTGCACTCTAGCCTGGGCAACAAGAGGGAAACTCCGTCTCAAAAAATAAAAATAGGCCAGGCACGGTGGCTCACGTCTGTAGTCCCAGCACTTTGGGAGGCCGAGGCAGGCAGATCACCTGAGGTCGGGAGTTCTAGACCAGTCTAACCAACATGGAGAAACCCCTTTCTCTACTAAAAATACAAAATTAGCTGGGCATGGTGGTGCATGCCTATAATCCCAGCTACTCAGGAGGCTGAGGCAGGAGAATCGCTTGAACCTGGGAGGCAGAGGTTAGAGTGAGCCAAGATCACGCCATTGCACTCCAGCCTGAGCAACAAGAGAGTAACTCCATCTCAAAAAAATAAATAAATAAAATAAAAATAAAAATAAAGTGTTTCTGTTCATGCCTCCTTGTTCAATAGGCTTCTTTCCTTTGAGAATATGTGCTCTTGGGGACCAGAAGTCAGTTGCTAGCCAGGGAAGAAAGAATTCCCTGGTCAGGCTGTGTGGAAGCAGTGGGGCTAGATTCTTGAAGGCTCTAAGATCACTTCATCTCTAGCTCACTTGCTGCTTCCACTTCCACCACCATGGCTCTGAACCCTGACATGGGCCAACTCTTTTCTATGAAACTACAAAAGCTCATTCTGTAAAGTCATTCAAAACAAACACAACAAACATCATTGAGTAGCTCCCATGTGCCAGAACTTGGGGTTAGCGAAGGAGATGAATTTGAGATCATCCCAGAAGAATGGAATCTAGTAGAGGAAGCAGACATGCAAACCGAATAATCACGCCACAGCCTTGCAAAAACCACGAAGACATCATGGGCCAGGTAATCTGGGAACCAATCATGCCCAAGGAAGAGAGAAGAGGGAGGAGCAGGGGCTCTACAGGGAGCCCCTGGAGGCTACAGGGAGGAGATACACAGTCTAGGAGTTCAAGGATGAGGAAGAGTTCAAGAGATTGGCTGGAAGATACTAATGACACTAATAGTAACAACAGCCACATGCACTGAGTGAACCCTTCACTTCACACCGTGTGTTATTCTAAGTGCTTCCCACACACTTGCACATATAATCCAACCCAGTGGCAGAGACACCATTGTTATCCCTATTTTACAGATGAGGATACTGAGGCACAGTTTCAGTAGTGTTTCTTCCCTTCTTAATAGCTACCTGTGTATGACCTTAAAATGCAAACACTCAGAGGCTTAAGGGGTGTAGTGCCTGACATGTGTAAATCACAATTTGTTCCAAAATGAAGTCTGGTTGACCGCCCTCTTCCCAATGCCCAGAACAGTGCTTGGCATATAAAATACACTCTATACTGTGAGGGGATGAGCATCCTATTATCCTGTGTGCCCCTCCAGATGCACTCTCCAATCTTCTCCAAAATCCTCTCTGCTCGGAAGACTGACCTGTGTGGACCACATCAGTGGGCTTCTCTGACCTAGAGCTTTCAATTGAGATCAGCAGATTGGAAGCGCTGACAGAATGGTGGATTGGAGGAGAGTGATGTCAGGGTATTTATGCAGGGACTACAGAAAGTTCCTGGAGAAATGGAGTTAAAAGATAAAAATAATGCTTTCCTGGGGGTCATGTTAAAAAGATAAAATAATTTTTGGCTGGGTGCGGTGGCTCATGCCTGTAATCTCAGCACTTTGGGAGGCCGAGGCGGGCAGATCACTTGAGGTCACGAGTTCGAGACCAGCCTGACCAACATGGTGAAACCCTGTCTCTACTAAAAATACAAAAATTAGCCAGGCGTTGTGGCGGGCACCTATAATCCCAACTACTCGGGAGGCTGAGGCAGAAGAATCACTTGAACCCAGGAGGCGGAGGCTGCAAAAAAAGATAAAATAATTGTTTTAAAATACAAACTTTGTTTCTCAACGTGAGCTTCATAAATTTCAAGACATCTTTGTGAGGGATGATCGCAGTCATTTAGTCCATCCCTTGAGAACTGAGGGTCCCAGGAATTTAACCATGTCAGTGCAGTCTTTCTTACATTATTAACAGGACAAAAATGGGTGCCCTTTAAATATTTTTTTAAGATTAGGAAACAAAAGGAAGTCAGAAAGAGTCAAAGCAGGACCGTGATGTGGATGCCCAATGATATCCCACTGAAACTCTCACAAAGTTTGCCCCGTTTGAGGAGAGGAATGAGCAGGAGCACTGTTGTGCTGGAAAAGGCCTCTCTGGTGAAGCTTTCCTGAGCATTTTTCTGTGAACACTTTGGTTAACTTTCTCCACTCTCATAGTAAGTAGATGTTATTGTTCTTTGTCTCTCCAGAAAGTCAATAAGCAAAATGCCTTGAGCATCCCCAAAAAACCATTGCCATGACCTTTGCTCTTGACTAGAACAGTTTTGCTTTGACTAGACCACTTCTACTTCTTTACTTTTTTTTTTTTTTGAGAGACAAGGTCTCATTCTGTTCCCCAGGCCAGAGTACAGTGGCATGATCACAGGTGACTGAAGCTTCTGCTCCCTGGGCTTAAGCAATCCTCCTACCTCAGCCTCCTGAATACCTGGGACTACAAGAGCATACCACCACACCTGGCTAATTTTTTCTATTTTCTGTAGAGATGGAGTCTTGCTATGTCGCCTAGGCTGGTCTCAAACTTCTGGACCCAAGTGATCCTCCACCTCAGCCTCCCAAAGTGCTGGGATTACAGGTGTGATTCACGGTGCCTGGCACACTTCCACCTGTTGGTAGCCATTGCTTTGATTGTGCTTTGTCTTCAGGATCATACTGGTAAAGCTGTGTCTTATCTCCTGTTGCAGTTCTTCAAAGATGTGCTTCAGAACCTTCATCCCACTTGTTTAAAATTTCCATTGAAAGCTCTGCTCTTGTCTGCAGCTGATCTGGGCACAAGGGTTTTGGCACCCATTGAATGGAATGGGTGACTCAACTTTAATTTTTCACTCGGAGAATTGTGTAAGCTGAACCAGTTGAGATGTCTGTGAGGTCGGCTATTTTTGTGCTGTTAATCATTGGTCCTCCTCATTTAGAGCATGAACTGGGTTAATTTTTTTCCTCAGAAATTGATGTGGACAGTCAGCCACTGTGGGCTTCATCTTCAACATCGTTTCTTTCCTTCTTAAAATGAGTTATCCATTTGCAGCCTGCTGATTTCTTTTTCTTAGAGACAGGGTCTTGCTCTGTCACCCTGGCTGGAGTGCAGTGGCACAATCCCGGCTCACTGCAACCTCTGCCTCCCGGGTTTAGACAATTCTCATGTCTCAGCCACCTGAGTAGCTGAGATTACAGGTGTGCACCACACGCCCAGCTAATTTTTGTATTTTTAGTAGAGATGGGCTTTTGCCATGTTGGCCAGTCTGGTCTTGAACTCCTGACCTCAAGTGATCTGCCCACCTTAGCCTCCCAAAGTGCTGGGATTACAGGAGTGAGCCACCATGCTTGGCCTAGACTGCTGATTGTTGGGAGGCATTGTTCCCATAAGCTTTTTGTGATGCATCAATGATCTCACCATTCTTCCATCCAAGCTTCACCATACATTGTTTCTTCTTGCTTTCATTTTAGCAGAATTCATGCTGCTCTGATAGGGGCTCTTTTCAAATCGATGTCTTATCCTTCTTAGTGCCTCAAACTAGATCCTATTCAGTCATGTTATAACAAGTTAGTATGAGTTTATTTTGGTGTAAACATTTTGAAAATCAAGCATAGTTTTTTCCTAATACACATTTTCCATGAACTTTTTAAAGACTCATCGTATTTCCCTGGCTCCCTCTGGTTCCCCTCTGGCTGGTGGCATTCCTCAACAGAAGGTCACAGCTCCTCTCAAGATTCTCTGGACCCGAATTTCTCCTTCTACTTTCTAGTAACTGCTCTCTCTCTCATTCCTTCAGGCGTGGGGTAGTAAAAGCTCTGGGGGTACTGCTCTATCCTTTGTATTCTCCCTACATCTTGTCCACGCTTTTGTAAAAAGTCTCTGTATTAAACCCCTCTCAAACCATCTTGAGCTGTATGTGCCATCTGTTTCCCGCTGGAACCCTGACTGATAGAGAGATCAAGCCAGAGCAGACTTCCGGAATCTTCTTTCTCCTGAAACTCCAGCAGAGGCTCAGATTTATTCACATGATAGATGTCAAAACCATAAATTTTCCCATCTTAGTTTATCCTTGACTCAGAAGGCTGGACTCAACCTTCAAAGGTCACTGAAGTCCATTTCTCTGCCTCCAGCTGGGAATCCCACCCCCACCCCCACCCTGACTGCTCCTGTCAGAGGGAAGTACATCTTACTCTGAAGATCTCCAGGTAAGGAGATACCATAACTCACTCATGTGTCTTCAGTCTCCTTGCCTGATAAATCTCCCTCCTGTCTAACAGGAACCCCTTGTGTTACAGGTGAAGCCTGTTTCCTTTGTCTGTTCCTTGGCAAGAGCTGAAAAAAGATCCTTCATTCTTTGAAAATAGGCATTAAATCATCCTCGCCCTTCTCCGGCTCTGAAGTGCAGATCAATGAAGGCAGACAATCTGCACATGCTAGTCTCAAGCAGTCAACCTGGACGTTCTAGGAGAACCCTACACTGTAACTAACATTTACATGAATGTGTTTGAAAGGTTTATCCGAGGCAGAAGGGAAAGATGGAGCCAAAATCTCTGGGAAAAAAAAAAAAATGGCTGGAATGGGTTCCTGACAGAAGTGATGGTGAATTCTTCTTTTTCAATTTACTTTTAACTTATTGGAGATTTATCCTCTTCCTGTTATCCAAACCCTGAATTCTGGAGGGTGCCGGTTTGCTGCTATTAACCAGCCCTGACAAAGGCTGCCACTCTGTGAACAGAAATCTGCAGGCAGTTCCTCTCAGCTCTGCCTTCTCTTTCTGTATTTGTCTGCTCGGGCTTTCATAACAAAATACTACAGACTGGGTGGCTTCGACACAGAAGTGTATTTATTCACAGTTCTGGAAGGCCACAGGCTGGAAGTCCAAGGTCAAGGTGTTGTAGGTTTGCTTTCTTCTGGGGCCTCTCTCCTTGGCTTGCAGATGGCTGCCTTCTCTCTGAGTCCTCACGTGACCTTTTTTCTCTGCCTGCAAATCCCTGGTGTCTCTGGTGTCTTTCTTTGTGTCCAAATGTCTTTTTATAAGTACACCAGTGGAATTAGCCCCTGCCCCACAACAGCCTCATTTTAACTTAACCACCTCTTTATATGTCTTATCTCCAAATACCTTCAGAGGCACTGGGAATTCAACATATGACGTGATTCAGCCTATTATACTCTCCTTCTTCTCTTCAGCAATCTCTACCTAACTGGGCTTCCAATGGACTTGAACTGAGCCAGCCATGAACCAGGAACAGTAGTAAAACCTAGAATCTGATAAACCTCATAGCCTACAGACCATTGCTTTAAAACAAATTGTACTAAAATTCAAAAATGTCTCCCCTAAATCTTGATGTACACACACACATTCACATGCATGCACATGTGTGTGTGAGTGCATGTGCATGCACACACACACCACACACACAATCCCAGTTGTTTGTTTTAAAGCATTTACCTGGATTATTAAAGTGTTCTCTAATTTCATACACTTTGTTTTATTCTCATTCCTAGATTAGTAAACTCAATCACATGGGATTTCAGCCTATTCCTACAAAAGCATACATGGCTGATGTATCAGCCCCTTCTCATTCCTACATCATTTAGATGTCCAGCCCTGAAACCCAACAGTCAGCACTAGAGAGGGTGCTTTACTTGTGTCACGGGGTCATCTCATTTAATCATTTAATCCTTCCAGTAGGATAGAAACTAGGAGTCCCATTCAATAAAAGAAGAAACTATAAGACACAGAAAAATTAGTCACTCAAATGAAAAGCGTGCACCCTGAGGGCTCACCTCTGAGCCTCAAAAGCTGAGTAAAATGTATTTACACAAAGAGTTGCTATCAACTAATATTACTGAATACTTGCACCCCAAAATGCTCACAATTAGGACTTGTGGACACCTCACAATCCTTCAGTGCTTTCAGAATAATTAAGAAAAGCTCTGAATAACGTTAACACCACGGGAATAGGCTAAACTTTTAAAGAAAGTTTTGTCCTTTGGGAGTGAGTGGCCAGTACATGAACCATCAACTGAATTGTTGGTTACCTTAGCACCATTTTCAGAGTGTGGGGGGCATTCAGTGGGTGAGGGGAGAACATGACCCCTGAGGACACACACCCATGCCTGTTACACTGTGTGGGGGAAGTCCTGATCCTTCAGGAGCCCCCTACATGTTCAGTCAGGGCAAATCCTCAGTGATTCCACAGAGAGCCAGGGATGTGCCCTCAGCACAGCAAAAGGAAGTCAGAGATTCCTACTCTTGGCCCATTGTCCCCTTGAGTGAATTGAGCCTCATCATCTCCTGGGATGGAAAATACACAGGATCTGGACTTAACAGTGGTGTTTGGAGCTGAGAGGTTGTATTAGTCAGGGTTCTCCAGAGAAACAGAATCAAGAGGATAAATATATGTATTTGTATCTGGAAAGAGATAAGGTATGGGCTCATGCAATTATGGAGGCTAAGATGTCCTACCATCTACCGTCTGCAAGCAGAGACCCAGGAAAGCTGGTGGTGTAGTTCAACGGCCTGAGAGCCAGAGGCTGATGGTGGAGATTCCAGTCCAAGTCTGAGGGTCTGAAAACCAGGAGTGCCAGGGACGAGAGAAAATGGATGTCCCGGTTCAAGCCGTCAGGAAGATAGCTAATTCACCCCTCCTCTGCCCTCATGCTATTATACTACCCTCAACGGACCCTCAATGGATCAGATCATATCCACCCACGTTAGGGAGGGCCGTCTGCTTTACTAACTTTACAGTTCAAACGTAAACTGTTTCTCTTCTGGAAACACCCCCACAGACACAGCCAGGAATCCTGTTTAACCAGGTACCTGAGCATCCTGTGATCCAGTCAAGCTGACAAACATGAACTATCACAGAGGTAATACAGTAGTCCCCCCTTATCCATGGAGAATGGATTCCAAGACACCCCTCATCCCACCGTGGATGCCTGAGACCACGGAGAGTACCGACCCCTACAGACACTATGTTTTTTCCTGTACAGTAATGGGTGGGTAGCATCCACTGTGTGGATCTGCTGGACAAAGGGATAATTCACAGCCTGAGCAGGGTGATGTAGGATGGCTTGAGATTCTATCATGCCACTCAGAACAAGACACAATGTTAAACTTATGAATTGTTTATTTCTGGATTTTTTCATTTGATATTTTCATTCTGTGGTTGACCATGAGTAACTAAAACTGGGAAAAGTGAAACCCGTAGACAAGGGAGGACATTGCTAACTGGTTCAGCAGCCTTCAGGCGTCTCTTCTAGTAAGGTCACTAATCCCATCATGAGGGCCTTATCCTCAAGACTCCCTCTAACCCTAATTACCTCTAAAAGGCCCCATCGCCAAATACCGTTGCCCTGGGGGTTAGGACATCAGCATATGAATTGGGGAAGGCCCGAACACTCCACCGATAACAGTAACATGGTTTACATACAAAAATCAATTATATTTCTATGTAATGGTAATGAACAATTCGAATCTAATTTTTAAAGTACCATTTACAAGTACAAAAACGCTTAGGTATAAATCTAATAAAATATGGTTAGTATGTATATTCTGAAAACCCAAAACAATGATGAAAGAAATTAACTAAGACCTAAAAATGTGGATAAATACACCATATTCTTGGATTGGAAGACAATATTGTTAAGATGTCAATTCTCTACAAATTGATCTGTAGAGTCAAGTTGTTCATAATAGATATCTCAGGGCATTTTTTTGTAGATATCAACAATCTGATTTCAAGATTAATATTTTTAAAAATGCACTAGAAAAACCAAAAGATTTTTGAAAGAAAGGAACAAAGTTGGAGCACTCACACTATCTGATTTCAAGTCTTACTATAAAACTACAATAATCAAGAAGGTGCAGTATTGGCAAAAGAATACATATATAGATCAATGGAATAGAGCAGAGTCTAGAAATAGATCCACACAAGTGTAGTCAACTGATTTGTGAAAGGGGTGCAAAGGCAATTCAATGGAGAATTGTCTTTTCAACAAATGGTGCTGGAAAATTGGACATCACATGCAAAAAGAAGAAAGAGGAGAACAGCCTCTATTCTACTTTATACTTTGTACAAAATTTAATTCAAAATGGACCATAGAACTAAATAGAAAACCTAAAATTATAAAACTTCTAGAATCAAATATCCTAAAAAGTCTTTGTGACCCTGGGTTGTGCTTCTGAGATATAAGAGCAAAAGCATCAAGGATGATACATTGGCTTTATTAAAACTAAAGTATTTTTCTTGTCAAAAGACACTGTTAAGAGATGGAAAAGACAAGTCACAGGCTGAAAAAAAAATTTTCAAAACATGTATACAACAAGGAACTTGTATCTAGGATACCTAAAGAACCCTCAAATCTGAACAATAATAAAAACAAACAACCCAATTAAAAATAAACAAAAGATTTGAATAGACACTTTATCAAAGAAGTAGAGTAATTTTTACTGTTTGTAAATTTTTTAGTTTAAAAATTTAAGAGATATAGTTAAACCATAACTTGAATAACATGTTATAGTTAAGAATGAATGTACTACCAAATAAGAAAGGATGAAATCATTGCATTAAGAATCCAACTCAAAAAAAATTTTTAAACCACTAAATTATGCCCAAGAAAAGTAGAGAGAAAAGAGAAAGAGAAAAAAATAATGAAAGAAAACATAAATACACAATATAGATTAAGAAAGCCATGAATTGTTCCTTTTTTTTTTTTTTTTTTTTTTTTTTTTTGAGACAGAGTCTCTTCTGTCACCCAGGCTGGAGTGCAGTGGTGCAATCTCAGCTTACTGCAACTTGACCTTCCAGACTCAGGTAATCCTCTGGCCTCAGCCTCCCGAGTGGCTGGGACTCTAGGTGCACACCACCACACCCAGCTAATTTTTTTTCTTTTTGTATTATTTGTAGAGATGGGGTTTCACCATGTTGCCCAGGACTCCAGGTGCACACCACCACTCCCAGCTAATTTTTTTTTTTTGGTATTATTTGTAGAGATGGGGTTTCACCATGTTGCCCAAGCTGGTTTCAAACTCTTGGGCTCAAGCGATTCACACCCCTTCAGCCTCCCAAAGTGCTGGGATTCTAGACTGAGCCACCATGCCCAGCCATAAGTTGGTACTTTAAAACAAACAATAAAATGGAATATTCCCTGAGGAGAATGACTGGTCAAAGAGCAACTTAAATGCACAAATAAGCAATGCCAGAAATGAAATAGAGGGATGTGCTATAGATGTGGTAGCATTACAAATAACAGTTAAAAAAAGCTTATGAACTAGTCTTACCGCAATAAACTAAAAAATATTGATCAAATGGACAATTTTTTTAGAAGCCTGACACTAGATTAAATTAAAAGTCTGAACCATCCTATTACCATGAAAAAAAAAATCAAAAACTTTTCCACCTAGAAAACTCTAGGTCCTAATATCTTCAACAGTGACAATGACCAAACACTAAAGAAAGAAACAATGCTAATAGTTCATAACTCTATAGAGAATAAGAAAGAAAAACCTCTCTATTTTACCTGGATACCAAAACCTGAAAAGGACATTACAGGAAAGAAAAATTATAGGCTAATCTCATGCACGAACATAGATGCAAAACTCCTAAGCAAAATGTTAACACGAAATCCAGCTTGGTCAGGTGCTGTGGCTCACACCTGTAATCCTAGCACTTTGGGAGGCTGAGGCTGGTGGATTGCCTGAGCTCAGGAGTTTGTGAACACCCTGGGCAAGATAGTGAAACCTCATTTCTACTAAAATACAAAAAAATTACCTGGGTGTGGTAGTGGGCACCTGTAGTTCTAGCTCCTTGGGAGGCTGAGGCAAGAGAATTGCTTGAGTCTGGGAGGCAGAGGTTGCAGTGCGTGCCATTGCACTCCAGCCTGGGCAACAGAGCAAGACTCTTCTCAAAAAAAAAAAAAGGAAAAGAAAGATATCCAGCTTTATAGTAAATGGGCATACAACACAACTAGGATGGTTTTATTCCCATAATACAAATGTAATTTAGCACTCAAAAATCAAAGTAATTCACCATATTGACAGGATAAAGGAGAATGTTTGCATGTGATAAATCATTGGCTTTAGAATTTTATTGTGTGCACCTATCTATATATGTGTTATATTTCACACTTTTAAAATATTAATATAATAAAGGCATTTAAGGCAGACTAGGCTACCCTGAAATTCACATGCTTTTTATAATTAGACATTCTGAACAATGTATTAGGTTGGTGCAAAAGTAATTGCGGTTTTTGCCATTACTTTTAATACAATTTGTAAAACTTAATTGTGTGGCTGAGCTTGCAAGGAAGAGAAATCGTGAGGTTCTAGAAAGAGTAGAAACTGAGAACATAGTAGAAGCACCCGATGCGGATTTTGGAGCAGCCACCCCAGGGGTTGGGAGTTGCAGAGCCAGGACAAGTGACAAGGGCTTGAGTGTTACTGCCTGTGTGTGGGATAGTGTGTGTGGGAGATTAAGAGCTGAACTTTAGACATTTTAAGCCACAGATGCATGTGAGACATTGAAGTCAAGCAGTGAGTTTGTTGTTAAACATCTGAAGTGCAAGGAAAAAAAATATATATATATGTAAGCTTGGGAATCTGGCCCACTGGTTGGGTTTAAAAACTGTCTTCAGGGGATCTTGAATTCCTGTGGCACTCTGTGCTTTCCTCTATGGTTGCACTCTCCCTATGAATTTTCTTTTTGTATACTGTCTTTCTAGACTTAAAGCAGGGACTGTTTCTGGATCCTTGTTTTGGAGGCCAAGAAAAACAAATGAAATAAAAAAAAAAACAACTCCATCAACATGATTATTGAACTCCTGGTGATTTTGTCAAGCAGCAGGAAGCCAAGCACGGATTTAGTCAGGTAACAGACATGCTGGAAAAGCAAGTGAGCCTGGAAAGGAGGACAGAATGTACTGGAAAAGGGAGAGATGGGCTTCCAAGGAGCCACCTCGAAGCTACAGAGGCAGGAGTGGACATTGAGAACAGAGAGCCTCCAGAGAAGAGCAGGTTGGTGTTCTTGGGTCCAAGACCATTCTCCTCCTTTCAGGGTCTGACATGTGGTTCTCAGGAAGTATAGTGTGGTTGAAGGATTGGTTAGGAAAGTCCCTCCACGTCCTACCACCTCCACCCTGGCACTGTGTGCCCGTGGGGCTATGATGGGAACAACCCACACCCTAAAATAGGATCCAAATTCCTTCCTCTTTTGTCATCAAAGCTGCATCTACTTTGCTCAAGCAAGTCAGGGAATCTCTGTGTCTTGAGTCCATAAATCTGCTTTCAAATTCCTCCAGCCACCTCTCCCTGGGTCTGTGAAAGGTCATTCAGAGTCTCTCCTTTGAGAGGGGAGAAACCACCCAGCAGATGAAAGGAACATCACTATATTCAAAGCTCGTGTGCATGCCAGGTGCTTGCTGCAAGAGCTGTTCCTGACTCACCTTGCTTTCTGAATGGCATTTCACTTCTTTGCCAATTCCTTGGAATCCCTCAATTGCCACACCTGGCAAATAAAAAATCAAAGTAATTCACCATAATATGCATCTGCAGGTGGGGCAGTGAGTAGAAGGTCGGGGGAGGAAGAGTGTGGTGGGCACAAGGTTTATAGTCCAGGGGGTGCTTGTTGACTGACTGGTCTTGATCCTCATAGAGGCCAAGGCTCTACCAGAAACTGAGGTCCTAACCTGAAAGGAGAATCAGGAAGATCAGTGAGCTACATGCTGCTTTTAAATAGCCTGAATATAGCTGGAGGAGGAATGGTTATAATGTTTCCTAAAATGAAAGAAAGGTGGGTGCCAAATAATTGTACAGAGAATACGCTGCAGACTATAGCATGAAGACAACCTCAGCATAGGGGAAAAAAAGACCGGGAGGAAATTGACCAAGATATTGTAACTGTAATAGGTTCATCGCCCCATGTGCAGCAAGTCAATATGCTGAGACACTGGGTTGCAGCAGAGAAAGAGGTTTCATCCTGGGGCTGCTGAACAAGGAGATGGGAGGAAACCTCACATGTATCATTCCAAGGAGTTTGGGGCTAGGGATTTTAAAGGTTTTGGAGTGGGCTGAAGTGTGGAGATCGTCGACTGGTCAAACGGTGCAGGGTGAAGTCATGGGACAGGGAGTTGAAGAAATTGCATTCTCATGCTGATTTGGTTCCACCGTGGGGGTTTTCAGACTGGTTGTCCTCAGCTGTTCTGCTGGAATTCAGAATCTGAAAAACAACCTAAGCAATTCTTAAAAGCTTTATGATTATAACATTGGAGAGCCTACCTATAAGAACAATGAGGATGCAAATGGTCGGTGTCTAGTGCTACACGACTTTCCATTACAAGGAACTGAGCCAAAGCACAGCCTGATTCATGCTTCATTATAATTCTATTCCTGTCCAAAATGCTTGTTAACCCCGTGAGGACTGCTTCAGTATCACACTGTATTTTACAAATAATCTATATAATGTGCATGCCTATCCTATTTTCTAAATAAGTCTCAAATGTGTATGCCTATGCTATGTATACACTGAAAAATACCAACACACTTTCTGGAAAGAATAATACAGATTTTTAAAAATGTTCATTTTTGTGGGTACATAGTAGGTGTACATATTCCTGGGGTACCTGAGATGTTTTGATACAGGCATGCAACGTGTAATAATCACATCATGGAGAATGGGGTATCCATCTCCTCAAGCATTTATCCTTTGTGTTACAAACAATCCAACTGTCTTGTTTTAATTACTTTTAAATGTCCAGTTAAATTATTACTGACTTTAGCCCCCCATTGTGCTATCAAATACTAGGTCTTATTCATTCTTTCATTTTTTCGGTACCTATTAACCATCCCTACTTCCCCACCAACCCCCTGGGTTACTTTCTTATCTTGTACCCTAATTTGGCTGACTGAGCTGGCCCCTTTTAAACAACGGTAACAGCAACAGCAACTACTTCTTCATGAATTCAGTGTTTACCTATGTTGGGCATGATGTTCACTGAGTAACTACTGTGGAGGCTGCTGGTGACCTGGGTGGGAGCTGTCTCCCAAAAAGGGGGTAGAAGCCTGACTGCATTGGGCTGTTGAGTGAGAAGGGGCAAAGGAATGAAGCACGTGAGAGCAAACGTGTTCAAGATGTTTGGTTGTATGGGGGCTGTCATCGAAGTGGCTGTTAGGATGTTGTATTAGTTTGCTAGGGCTGCCATAGGAAAATACCACACACTAGGTGGCTTAAACAACAGAAATGTATTTTCTCACAGCTCTGGAGGCTGGAAGTCCAAGATCAACGTGTTGGCAGGTTTGGTTTCCTCTGCAGTCTCTCTCCATAGCCTGTGGATGGCCACCTTCTCGCTACATCTTCATCAAGCTTTCCTCTGTGCATCCACATCCTTGCTTTCTTTCTGTGTGCCCAAATTCTTCCTCTCATAAAGACGTCATCTAAATTGAAGTTGGGCCCACCTAATAGACTTATTTTAACTCAGTCACCTTGTTTAAAAGACCCTATCTTCAAATTCAGTCACATTCTGAGGTACTAGGGTTTAGGGATTTAGTATATGAACTTTGGGAGGAAGGAATGGGTGCAATCCAACCTGTAGGTCCAGAACTTTTCTTTTCTTTTAATATGCAAGTGCCAAGCATTTTTATATGTAGTGGAAGAGAGCTTAGAGAAAGAGAGGTCACTTAATAGAGGAAAAGCCCTGAGGCTGGGGCAGGGATGGGAAGGAGAACCCAGGGGAAAGGGAGCCCTGGGCAGGAGGAGGGAGGCATCTGCCGCAGTAACCAAGGGTGGAGGCAGTCGCTTTCTCTGCAATATTGAGGGTGCAGACACAGTCGGTTTATCTGCAATGCTGGGGTGCAGGAGCAGTCGGTTTCTCTGCAGTGCTGGGGCTGCAGGTGCAGTTGGTTTCTTTGCAATGCTGAGGGTACGGGCACTGTCAGTTTCTCTGCAGTGCTAGGGGTGCAGGCGCAGCAGGTTTCTCTGCAGTGCTGGGGGTGCAGACTGCATTTGGTTTCTCTGCAGCTCTGGGGGTGCAGGAGCAGTCGGTTTCTCTGCAGTGCTGGGGGTGTAGATTGCATTTGGTTTCTCTGCAGCTCTGGGGGTGCAGGAGTAGTTGGTTTCTCTGCAGTGCTGGGGGTGTAGATTGCGGTTTGTTTCTCTAACATGCTGGGGGTGCAGGCACAGTCGGTTTCTCTGCAGTGCTGGGGCTGCAGGTGCAGTTGGTTTCTCTGCAATGCTGAGGGTACAGGCACTGTCAGTTTCTCTGCAGTGCTGGGGGTGCAGGCGCAGCCGGTTTCTCTGCAGTGCTGGGGGTGCAGATTGCATTTGGTTTCTCTGCAGCTCTGGGGGTGCAGGAGCAGTCGGTTTCTCTGCAGTGCTGAGGGTACAGGCGCTGTCAGTTTCTCTGCAGTGCTGGGGGTGTAGATTGCAGTCGGTTTCTCTGTAGCTCTGGGGGTGCAGGAGCAGTCAGTTTCTCTGCAGTGCTGGGGGTGTAGATTGCAGTTGGTTTCTCTGCAGTGTTGGGGGTGCAGGTGCTGTCAGTTTCTCTGAAGTGCTGGGGGTGTAGATTGCAGTTGGTTTCTCTGCAGTGTTGGGGGTGCAGGTGCTGTCAGTTTCTCTGCAGTGCTGGGGGTGTAGATTGCAGCTGGTTTCTCTGCAGTGCTAGGGGTACAGGTGCTGTCAGTTTCTCTGCAATGCTGGGGGTGCAAGCAGTTGATTTTTCTGTAACCTGAAGGTGGGAAGCTGGTGATTCTTCATGTGACAGTGGCAAAGGATGCCTGAGAGTATAAACTGGAAACATTTTGAGGGCAGCTTGACCACATGTGTCAAAACCTTTAAAATGTGCATGCAGTTAATTTATCCCAAGGACATAATTAGGGGTCTACATGGGAAGCTGGCAATAAAGACGGCTACGCAAATAAAACTATAGTTTTGTTTATCATACAAAAGGATAGAAAACAACTTCAGTATCCAAAAAATGGATGCCTGGCGATGTGGTTTGGAAGTTTGTTCCCTTCAAATCTCATTTTGAAGTGTGATCCTCAGTATTGGAGATGGGGCCTGGTGGGAGGTGTTTGGGTCACGGAGGGCACACCCTTCATGAATTAGCTTGGTACCCTCCCCATGGTAACAAGTGAGTTCTCTCTCTGTTAGTTCATATGACAGCTGGTTGTTCAAAGGAGGCTGACTCCTCCTCTCTTGCTCCCTCTCTCGTCATATGATATGCTGGATCCTCCTTTGCCTTCTACCATAATTGGAAGCTCCCTGAGGCCCTCACCAGAAGCAGATGCTGGCACTGTGGTTCACATACAGCCTGCAGAATCATGAACCAAATAAACCTCTTTTCTATATAAATTATCCAGCATCGGGTATTCCTGTATAGCAACACAAGGACTAATATACCTGATTAAGCAAACTATTACATGTTTTAGAATGTCACATGCACAAGTCAATAGGGCGCCAAGAGTATTTACAGCCATCAGTTACAGAAGTATGTTTATGAAGATGGAATGGTGGTGCAGGATAGCCTTATATAAGGAAATGCGGAGCAGACAATTACACGACAATTATACAAAGAATAATCGTGACTTAAAAAAATAGACAATGGATTAAAAAATAGACAATGGATAAAGTAAAAATAAAGACAGCCCGTGTGTGGGAGGCAAAGGTTAACTATGGTGATCTCTGGGTGGTGAAATTAAGGGAGCCAATTATCTTCTTTTTGCTTACCTATATAGTTTCTAGTTTTTGCCATGGTGAACACATTATTTAAGCAAGATGGGAAAAAAGCAATAAAAACAACTTTTTAAATGCACCACCTGGATTTCTTTTCAGGGCTATTTTCCATAAAGAAACCCATTTTTTATGACCTAAGAGTTGTTGTGTAAATGATGCTGGCACGTGGAAAATAATAAAGGAGATATGAATATGCTCCCTGCAGATTGAGATGGCAGAGAGGTGCCATGCTCCCTCCCCTGGGGCCTAGGACAGCATTTAGCACACAGTAGGCCCCCAGTAAATGATTCAGGAAGAAATGATTGAGTGAGATACTATTGGCAAGGAGGGTAACTGAATGTCCCTGTAAGTGAAAAAATCACTGGCTCACAGCAGCCTCTATATGAGGTGTAAAATCATGCATTAGTAAATAACAAATTATCATGGGCTATGAATCCCTGATGTGGCTCGAGAGTTGTCAAAATCTAGAATGTTCTTTCTATACAGGTTTGCACCTATGAGAAATGTGAATTTCAACCTCTGTTCACTGCTCAAACTACTGATAAACCTAAACTCTGGCACTGGTTAGATGCAAGCATTTGCTTTCCAGAAAGCCTTTGAAACCAAAAGTTTTCATTACCATGATATCATTACCACGATATCCTGAAGGCATTACATAGATGTCATGAAGCAACAACCTTTTAAAGTCATGGTATGGACTGGCCCAGCCATGTAATCTAGTCCTAAAATGTAGATGTTTCTGATGCTGTGAAGAGGAAGACAATGGGATAATATTATTACATCAGAGGATGAGTCTAATGTCTTTCATCTGCCAGAGAGAAGACTAGAGATATTTATTGGTTCAGTATTTCAACAACATGGTATTAATTGTCTTTGAGTGTTTTCATAGGTAGTTAGCGCAAGGGTATTAATGAAAACAGCCCCACTTCATTTAAAAATTAACTACTTGGCCATTGAGCAACAGGAGCTGATAAATCATGGCAATAAATTTGTGATGGAGATTTATGCCCTCGTGACTCAGAGCCAGGCCATGGGCATATTTAGATGGGCTGGAGAGATAAGGAATACCAAGTGTGGGCACTGGAAACCATCTGGAGTTCTTCAGGGATAGAATACAGTTTAGTAGTAGAGAGAATACAGTCTGCCTGGTCATCACTAATGTAGCACTTATCCAAAAGACTTATCCAAAACATCTTTTCTTCCAAAAAAGTTGCTAAGCTCTTTAGCCATCACCTTTTTCTGGCATGTCATAGGTTGGTGAAGACCTGGCCTCCCAGGCCCAGGGGCAGGCCCCAGGCCATCCTGCTGGACCTGTGGAGACTAAGCCCATTTCTACCTGATGGGTGGGGAAAGAGCCCGCATTCACCTGCTCATCAGAAGAGCAGCTCCTCCCAGGCCAGCTGACACGGCTGATATTTCCTCAGAGCTCCTCTTTTGCTAATGCAATGGAAAAGTCTACCCAGATGGGTGCAGCAAAGAGGGAAGGAAATATTTCTTGCACAGTTGTTGTCAGGCTCTGGGCTAGGTGCCTAATTTACATAATTTCATTTAATCTCCACAACAATCTTGAAAGGTAGCTCTTATTAACCAACTATTAACTCCATTTCAGAGAGCAGGAAGCTGACACTCATAAAATTGAAGTGGCTTGCCCTAGGCCCATGTACGGTGTCTGCATTGGACGCCATATTGCAGGGAGAATGTGAGTTTTGAAATCACAGAAACCAGCATTTGAGTCCCAGGTACGCTACTCACTAGCTGGGCAGTTTTGAAAAACATTTAACCTTTCTATGCCCACAGTTTTTTTCATTTGTCAACAAAAGGTGATAGATTAACATAGTCATCACAGGATACACGGGTAGGTTAGACTAAATAACAACATGAAAGTCTTAAATAAAAAGGAGCTGGGATTCCAGGCCACGTTTTTCAGACTCCAAAGTTCTTATAACTAAACCATAAAAACTCATGACCCTGGAGAGACACAGAGGCCAAGACAGAATGCCAAATCCAGAGCTGAGGAGGACCTAACGGGACCCACTGGGGTGCAGTGTAGGGCTTGGACTTGCAGGGGAGCGCAAAGAGAGCAGAGTTATCCATGCTGAACAAAGGTTGCAGCAAGGTCAGCAGCCAGGCCGACTTGAAGATCAGCTAATGATATACTTCCTATATGAAAATCATAAAAAAGAGAATGTGGGAAGTAAGATTGACTTCTGAGATCTCAATTATATACAGCAGCAGCTCGGCTTTTTTTTTTTTTTTTTTTTTTTAGACTGGGCCTCACTCTGTCACCCAGGCGGGACTGCAGTGTCACAATCATGGCTCACTGCAACCTCTACCTCCCCCAGGCTCCAGCAATCCTCCTGCCTCAGCCTCTCCAGTAGCTGGGACTATAGGCTCGCATCACTATGCCCGGCTATCAGCTTAAATCTGAGCAAGCCCAAAGGTCTAACCGATTAATATATGTCAGAAACTTAATGGTCTGGGAGAGGAGGGACCTCTGGGAGAAAGATAGGGGGATAATACAGTAAAAGTTGCTGGACAATGGACACCCCAAACGGTTTCCCAGGGGGCAAGGACTGGTGGGGGGCCATGAGAAGGTTCATTTCTGGGCCTTGGAATTAACTGAGGGCTATCAGCTCTAGGGAAGCTACTGACAGTAGGGTTTGGGCACTGGAAGCCATCTGGGGTTCTGCAGAGATAGAATACGATTTAGTAGTAGAGAACATGGTCTGCCTGGGCGTCACTAATGTAGCACCCACCAATGCAAATAGCCAGGATTCAGGAAAACCAAAGGGAACTGGAAGCTGAGGTTACAGAGCTGATGAAGACATTAGTCCTGTCCTCAGGAAGGCTGTGGGGAAGACAGTAAACAGGCATTTCTGACACAAGGTGGTCACATGTTGACAAAACAAGCTCAGGGTCCTAGACCAGCCCTGAGGAGAGGCACCTAAGTCACCAAAGGGTGGTGAGGAAAGGTTCCTGGAAGAGAGAACACTGGAAGCAAGACACAGAAGACAGTGGTAGCTGATCAGGACAAGAGAGGATGTCCCTGACATGGTCCTGCTTACAATCATGTTCAATTCAGTACCACAACCCAAAAGATGAACTATATTCATGATTTGGCTCCCACTGACCCCCAGTCTCATTTCTCTTCACTCTGCCCCACACTTCGGGCTACAGCAACATCAACTGCTGGTGGTTGCCTCCATGTCCATGCTGCTGGTGAATTTTTGATTATATGACTCTCATCTGCTGAAATACTCCACCACCCCTTGGGCTAACTGCCATTTTTATTTTATTTTATTTTTTTGAGACAGAGTCTCACTCTGTCATCCAGGCTAGAGTGCAGTGGTGCAATCTCGGCTCACTGCAACCTCCGTCTCCCGAGTTCAAGCGATTCTCCTGCCTCGGCCTCCTGAGTAGCTGGGACTACAGGTGTGGACCACCATGCCCAGCTAATTATTTGTATTTTTTTTTAGTAGAGACAGGGTTTCACCATGTTGGACAGGGTGGTCTAGAACTCCTGACCTCAAGTGATTTGCCTGCCTCAACCTCCCAAAGTGCTGGGATTGCAGGTGTGAGCTACCATTTCCGGCTGCTAAATTCTATTTATTCTTTAGGAGCCTTTTAGGAATCCTTCTCTGCCTCCTGTATCTGGTGTTAGATGCTCTTCCCTGAAACCCCTGCACACCTCTCAATCACTGTCCTTGCCACCTTGCACTAGACTTAACGATGTGTCCATTTTCCTCACTAGACAGTGCACTAGTTGATGTCAGGAATTATGTATTCCTTTTTACAGTCACAGTTGCCAGCATTTAGCCACTGCTTCATAAATCATTTTGCAAAGGCCAGTTAAGGAAAGATAGACAGACAAATTTAAATGAAGTACTCTTTTCTCCTTAGGGTTACCAGATAAACACAGGACACCCAGTTACACTGGAGTTTAAATTGAAATTTGAATTTCAAATAAACAAAGAATACTTTTTTCAGTATAAGTGTGTCCCAAACAGCGCATGGAACATACTTGTACTAAGCAGAAATGTGTCTCAAATGTTGCGTGGGACACACACCAAAAGATTGTTACTTATCTGAAATGCAAATTGAACTGGGCATCCTGTATTTTTATTTGCTAAATCTGTCAGCCCTAAATATTGAAAAGCATAAAGCGTGTGGGCAAGAGCAGTCTCATTCTGCTGATGGAAAATGCTCAATCTGGTAAGAAATTTGGCAAAATATTTTCCAATATGATCAGATAATTGCTCAGAGATAAGAGAGTTAATTCCAGTATTTACCATGGCCCAAAGTTAGAAAACACCTAAATATATACCCTTAAGAGATTGGTTAAATGAAATAGAATTTTATGTGCCATGTAACACTGAGATTAAAGCACAAGATCTGAAGGCAAAATGCTTAGGTGCTATTTCTCAACTAAAAATAAAACAAAACAAAAATGCTTTGGTGCAAATCTTGGCTGCACATGACACTGGCTATGAGACTCTGAGGAAGGTTACCTAATTTTTTTTATGCCTCAGTTCCCACCTGTGTAAAATAGGAATATACACATTTTTACCCTATAAGGTTTGGGAAGATTAAATAAGTTATCCATGTATAGCCCTTAAAAAAAGGGCCTGGCAGAAAGTAATGTTTAAATAAAGACGGTTATTGTTATTATCATTACCCCTATGTAGAATACTGTGGTTTCATTAAAAATGACTTTATAGATTTATATTTATTGATGGAAAAAGGTGTTCTCATTATACAGTGAGGGAAAACAATCAATCAAAGCATCATATACACAGCATCCATGTAGCAAATCATTCTGAGCACCATCTCTGTCAGGTCCTCTCTTAGAAGTCACCAACAGCAAACATAGCCAGAACACAGCAGAAAACCTGGAGGGTCATGAGCAGACACATATATATGTGTGTGTGTGTGTATATATACATATATATATATATGAGGAAATATATACAAATTAAAAGGCAATTAACATTCTGATAAGAGCTATAAAGGAAAATAAATAAAGTGTAATAGGAAAGGCCTCAAAAGACAGAGCTATTTTTCCTGAAACCCGAAGCATGAGCGGAGTTAGCCAGGCCAGAGCTGGAAGAATATTCTAAGCAGAGTAAATGGTGTCTATCAAAGCCATGAGAAGGGAGATATCTGGGCAAGTTTAAGGAACTGAAACAAGGCCAACGTGGTTGGATCCCGGTGGATGAGTGGGAGAGTGGAGCAAGATGAAAGTGGACAAATAAGTAAGGGGTTGATCATGTTCAGCTTTGTAAGATATCAAAAGTCAAATTAAGGAGAGTAGTGTATTTGGGTCTTTACCCTAAGGTCCTTTGAGACAATCTCATCATCTGTCATCTTTGCTTTACTTGCTTAGGATTTAGAATTCTGGACTGAAAGATCTCAGTGGCTGAATTAAAGCCACATGTCCCCAAGGGTGAAACAGGGAGGATTCCCCCTTCAGCTTCCACGTTTGCCATTGAAGAGCTGTGGTGTGGCCCTGGGACCCTCCTCGCCACTGAATTCAGGGAGCCCATGTCATCCCACCTCCCATCAGTATCTCTAGCCTCCAGATAGCAGTTTCTGGTGTTACCCTCATCAAGGTATTTCTCAATACTTTGGCAAAGGGTATGTCCTCTAAGCTTTCCTCGGAGACATAGTCAGGGAGTGATAGGGTTAGTTGCACATGATAAATTCACTCCAGCATTCCTATCTCTCAGAGTCTTTGGATTCTTTCCTTTACTCGGTATCAAGGAATTTATGACATCTCAACTCTGTTTAATATTGGCCACCACTGAGTCCAGATTTCTGTCAACCAACTGAACAAACAACGGTGTCTACTCCCAGCTGCTCTGAGCTAGCAACAGAATCTGGAGTCTCTACTAAGTGCATCATTACCAGGGACTTCAACTTGGTCTGAAATTATGTTCGTTTCCCCTTGGTCAAGAACGTACAGAATTCATTCCCACACATATTCCTCGGTTTTGAAGGTGTAAATTAGCAAGGTCTTGCAAATCATTTGTTATACATGCCTTCTGCTCCCGGTTTGACTTTTTACTCCCCGCCTCCCCCACAGGTATTCTAGGTCAGATCCTGTAGACAAGGGAGAGATGCTGCAGTGCAGAGAAAGGACAGACTCCTTCTTTCCATGTAACTCTTTTGGGTAAGAGAGTTACAGTGTCTTTTGAGCAAAAAATAAAGAGAGCCAACAGTCCAAGGAGGAGAGTTGCTTTGGCTGGCACAGAAAGATTGGTGATTTCTCTAGGTCTTCTCATATACCCCCATTCCACATCTTTTTTATTTATTTTTTATTTATTTTTATTTATTTTTTTGGGATGGAGTTTCGCTCTTGTTGCCCAGACTGGAGTGTAATGGCGCCATCTCTGCTCACCACAACCTCCGCCTCCCGGGTTCAAGCAATTCTCCTGCCTCAGCCTCCGGAGTGGCTGGGATTACAGGCATGCGCCACCACGCCTGGGTAATTTTGTATTTTTAGTAGAGACAGGGTTTCTCCATTTTGGTCAGGCTGGTCTCGAACTCCCGACCTCAGGTGATCTGCCCGCCTCGGCCTCCTAAAGTGCTGGGATTACAAGCATGTGCCACCACACTTGGCCTTCCACATCTTACTCTATCAGTACCTTAACTTTCTCCAAAGAGGCATGACAAAGCTGTGCATTCAACTGATGTAATTCTACCAATCTCACAGTCCAAATTTGAATTTGTTTTCTACTCTCTCAGCAGTGTGGCTTTTAGAGGTTGGAAATTCATTTAGCACTGCCATAGAAAGTTCTTGGGTGTGGATGTTTGCCTTAAATTGAGAATCTGGGGATTTAAATTTGTCATTCTCTTTTCATAAGCTACCCAGGGCCATTCGAAGCAGCCATTCTTCCACAGTCCTTAACTCCTGTCTTTTACGCTGACCCAGGACAATACTTACATGCTGTCCTAAAAGCTTCCTTGATTTTCATGAGCACTTCCTCCAAATGACCACAGGTGATACTTTAGATGTTCTGCTGCTGTGGACATGAGCTTCCATATTCCTGTCTCTGAATCCTAAAAGAATGATCATGTCCTAACTCCTCACTGAGGCAATCGGATCAACTCCAGATTTCTATCATACAGGCCTTCTGACTTGAAGAGCCCGGAGCATATGCCTCGGCACAAATTTCTGCATCAATAAGCTGCAAGGAACAGAAACTGATTCTGACTCAAGTATATTAATACAAAAGAGGGATTCATTGGAAGGTATTAGGTAGCTCACAGGTTTGCAGAATTAAGAACCAAGCAAAGCAAGGCAGCAGGAAAAATTCACCAGGATGTAACCATAGCCAGTCACAAGCATAGCCATCACGGCAGACCACTGTCCCGGTCGCTGCCAGGCTGGTCTCATCATCCCTTCACTCACTCAAAAGTCAAACTTCCGGGTAGAAGCATTCAATAAGTGACAATCGGTCACATGTCCTCACTCTAGCAGAGGAGGGGGCAGTGGAGAGACAGAAAGAGTTCCCCTAAGGAATCCCAGAGAGAGGTTGGGTTTGGGAAAGGCAAAAAGTAATGTGAGACTGCGTTCTGTTTTGTGGTGTGACATAGAACCAGATGTTGGTACAGGGGTCGGGAACCGACCTTGGTCATTATTAATCTCTATTGTCTCACTGAGATGTTGCCACTTCCATGTGATGAGCCCATGCAGGTCACCATGGAATCTGCCTCCTCCCGCCCACGGGAGCAAGGAGCCACATCCCATCTCTTTTTCCGTACCGCACCCCGCCAACTCTTGGCTACCGGAAAGCCTGAGGGCCGCTGCAGCACTGTTTTCCTAGATGGGCCACATGACCCTTTCTACTCTGGCCTTCTTTTTTTTTTTTTTTTTTTTTTTTGAGACAGGGTCTCCCTGCATCGCCCAGGTTGGAGTGCCGTGGTGCGATCTTGGCTCACTGCAACCTGCGCCTCCCGGGCTCAAGCAACTCTCCTGCCTCAGCCTGGGATTACAGCTGAGACTACAGGCGCACGCCGCCGCCATGCCCGGCTAATTTTTTTGTATTTTTGGTGGAGATGGAGTTTGGCCATGTAGCCTAGGCTGGAACTCTGGCCTATTTCCTCTTTTCACAGACTCTCTTCAGATAAAAGGAGAGGGCTCCTGACATCCACAAACCTGTCTGGAATTTCTGCTGTTCCTTCTATTTTTTTATTTGTTTGTTTGAGACACAGAGTCTTGCTCTGTTGCCAGGCTGCAGCTCACTGCACAACACAGCTCACTGCAGCCTCGACCTCCTGGGCTCAAGCTCAGCCTCCGGTAGAGCTGAGATGTAGGCATGCACCACCACACAGACTAATATTTTGATTTTTATTGAAACAGGATCACACTTTGTTGTCCAGGCTAGTCTTGAACTCCTGAGCTCAAGCGATCCTTCCACCTCAGCCTCCCAAAATGCTGGGATTAGGGGCATGAACCACCGCAGGGCCTTCTGTTCCCTCTTATCCTGGGGTTGACCTAAAGTGGGGCAGGAGGCAGGTACCTTTCTAGGTACCTCACTGTGTCTGAGCCTTCCTTGCTTCTCTCCTGACTCTCTCACCTTCCCCATCTGCAGAATCTTTTTGTAGTTACTGCTGTTGTTTTGTTCTGAAGGCAAGGGAGGCTGGCTTTACATCTATATTTCTAAATCTATTGCTTATGCCCTGACAGGCTTTTGAAACCCAGAAGCCATAAAATTGACCCTTTGTTTTCTGCATTCTTCTTGGCACTCCCTCTTCTAAGGCAGAAACAGAACATGCATGCTGTTCATCAAATCAGAGGAAGATTTATTACAGGATAACAGGAAATACCATGAAGAAAAAAAATTGATATAAATATAAACAATATTATCCTGCAACATTACTGTTTTTATGTGTACTTAAATTTTATTATTAATTAAATCAGATGACAGTGTCATTTAAAAGACAAAGTTACTTTATGAGGTAGTCAGAGCTCCGTAAATGGAGGTGTTCAAACAGAGCAGGATGGCCATCTATTAAGGGTGCAGTAAAAGGAACTTCTCCATTGGTGCTCCCAGCAATGAGTTGATGTTTAACGTCTATTCTAAACCTAATATTTTACGCTTTTTTTTATTATATTTTTTCTTTGCTCCACAGGTTTTGGCATCAAAATGGGAATATTTTGAGGTCCCTAGTAATTATAAAAATTTAAAATGGCCTCCCTGGTTTCTAACAAATCAGTCAACATTTTTAATAGGACTTGTTCTGAATACCCAAGATTGGCCATTTCTAATTCCATTGGTTCTATTTGTTTTGTAACAACTCTTTCTGTTACAATGGCTTGATTGTTCTTTTCTATTTCTTGTGGCCTTTGCCCCATGAATCTTCTATGGAGTGAATGTTTCCTTATTTTTCTTAGAAGAAGAGGAAGAAGCATTGCTCTTACCCAAGTTTGGAGAAATCATCTTTAAAAACACAAAAGCCACCTTGGACTTGAAGTCAAGGAACATGTATGTCAGCTCTAGACATGGTTTTTGTAGTTGTGGTAACCTGAGAAGTTATTCTGTCTCTGAGCTTCAGGTTTTTTAATATGCAACGAGAAGATAGTTCCTATTGTATCAACACAATCAAAATTAAGTAAAAATGATGAGTCCAGGTGTGAATTGATCCTGAGGTCATAGTGTCATGGCCCCATCTCCATTTCTCTGCCATTCTCTGTATTCCATCCTTCCCTGTGGGTCAACTCCACACTTCCCCACTTCTTCCCCCTCCCCTGGCTGCCTCCTTTTGTGGTAAAAACAACAGCAATTTTCAGGCCTCTCTTCCACATAGTCCACACTTCAAAGGAAGAAGACTGATCTCTTCCAGTAGTTGCCATAGATAAAAGAGAAAACCTCTTTCCTGGAAGTTCCAGCAACTGTCCCCTTACACCTCATCAGCCAAAACAAGTCACATGGCCATCCTGACAAATTCTTGAGCTGAACAAATGGAAACCAACTAGAGCTTTCTCTGGAGATAAGGTAGAGGCTGTCCCATCCTAAGAGTGGAGTCCCCTCTGAATGAAGATCTAGATGCTATTTCTGGGAGAAGGAGATGCAGAGATGGAGAAATGGAGGCTGGGGAGGCATTCACCAAGGGGCCCATATTCTTATACAGCTCACTAGGCTAATATAAAAATCACAGAAGATTGTGAAAATGACAATGACCTATACCTGTAAAATACTGGACACTGACATGCAAAGTGGCATCAGAAGACTAGTTTGATTTCTGGTCCTATCACTTTGAACAATTTACAGAACTCTGAGCCTTGGTTTCCCCATCTATAAAATGGAGATGTCAGCTAACAACGGAACGTGCTTACATATATGTACTTATTATAAATTGCTTTTAGCTTAATCCATGCTAGAATTGAGTCAGCTCTTATAAAGATAGTTTGAGCTGGTAAATTTGGAGGTCTTGTCTGCAACTTGAGAAAACCACCCCTAATCACATCAATAAGTTCTGAGTAACCATGCCACTGAGATCTTAGATGGAAGGAATGCTTTGTGAACCAAATTTTTTGTAACATATAGAAAATCAAGTTCATCTGTTCATAAGTCATCATGCCCTGAACCCTTAATCTCCATATCTCTGATGCAGAAAGATTAATCTTAGAAGGAATAACTGACAACCCACTGCCTCAGGCTACAAAGAAAATGAAAATGTCCTCTATAAATGTGATTCATATTACAAACTCGTGCACGTTTTGTGCTATCCAGCCTTGTTCAAATAAAAGGAACTTAGTCAACGATTCTGTTGGAGGGTAAGCTTTTTTTTCTTTTTTTCTTATTGTATCACTTTCAGAATTGCTAGAAGATAAAAAGAGGCCTGTTTCTTGCTAACACAATCTTATCTATGAGGCAAGCATTCCTAGGGAGTAGTGCGGCTCAGTTGGATTTTGTCAGCTTGTTCTGTGACCAAATTCAGACTCAATTATTTACTTAACTTCCCTAAGCTTTAGTATTCTCATAGGAAAGTTGGGGTGATAACAGTACCCACCTCATTGTAAGAAATAAATGAGATAATGTATGTTAAATGCACAAAAGGGAGCCTAACACGCGTAATACATGTTAGCCATTACTGTATTTGGATTTCTGAGAAAAGAGGGAACCTATATTGGAAGAGTACTAGGTTAGGTTGATGCATATTCTGGCTTTAGACCTTTTCCTATCATAACATGTATGTCCCAACATAGCAGAGACCTGGAACAGAGTACAGATAGGAATCTCTGGCTCACGGCCAACCCCCTTCTTTTCCAACCCTTAACCAAGTCCTGCACCATGATGGGTCTTGGGCACATGCTTAGACATCCCAACCTATACAGTCCAAGCTCTACCTATAAACCCTTCCCCTCCAAAGGCAAAGACTACCCTTTGCAATTGGAAGCATATACATATGTGGCAAAGTCTGCCATTGCCACTGGAAGATGGACAGGAGAAGAACTCCACAGGGCATGAAAGGAAGCTGGGGCCATTTGAGCAGGAATTTCAGGGTGCTTGGGCCCAATAGCATGGCCTATAAAGGAGAGGGAGAGACCTGGGTAGTCACATCCCCTTGGCTCCAGGGACACCTCAGCCTGTGGGGAGAGTATAGCAATAGCAGAGCCAAAGAAAGGGCCCTCTAAAGTAGAGGACCCAGGACAGGAGCCCCAGTTGCCTGGATTTAATTAAGAGTGGTACTGATTTCATCTCTTGAAACTTGTCCTTTAGAAAATGAGTGCCTAAGGCTATATTTTTTTTTAAAAAATTAAGTTTTATTGATATATAATTAGCATACCACACAATTCACCAAGTTAAAGTGTACAATCCAATGGTTTCCAGTATATTCACAGAGTTGTGCAACCAGCACCAGGCTCAATTATAGCCCAGTGGGAGGATGAGAAGGGGACACTGGAACTGGGTCTTCCTCAGGGCTTCTCTCTCCTTCATGTCCTCTTATAAAGTATGTCAGTGCACTGAGTTTCATTCTAATATTTAAAGATATAAATTTGGCCGGACGCAGTGGCTCATGCCTGTAATCCCAGCACTTTGGGAGACGGAGGCGGGTGGATCACTTGAAGTCAGGAGTTCGAAATCAGC
This sequence comes from Homo sapiens, assembly GCF_000001405.40. NCBI lineage: Eukaryota > Metazoa > Chordata > Mammalia > Primates > Hominidae > Homo > Homo sapiens. The sequence continues at coordinate 61,498,045 of NC_000001.11, forward strand.
CTGGCCAACATGGTGAAACCCCATCTCTACTAAAAATACAAAAATTAGCCAGGGTTAGGGGTGGTGCATGCCTGTAATCCCAGCTACTAGGAGGCTGAAGCATGAGAATTGCTTGAACCCAGGAGGCAAAGGTTGCAGTGAGCCGAGATCATGCCACTACACTACACAGCCTAGGTGACAGAGCAAGACTCTGTCTCAAAAAAAAATAAATAAATAAATAAAAATAAAGATATAAGTTTCTGGTACACCTCCAATGGGCAACTCAATATCTTCTTAGAGTTCCATGAAGAAATAGTGATCTTTTCCCAAACTAAAGAAAAAACTTAGCCTCCAAAATATATCTTCCCAAGGGATTTTCAAGGGAAAATGTGGATATACGAACTTTCACTTTATTCACCGAGGTCAGAACCTAATCTCCAAGAAATATACAAGTGTACTTGACACAGAAGCACAGACAGAGCGTTTCGCTCTGTCCCGACTTCTGCAGGCCCTGTCTGACCGTGACTCAGAGTCAGGTCGATCAGTCATCTGCAGCTGTGATCTCCTCAGTTCTTTTAATAGTGCATTTTATCAGTAAAAACAACAACAAACTGGCATCTCCATAATTACACACAGCTATCCTTCGCTATCTAAAAATATCAGTTCCTGAGTTGAGATGGTACATTTGGATAGTGAAGAGTATCAGTTTATCCAAATCTATTTGGTTCTGACATCAAGCGGTCAGAATTTGGATTGCCAAGAATTCATCCTAAAATATATCTGAATTAGTTCAGTTCTTGAGTTTGGGTAGGATAGCTATTTATTTAAAATTATATTTGTGTACTCCTGTACTAAAATATTATGGGCATTAAAAAATCAGAAAAATCATCATTTTAAATGGAGAAAATAAAAATAAATGCCATAGACGTTCTCATGATGATGTTAGTTTTTTGGAGTGTGTGTCCCTGCTTTGGAGAGCGTTCAGGTGGTCTGAGAATCAGGAGTGACCAAGGGTCATGGGGCAGACTGCAGATAAAACAGCCCAATTTATCTCACTGATTCTCAGAACAGTTCTCTTCTCTCATATATATTCACAGCTATTAGCATGTCTAATGCTTGGGATGACTGCATGTTCTTCATGTAGCCTCATTTTATCACTTTATAAGTTTTGATGGTATTAGCAAATTTGTAATAGCTTCTCTCTTCTCTGCTTCACAGTAGATCAAACATTAGCACGTTAAATGGGCAGTTTATGATTTCTCCTTAAAATAGAATCCTAATTGTGTTTAAAACTACCTTCTCCCTGGGTAGTTTTTTCAATAGTAATTGCCAAAATGCTGAAAGGTTTCTGTCTCTCAAGAAGTAACAATCTAAATCTGGCCTCTTGTGGCCTCATTCTGAATTTCAAATAAGCATCTGGCCTTTTCTGACCCAGGGAGAGTCAGTCAGGACTGTACCTATGAACTACAGTTGCTGGTGCAGTTGAGACTTGCAATTTAATTTAATCAATATTTCTGAAGACTTTCCATCTACAAGATTCAGTAGTCTGAGACTGAGTATCCGGTTTACGTTAGTATTGGGTTAGTGAAAGTGTTATTTATGTGCAGAGTGGCTTAATATATAGAAACCAGGTCTTCAGATAACATTCAAATTTTTCATTTCATCTTTGTATCTGGTTGTCATGAAGAGAAAATTGGCTTGTCTATTATAGTGGTCTTCAAACACTTTTTAGTAGCATGAGATCTCTCTAAGATTGTACTTGGAACCATTATGTATGAAAGAGAAGATTGATCTCAAGTCTACAGGTGCAGGAACCCCAGGTTCCAGCTACTTGGCCTTCCCTTCTCCAGGACTTCCATTTCCCTTCTTTGTAGAAAAAAAGGAAGGAGCTGGGAGAAAATATTGAAGCACATGATCTAAAATCTCAGTTCTAAAAGAAACAGTATGAATGTGTCACTTTGAGCAGGTCATTCAACCCCTCTGTGCCTCTGCTTTTTATTTATTTTTTTGAGACAGAGTCTCACTCTTGTTGCCTGGTTCTCAAGGGATGGACTAAATCACTGCTATCATCCCTCACAAGACATCACAAAGATGTCTTGAAATTGATGGAGTTCATATTGAAAAACAAAGTCTGTATTTTAAAAAAATTATTTTATCTTTTTTTTTCTTTTTTGGAGATGGAGTCTTGCTCTGTTGCCCAGGCTGGAGTGCAGTGGCACAATTTTGGCTTACTGCAACCTCCGCCTCCCAGGTTCAAGTGATTCTCCTGCCTCAGCCTCCCAAGTAGTTGGGATTACAGGCACCTGCCACCACGCCTGGCTAATTTTTGTATTTTTAGTAGAGATGGGGTTTTGCCACATTGGCCAGGCTGGTCTTGAACTCCTAACCTCAGTGATTCTCCCACCTCGGACTCCCAAAGTGCTAGGATTACAGGTGTGTGCCACCGCACCCGGCCAATGTTTGCTTATTTTAAAGATACCAATGGTATCTGCTTCCCAGAGTGATTATAAGCCTCAAATGAAAATTTTGGCTCCAGGTTTTACTTAATTACTCTGCATCAATCAGGCCCAGGTTTCCTCCTGGGCAAGAAGAGGGCAGCCATGACAATTGTTCTTAGCCTAAGCTAAGGCACACAGGTGAGAAAGAGTTTCCACCTGAATCTTCTTTATGCAGCAACATCAATAGGTAAAACAGTAAACCTGGATGTGCAGCTGCAAGGTTTGTTATCTAACTGACTTCTTCCTGACAGTGAGAGAAACCACAGGTCCTCAGTCCTCCAGATGCTCTCCATAAGTTCTTAATGACTAGTCTGCTTTCTCGTAAATGTATTAATAACTTACTTTGTTTCTAATAACTAAATATTGTGTCTTTCCCTTCTCCCACAAGAGTTCCCCTCCAACTTCTGCTTCTGATCAGTACTGACCCATTCAATGAAAATGATTGTGAATATGCTTTGAAATGCTCACGAACTGTGCACATTAGTTACTGTGTTTCATACATGTTTCCAGAAATTCTACATATCACACCTTCTGACATTCATTTATCATCAGCTTCAACCACTATTATTTTTCCTTTGTAACTAACCTACACCTCATCTATTCCTCCACAGCCCTGGAAGCCTAAATTCAAGACAGACCTATAGCTGGTGGCTCTGCAAGTAAACTGAGCTCTGTCCTTTCCCCACCAGCCAGTTATATTTTCTCAGAATGGAGCCAAAATTCTACACTAGATATGCTGCTGCCTGGTAATCTTTTCATTAACAGGCCATCCGCCAATTGGAATCATCAATTACTGTTGGCACAGAGAATTCACAGTCCTTTTCCAACAATGAGGGTGGTGGGCATACCAGGCCTGGATTCATTTCAGCCGCATGTCCCCTTTTTCCTCTCCGTCTCCACTGGGGGGTTTCAGAATCTGCATTGTTTTGTGAAGAGGAGAATGGTCAAGGTCCTGGCTAGTGTTGTTTCTGTGGAGGTAGAACCTGTGAACAGGAAGTGTAGCCAGCTGGTGGCTCAAGCTATGGGTCTCCTTTCAATCTGGGGACCCTCAGGCTCTGCAGCTGAAGGAGAGACAGCTGGAAGGTGGGGGCGAAGGGAGGCAAATGTGGCAAGCAGCTCATTGCCCAGGCCTGACACTTCAGCCCCTACAACATCAGAGGTGTTTGCCAACAACCCCACCTTCTCTGGAAAGGGTGAGTTATTGACTGTGAAGGAAACACAAATAATGGACGTTATTTTCGTGCAAAGACAACATGAGACAGGGTTCTCTTTTAGGTAGTGAGTCTTATCAACAATGGCTTCCCTAAGTCCTTCCAAAGTGTCTATCCATTAGGGCCAAAGGAGGTGCTTTGATTCTCTCTCAGAGGAGAGAGCAGTTTAATAAATCAGCAAGTGGATGGAGCATCTAAATTCAATAATTGTGAAGTGCAGATAAATCACTGCTGTCAATGCTGACTTTAGACTTTATTCACTCAAAATGGTTAAATTCAAACAGCAATATGCCTACCCAGCATCTGGACACGCACAGCTCATGGCCCCCAGCCACCAGGCTAGAATGTCTCCCCAGAGTTGGGCCTCATTCCTGGCGGTCTGTTGGGAAGTGAAGACAAAGGAAGGAGGTTGAATTACAGCCTGAGAGATGACCCATTCTAGTGGCAGAGAGATTGTGGAAGCTCAAAGTGAATAATTCATTGTGCTGTTTGGCTGTGCATTAGGTTTGATCCCTGGAGCTGCTGATGCAAAGGAGATCAAGCTCTGGCATCTTACCCCAGCTGCACAACTGGGCTTTCCAACACGTTATTTGTTGTTGATTTGCTCACCAGCAACATGAGGGCGTGAACAATGGTACATGATCAAAGCTAGAAGTTTAATAGACTCCAGTTGAGCCAAGACTGGTAGGGTGTTTCCACTTACTCCTCTAGATTTTTCCTCGTAGAATATGTGGTATATCTACTCTCTCCATTTAAACTCTAAGTTTCATGTGAAATGCAAGGAAGTGCAGCCCTTATATTTATAAACATGTCAACTTGCAAATGGTTGGATAGGTATTTGAATTATTGATTGTTAAATATTTAAGCTGAATTCCTCATCCATCAGTTCTCATGAGAAGCCGGGGGACAGATTTACGATGCTGGAGTTTTTCTGGTTAGTTGGCAGTTGGCATCTCTATCAATTATAGCTCACACGGTAAGTTCCGCAGCGTTCATTGCAGGCACTCAGAATCAGTGTCTATTCTTCCTTTCAGAGAGAGTTTGTGCAACAAGAGCTTCTGAAAGGAAAAGAAAAAGTAACATGCCGTCTCTGAATTATTGCTGCCACTTTCTGAGGTTTTGGTGGGTCTGATTGTGTCTCTGGCTATAACGTAGTTGAAAGATCAAGATTTTTAGAGGCAGATAGATCTGGATTTCAGTTCCAGCTCCCTCACTTCCTTAATCCTGTGAACCTGAACAATTTTCTTCATACCTCTGAATCTCAATTTCTTTATCTAAAAAATAAAGTCTCATGATTCTGTTTCATTAGTGAAATTTAAACAAAGACTCTTGCTCACACTCATTCTCACTTCTTCTGCCTCCTAAACAGCCCAGGTGCTTCCCTGTATGGCCCTTCCTGGTGTGGCCCTGTGTGGCTTGGCATACCCTTTCCTCTTGTGAACCATGAGTAACAAACTATCTTCTTTTTTGTTTTTTGAGACGGAGTCTCACTCTGTCACCCAGGCTGGAGTGCAGTGGTACGATCTCGGCTTACTGCAACCTCTGCCTCCCGGGTTCAAGCAATTCTCCTGCCTCAGCCTCCCGAGTAGCTGGGACTACAGGTGTGCACCACCACGCCCAGCTAATTTTTGTATTTTTAGTAGAGACGGGGTTTCAACATGTTGGCCAGGATGGTCTCAATCTCTTAACCTCATGATCTACCCTCCTCGGCCTCCCAGAGTGCTGAGATTACAGGCGTGAGCCACCATGCCCAGCCCAAACTATCTTTTCAATGACAATTATCTCCTGCTGTCTCTTTTTTTCTTTTTTTGAGATAGAGTCTCTCTCTGTCGCCCAGGCTGGAGTGCAGTGGTACGATCTCGGCTCACTGCAACCTCTGCCTCCCGGGTTCAAGCAATTCTCCTGCCTCAGCCTCCTGAGTAGCTGGGACTACAGACACACACCACCACACTCAGCCAATTTTTGTATTTTTAGTAGAAATGAAGTTTCGCCATGTTGGCCAGGCTGGTCTCAAACTTCTGGCCTCAAGTGATCCGGTCGCCTCAGCCTCCCAAAATGCTGGGATTACAGGCGTGAGCCACCATGCCCGGCCTCCTGATTTTATGGTCTCATCACACCTGAATAATAATAAAATCTACATTTAAAAACATCTATATATATATATATATATATATATATATACACACACACACATATGTATGTGTGTATGTATAACGTTTATGTGTGTATATATATGTGTATGCATTAATGCTTATGTGTATATATGCGTATGTATATATATATGTGTATTTGTGTATCAGGTACCATGTATTGACAGCTTGCTATGTGCCAGACACAATTCTAATGATTACATATATTAACTTGTTTAATTCTCACAACAACCCTTTGAGGTATGTACGACTTATTAGCCCTATTTTATAGCTCAGAAAATTAAGGCACCAAAAGTTTAAGGAAACTCTCTGAGTTCACACAGCTGTTAAGTGGTGGAATTGGGTTTTGAAGCCCTAAACTTTCTGCAATTAAGGAAATATGCTATATGTGCTATCTAAATGGTAGGCATTAGCCACATGTGGCCAATGAGTACCTGAAATGGGATTGAGGAACTGAATTTTTAATTTTATACAAATTTAATTAATTTAATTTTGAATACCCACATGCGGCCAGTGGCAACTGTACTGGACAGAGCAGGTCTAGACCCTGTACCTCTAACCCTTACAAGACAGGAAAATTGAATAAACATTTGTCTGCAGAACTTCTCAGAGCCTTTGTCTGTCAATGGGTATTGTGAAACTCAGAGAGGAAATAGAACATACCCAAGGGATACAATCTTTTCTGCTTCTCTAGAGATGGCAGATGACCTCTGTCCCCATGTGGGAATGTCTGGGGGACTGACACCCCCAGCCAGAGCTGGTGCCTGCCCATGCAATGTGATAGTGACTGCCTGGTCCCCAGATACTTTCCTGAAATGTCCACCATGGAAATCAGTCCTCTGGCATAGAAACAAAACCATTTCATCTCAAACATATGCAGGTGGTAAGAGATTCAACTTATTTCATGAACACATTGTTATTTTAATACAGAATTGATTAAATCATTTAAATTAATCAAGTTGCATATTTTACAAATTATAAATTTGCACCTTAACTTATATCAATGTTACTCAAAGTGTGATCCCTTCTAGCAGCAGCAGCACTGATGGGAATCTAGTGAGAACAAAATTATCAGCCCATTCCAGACCTAATGAATCAAGTCCTGGGGATGTGGCCCAGCAATCTGTGTTTTAACAAGTCCTCTGGGTGACTCATTCAAGTCTGAGATCACCTTACGTAAATGGTCTAATTTAATCTATAGAGCTGGGGAAAGGGAGTCCCAGGGAATTTAAATGACATGCTCAAAGCTACTGAGCAGAAAAATTACGGAACTGGAACATGAACCCAGTTCTCAACCAGCGGCTTCATATCTGCCTGGAGGTCTTCCAGATTTCCTGGGGACAGCCCTAGCTGCTGACTGGCCCTCTTCTCTATGCTTACCCCAGTCTCAGAGTGGGGTGGTGGCTGTGGGGCAAGAGAGCCAGCCACATGCTCCCCTTGCATTTCTCTTTCCTACTCCCACCCTCTCCATCTCACCTCCTGTCACGATACACAGGTCAACAAATATACAGTAAGCATCCTTTTCCATCTTTCCCTCAGCCTTCCTCCTAAGACTTTTATACATTCCTAGTCTCTCATGTGGGAAAGTAGAAATTTAATAGGCATGGTGGGGGAAGGGGAAGGAAATGGGGTTCCATAATTGGGAAATGCTGGATTAAACAAAATTAAGTAGGTTTCTTTATTACAGGTCTTTTCAGAGCTTTTACGATGTAAATATGTGACACTCCAAAAAGGAGGATATAGCATGCAGCATTCAACAATTCAGATGACCACAGAACCTTCTTATTTGGAGAACATTTTGTGAGATGAGCATTCTGTAGAGGACAGGTTCTTTTCCCATGGAAAGCAGAGCATGAGCCCTAAGTGTATAGGACATAGGACAGGCAGATCTTGCGTGTCATGATAAAGGATAGAGAAATTCCAGAATGCAGAATTCCCATTGCACCAGTCATTGCCACTTCTAGTATATCTTTGAGTCTAGCCCTATCAGAGATCTTCCTAAGGTCAAGTTTACTGAGTGAAGAAAGGTAATGGTAGGGAAATATTACTACTTGGAGGGTGCTATAGTCTGAATATGTCTTGCAAAATTCATATGTTGAAACTTAATTGCCAATGTGATAGTATTAAGACGTAGAGTCTTTAGCAGGTGATTAAGTCATGAGGGCCGAGCCATCATGGATGGAATTAACATCTTATAAAAGAGGTGGAAGGGAGCACCCTAAACCTTTTTTGCCCTTCAAGGTGCCATATTGAAAGCAGAGTCCAGGCCCTCACCAGGCACCAAACCTGCCAGTACATTGATCTTAGACTTCTCAGCCTCTGGAACTCTAAGAAATAAATTTCTATTATTTATAAATTACCTAGGCTGTAGTATATTGTTACAACAGCATGAATGTACTAAGGTAGGGGGTGAGACGTAACAGCAAGTGGCCCACAATAGTGCTAGGACTAAGTACCGGAGGCCCTACTGGGCCAGCTGTGAACCCCTTAGTTGCTGGATCATGGGGAGGGAGAGTGAGGAGTCTCAGAATAGAGTGCAAGAGAGCTGAGTCACAGTATTCTGAGGATTCAGGGTAAGAGCAGTCTGCCAACTATAGAATTATTTCATTCTTTGACAACTGAGATAGTGATTCTGGTACATGCCAGCTAAATATTAGCCCTGAATTCAGGAGCAGGCTTTAAAACATCAGTGTTCCATCATAGACTATGTCATCCTAATTATATATATTATGTCCCCAAAAGCCATACACACACACACACACACACACACACACACACACACACACACACATATATATACACACATATATATATATATTTATACATGTTATGTCCCCCAAAGCTATCTATATAAAACAGTGTTAGTATCTCTCAAATTGTTGTTAAAGACAAGCTTTCTTTTAATTTAGGTATCTGGTGGCTCTACTTGATGGACTCAAAAACCACATTTTTTGTTGTTTTTTGTTTTTTGTTTTTTTGAGTGGTCACACAGCTCAGGCAGAGGCTCCTGGCTTGCATGGTTGCCCATAATAGGACGAAGAATATTTAAATTAAGCTTTAAAAGCCTTGGTGCTTGTTTCAGTTCGGCTATTTACTAGTTGTGTGGCCTTAGGAAGGTTATATACCTTCTCTGAACCTCTTTTTTCTCATTTGGAAAATGATGATAGTCATAATATACATGAAAGCGGCTGATATAATGCATTGTACATAACATGCTTTCAATAAATGTTGCAAGAACTAAAAAAATAATTACTAAGAACTGGAAAAGCCAACTAACTAATTAGCTAACTAAAAACCCACATGCATACATACATACCAGCTCATTCTGGGCCACAGGCTTCATTTGAGAAGTAGACAGTTGGTTTGGATTTGTATGTGGGGAAGAATCTGAGATTAACTGCCTCCCCATTCTGCATCTTTGGCTTCAGTTAAGGAAAAGCAGATGTGTGGACAGGAAAGGAGGTACCAATTTGAATGACAAAACTGGGCTGAAAGAATGCATACATCACATAAAACAGACACACAGACCAATGGAACAGAATCAAGAGCCCAGAAATAAACCTATGCATATATGGTCAACTAATATTTGACGAAGGCGCCAAGAATACACATGGGGAATGGATAGTCTCTTCGATAAATGGTGTTGGGAAAACTGGATATTCACAGGCAAAAGAATGAAATTGGATCCCTATCATACACCACTCACAAAAATTAATTGAAATGGATTAAAGACTTAAATGTAAGACCTGAAACTGCAAAACTCCTAGAAGTAAACATAGGGAAAAACTTCTTGACATTGGTCTTGGCAATGATTTTTTGGATATGACACCAAAACACACAAACAACAAAAGCAAAAACAGACAAGAAGGACTACATCAAACTAAAAGCCTTCTGTACATCCAAGGAAACAATCGACAAAATGAAAAGGCAACCTATGGAATGGGAGAAAATATTTGCAAACCATATATCTGATAAGGAGTTAATAGCTAAAATATATAAGGAACTCATACAACTCAACAGCAAACAAATAAACAAACAAATAATCCAATTTTAAAATGACAAGACACCTAAATAGACATCTTTCCAATGAAGACTACAGGGAGTGTATGTTAAGGGCAACTTGAATCTATGTGCCAGAGGGCATTATTACACTTTTATTTTTATTTTTAAAAAGACATACAAATGGCCATCAGGTACACAAAAAGGCTCTCACCATCACTAGTCATCAGGGAAATGCAAATCAAAACCACAGTGAAATATCACCTCCCACATGTTAGGATGGCTATTATAAAAAAGATAAGGCCAGGTGCGGTGGTTCACACCTGTAATCCCAGCAGTTTGGGAGGCCAAGGTGGGTGGATCACCTGAGGTCAGGAGTTCAAGACCAGCCTGGCCAACATGGTAAAACCCCGTCTCTACTAATAATACAAAAATTAGCTGGGCATGGTGGCGGGCACCTGTAATCCGGCTACTCCGAAGGCTGAGGCAGGAGAATCGCTTGAACCTGGGAGGCAGAGGATCACACCACTGCACTCCAGCCTGGGCAACAAGAGCAAAACTCTGTTTAAAAAAAAAAAAAAAAAAAAAAAGAGAGAGAGAGATAAGGGTTGATGAGGAGATGAAGAAAAATAAACCCTGTGCACTGCTGGTGGGAATGTAAATTGGTGGAGCCATTATAAAACAGTAGAGAGGTTCCTCAGAAACATAAAAATAGAACAGCCATATGATTCAGCAATCCCACTTCTGGGTTTGTTTCCGTAGGAAAGAAAATCAGTACCTCAAAGAGATATCTGCACTCTGATGTTAATTGCAGCATTATTCATAATAGCCAAAACCACCTAAGTATCTAAGTATCTGTCAATGGATGAATGGATATCTGTCTATCTATCTATACATACACACACACACACAATATATATAACAGTATTTATTACATATTATATATAATTATATATATATACACATATATATATATATAGTCCAGCCATAAGAAAAGAAGAAAATCCTGCCATTTGGGACAATATGAATGAAACTTGACGGCATTATGCTAAGTGAAATAAGTCAGAAGAGAAAGACAAACACTGTATGATCTCACTTAAGAAGACAGTGTGGCGATTCCTCAAAGATCTAAAGACAGAAATACCATTTGACTCAGCAATCCCATTACTGAGTGTATATCCAAAGGAATATAAATCATTCTACTGGAAAGATACATGCACATGTATGTTCAGTGCAGCACTATTCACAATAGTGAAGACATGGAATCAACTCACATGCCCATCAATGATAGACTGGATAAAGAAAATGTGGTACATATACACCATGGAATACTATGCAGCCATAAAAAGGAATGAGAACATGTCCTTTCCAGGGACATGGATGAAACTGGAAGCCGTTTATCCTCAGCAAACTAACACAGGAACAGAAAACCAAACACCACATGTTCTCACTTATAACTAGGAGCTGAATGATGAGAACATGTGGACACATGAAGGGGAACAACACACACTGGGGCCTGTCAGTGCAGGGGGAGGGAGAGCATCAGGAAGAATAGCTAGCTAATGGATGCTGGGCTTAATACCAAAGTGATGGATGGTTTGATCTGTGCAGTAAACCACCATGGCACACGTTTATCTATGTAACAAATCTGTGCATCCTGCACATATACCTTGGAACTTAAAATTAAAAAAAAAAAAAAAGTTGAACTCATTGAAACAGAGAGTAGAATGGTGGTTGGGGAGAATAGAATGGTGGTTTCTCCCGTAGGAGCTGGGGAAAGTGAAGAGATGATCAAAGGTACAAACTTTCAGTTATAAAATGGATGAGTTCTGGGGATCTCCTGTATAGCCTGGTGACTGTAATTTACACTGTATTGTATACTTGAAATTTGCTAAAAGAGTAAATATTAAATGTTCTCATTACACACACATACACAAAAGGTAACTATATGAGGTGATGGGTGTGTTAACTAACTTGATTGTGGTAATCATTTCACTGTATATATATATATATATATATATATATATATATATATATATATATATATCAAATAATCACAGTGCACACGTTAAATTTATACAATTCTGTTTGCCAAGCCATACCTCAAGAAAGCTGTGGGTGGGGGAAGCATCCATAAAACCTGCCCACAGAGCTGCCAGAATGGAGAGGTGGAGGAGGTCACCACCTCTTTCCTGGGAAAGAAATGAGTTTTGTTTCCTCACCTTCTGTGAACTGCAGTTGTGGTGTTTAGCCTATGGCTCACTGAGCATCAAAAAGAGCTGCATCAACATCATTACTGCTTTTCTGTCCTCACCTGATGGTGTTTCACACCTTATCAGAGATGCTGGAGATAGCTTAGTGACCCCTGTACACTAAGAAGGTGACAATCTGGGTGTATGACAGCTTTAAGCTTTGCTTTATGGAAGCCTGGCTGGCCTTCTGGCCCTTTCCAGGTTCTTGAACTAACTGATCAGGAAGGATCTTCATTTGTACAATCCCTTCATTCCTCAGGTAGGAAAACCAGAGAAGATGTGCTCCTTATTTAAAGTCACACAGTATATTAGTAGCATGTATCAGTTAGATTTGCTAAGTAACAAGCTGCCCCAAAGCTTAGCAGCTTAAAGCAACAAATGTATACTTAGCTCATTGTTCTATGGATCAGGATTTTGGGCTGTGCTCACCTGGTCTTGACTGAACTCACTCATGCATGTGCAGTCAGCTGCAGAGTCAGCTAGGTGCTAGCCTGTGGTGGTCTCAGTTAAGATGGCTCACCTCTGCTTTATGAGGTCTTTCATCTTCCAGCAGATTAGCCCAAGCCTATTCACATGGCACCTTGGCAGGATGCCCCATGAGAGGGCGGGTGCTCTTAAGACCTCTTAGTCCTAGCTTCAAAAGTGGCACAACATCGCTTCCACGGCATTCTACTGTTCAAAGCCAGTGACAAGGCCAGCACAGATTCAAGAGATAGGGAAATAGCCTCCATCTCATGATGAGAGGAGCTTTAAAGACAAGTGCAAAAGGGCAGCACACAAAGACAGAAATAATGGAAGCTTTTTTGCAAACTCTGTCCCAAAGTATATCCAGGAATTCTCCCCAAGGCTCTTGATTTTGAGGTATAATGGAGATCTATTGTTTTGCCCACCTAGCATCCATCTCCTCTTCCTTGGAGACTTACACTTAGAATTTACTTTAAGTCCAGTTTTGGGAGAACTTTTGATGAAAAAGCTCCACCTATCCTGTTGCATGTCCATTAACAGGTGGACATGCAACCCAGGTTAGACCCATCCAGATGCTCTTTGCCTGGAATTTGAACACTGACCCAGCAGAGTGGCAGCATGACTTCAGACGAGATGCTCCATCTGTTCCTGCTGCCTTTGCTCCTCAGTGCGGCCCAGCCACTTCCCTTGTGAGGTCTGACCATTTGGCTGTGCTTCAGTTCTGTGAACTGCCTGCTGCAGTGGACGCTGTGTGCACCACCCAGATCCCACTCAGGACGGAGGCAATTATTCCTGCAGCTGCTGGAAGGGTTGATTGCTGAGAGCCACAGACACGTCTCACCCCAAGAATTGCCCTTCTCTCAAGAGTGCTACCTTTCCCTGGGGATGGCCTCCCTTGGGACAACTCTGAAGGGCCATCCCTGGCCGATCAGGTGAGGCTTTTGTTGTACCTGAGTCACAGTTCAACTTCTCCTTCTGCCCAGTTCTGCTTCCCTCACTCCCTCATGAGTTTTGTTGCCAAGAACAGCCTCCAGTAGATATCCCGCAGAAAAATCTCCATCTGAGAAACTGTTTCCTGAGGTTCTCACCTTAAGATACCCCATATCCCTTTCATAAATTCATTTCTTACCTGGGTGAGTCAGTCAGTTTCTGTGGCTTACAACCAAAAACTGTTAAAAAGCTATGTTCTTCCAGCCTTCTTTTCACTATATCATTTTCTAATTCTTGCCCACTATTTACTTAACATGTACTATTTGACCACTCAAAATAACCCTTCCATGTTGGTACTGTTAGCCTCGTTTGATAGGTGAGATAACTTAAATCAAGGACCTTAAATGAATTGCCCAAGGTGATAAGCAAAGTAGCTAAGAAAATTAACTTTGGAGACTACCACCACCACTCCCTACTTATGTCACCTTGGACAACTTAACCTATATATGCCTTGGTTTTCTCCTCTGTAAAATGGGGATAATAATAATAGCACCTATCTCATAGGGTTGCTATGAGGATGAAATGAATTAATACACATAAGGTGTTTAGAACAGTGTCTGCCAAACATAAGTTCTACATCAGTGTTTGCTATGATTATTGTTGCTGATGTAAGTATTAGTAGTAATGGTATTAATATTGAGCTTTCTGATTCTAGAGCTTATGCTTGCTGTGTCTGCAATATTCCTCAAGTGTAAATCCTCTTTCTGCTATTTCCACAGCCCATCTTGCTCCCAGAATGCCAGATCTTGAGTAGAGAACCATGTATCTCTAATGAAAGGAACAGTTCTGCTGACAAGGCCCCTCTTTGCTTGCCTTCCCATTTTTCTTTGTTTCAGGTTTGAAATATGGTCTTCCCCCCACTCACTGGTTTGCTGTAAGTAATTGTCTTCTTGGAGCAACCTGAAAGGTGCTCCTGTTTGGGGCATCCTAGCCTGTTGGGGATGTAATTTGTTAAAGTATATTTTAAATACAATAGACTCCCAGGGTGAATGTGCCTGCTATGCTACCCAAGGAGCTGGTTTAATTATTTGAATCATTCCCCCAGGCCATTCTTAATCTCAGGCCTGCCTCTGTTAACTGCACATCTTGTGATGGGACACAACATGAATATCAAAATCAATAAATTACACGTTTTCAAGGATGGAGGCCAAACAACAGCAACCTAGTTACTGGGCATGAAAGCCAGCTTCCTCTTAGAAACCATAATCCCAAAACAATAAGTCTGGGCAGTGGGACATATTCTTGTTATGGGGCACATGCTGTTCTGACATTAAAAGAATGCAGATTGGTCTTAAAACCTGGGACCTTGTAATTACAAGGGATGAATGGTTCTTAGTGAACACAGAAGCATTCCCAGGGCTTAACCGACTTCTGTTTGGAAATCACGATGCCAGGGTGAATGTGAGCAACTAACATTGACTGAGCACTCCTCAAAAAAGGGAAGAGAATGCAGTCCTTGCTGTCCTGCCAAGAAGGGAAGTGAGGGGGACACACAGGAAAGCATCTTTCCAGGAGAGCCAAGGAGCAAAGGAAGGAACAACAGGAAAGGCATCTGAAGCCAGCTTGAGGGCAAGTCAGGGCTTCCCTGAGCTGAAAATGCTCAAGATGAGGGTGAGGAGAAGACAGGCAGGTGCAGAAGGAGAGAGGCCGTGCAGGCAGAGGCCAAAGCTCTCTTGATGGCACCAACACATGAACGGCTTTGGGAACTACAAGCATCTCTTAAATCCATTTCCCATCCCTCACTCCCCAGGAGCAAAGGCTCTCATCATTGTTGTTGTTGTTTTTGCATCTCCTCAATTCCCCACCCCCAGCCCCTGTAGCCACCATTCTACTCTCTACTTTAATGAATTGCACTTTTTTAGATTCCTCATATGAGTGAGATCATGGAGTGTTTGTCTCTCGGCCTGACTTATTTCACTTAGCGTAATATCCTTGATGTTCATCTATGTTGTTGCAAATGACAGAATTTCCTTCTTTTTTGAAGCTGGAGAGTATTCCACTGTATACATAGACCACAATTTCTTTATTCATTTATCTGATGATGGACACTTAGTTTGATTCCATATCTTGGCTATTGTGAATACTGCTGCATAAACACAGAAGTGCAGATACCTCTTCAACATACTGAGTTCATATCCTTTGGATATGTATGCAGTAGTGGGATAGCTGGATCTGTGACAGTTCTAATTTTAATTTTTTGAGAAACCTCCGTGCTGTTTTCTATAATGGCTGTACTGATTTACATTTCCACCAGCACTGTACAGGAGTTCCCTTTTCTCTATGTCCTCGCCAACACTTTTTATCTTTTGCCCTTTTGATAGTAGCCACACTAACAGGTGTAAGTTAATGTCTTATTGTGGTTTTAATTTGTAGTTCTCTAATGATTAGAAATCTTGAGCATTTTTTCTTATACCTGTTGGCCATTTGTATGTCTTCTTTTGAGAAATGTCTATTCAGATCCTTTGGCCATATTTAAATCAGATTATTTGTTTTCTTACTATTGAGTTGAGTTCCTTATATATTTTGAATATTAGCTCCCTATTAGCATGGTACTGGCATAAAAATAGACACATAGGCCAATGCAACAGAATAGAAAGCCAAGAAATAAATCTGCACATTTACGATTACTTGATTTTTGACAAAGGTGCCAAAAACACACAATAGAGAAAGAGCTCTCTTCAATAAATAGTGTGAGACGACTGAATATCCACATGCAGAAAAATGAAATTAGACCTTTATCTCACATCTTATACAAACATCGACTCTACATGGATTAAAGATTTAAATGTAAGACCCAAAACTATAAAACTACTAGAAGAAAACATAAGAGAAAAGCTTCATGCATGACCTTAGTCTGAACAATGATTTTTGGGTATAAGCCAAAAATCACAGACAACAAATGCAAAAATAGACAAACGGTATTACAGCAAACTAAAAAGCTTCTGCACAGACAAGGAACAATCAATAGGGTAAAGAGACAAACTACAGAATGGGAGAAAATATATGCACACCATACAGGCTCTCCTCATTTCTCACCAAGAATACTGCAGTGGCCTTCTTGTTGGTACTGCTGTCTCCTGACCTTCCCTAACCTTTCCCACCACGGCCACCATCTTCACAAATACGTCTTTCACTGAATAATCTCATTCTCACTCTCCTTCTCAAAACTCTTCCAAGGTGCCTCACCATCAGGATAAAATCTCATCATCGATTTAGCATGTGAGACAGTGCCTGATGTGAGCTAATCCTGGTATCCCCCAGGGACCCTCATCCCCAACCTCCACTATCTTGTGCTCTGGTAACACAAAACTAAAATCTGAGTGTCATCTGAGTATTAGGCACAGTGCTGAATGCTTTCACTTTATATATTATGTCATTTAATCCTCATAGCAACCAGATGGGACAGAGCAACTTATCCTCATTTTACAGATGGGTCCAAAAGTTAAGCCAACGTGATCCTAAGACCCATGTTATTTCTAGGGCTGTAGTTTGGATTAAATTTGTTTATGTCCAGATATTTAAACTAATGATTAAGAAACCCTGGAGAAATAAAGCTACATGTTAGTTACATACAAGAAAGATACACATTAAAATAATAATTCACTTACTGAAGTCACATTAAAGACATAGAAATGACACCCAACCCCATACTCTAGCTCATAACCACCTGTCTGACCTAATTTCCTAACAGCCCCTCTCCTGCTCACTGTGATTCAGCCACACAGGCCTCGGCTCTTCTCGGAATGGTCCAAGTCTGCTTCAGTTGCAGGATCTTTGTGTTAGCTATTCTCTATCTGAAAGTGCATGTGCAACAAGCTTTTTCATGGTTCATTTTCTCACATCACTGAGATCTTTGCATAAATTTTACCTCCTCAGAGATAACTTTGCTGACCACATTTCCTAAGACACCACCATCATGTTCTGTTTTTCTCTTTCCTGTTATCCTTATTCATACCCTTACCATGACCTTACAAGATTAGTTATTTATTTGTTATCTGTCTTCCTTACTTCACAGGGTTCCACAATGGTAGGGTCTGTATTTCTAGAACCTAGAACAGTATCTAACATGTAATAAACACACAATTAATATTCATGGAAGAGAAAAATGGCTCCCAAACTCCCGAACATCTTTGACGATGACCTGACTGAGAGTATTAGAGTAGCTAGAATGCATGGGGTCACACAGAAGTGGCTTGGGTAATTAGTGAAGAAGGGGAGAACAGTAGACATGTGGAGAAAAAACAGTAAACATGTGTTGGTGGCATTCATTCAACAATGCACAGTAAAGAGAAAGGCCTGTTAGGGTCACACAAGTCCACGTCCTTTGAGGGGAGTGCCATACATTATGGAGATGAGTTGCATGAAGTAGACACTCAGTAAATGCTTAAAATTATGAGTGAATCTCGGAATTTTATGGTTACCTCAGCCTACCTCCACCTGGTTCTACTCAGGTTCTGAGAGCTAAGGTGGGTCAGTGACTTTGTAAGTTGGAAGGGATTTAATATACAGTTATCCCTCGGTGTCCATGAGGGATTGGTTCCAGGACCCCCGCAATTATCAAAATCTGCAGATATTCAAGTCTCTGGCATAAAATGGTGTCGTATTTGCATCTAACCTACACACAACCTCCTGTGTACTTTAAGTCATCTCTAGATGACTTATAAGTAATAAAGAGCAGGGAACCCAACCCCTAGGCCGCAGACCAGTACCAGTCTGTGGCCTGTTAGGAACTGGGCCACACAGCAGGACATGAGTGGCGGGTGAGCAAGCGTTACCACCTGAGCTCCACCTCCTATCAGATCAGCATGGGCATTAGATTCTCACAGGAGTGTGAACACTATTGTGAACAGTGCGTGTGGGATCTAGGTTGCCTGCTCCTTATGAGAATCTAACTAATGCCTGGTGATCTGACTGAGGTCTTCCATGAAACTGGTCCCTGGTGCCAAAAAAGTTGGAGACTGCTGATCTGGAGTATGTAAATAGTTGTTATACTGCATTGGTTTTTTAGTTATATTATTTTTATCATTATATTGTTATTTTTTTCTGAATATTTTTGATCCACAATGCGGAATCTGTGATAAGAAGGGCCCTCTGTACATTTTTTCAATCCTGTGATTAGAGTGGCAACAGGAATAGTCTGATTTCTGGTTCCTTTATTAGGCAGAAACTTTCCTGTAATTCTGAAGTTTGGCTCAGACTCAGCCTGTGGAGACTGGGAAACTGAGGACTAAGTGTGGATTCCAAAGGCCTTCTCTGTCGGAGTGGTTAGTGTTTGGCAAGCTTGATGGAGATTCTTCACTATGGGAACCACCTGATTTCTCAGGACGGCTTGAAATAGCTGGATGACCAGAAGCTCAGTCTACAGCAGTGTTTTTCAACCTACCAGTTGCAACCCTCGGTGGTTTATGAAATAAACATGATGAGTCACATCCAGCTTTTTAAAATAAAATAGAGTAGACAAACTCTAACTGGTTTAGAGGAGAAAAACATCATTTCCTCACTCATCTTAGGTTCAGGACTGAAGCACCTACAACAAAAGACAGATTAACAAAAGAAGAGCATACAAATTATTTAAGTTTTACAAGACACGAGAGACTTCCTAAGAATACGAAGACCCGAAGAAGCAGTTTAAACCTGAGTATTTTTACGCCAGATTTGATGAGGAATGGACAGTTGTGGAGAAACATATAGGACAAAGAGGGTATGACCTAATGGTAATAAAGTGAGGGAAACTTAGCAAGGCCCGATTGTTCAGATTCTTCTCTGTGACCCTTCGTATTCAGATATCAGGATCTCTTTCCTCCAGTGGTATAGGGAGGGCACTTGTCACAAGAGGGTGTTATGACCTGTGTTGGGGGAAGGTCAGAAAATCCTTTCTGGCTTCAGGGAAGAAGGGCGAGAAGGGTGGAAGGTCAGAAGGATCTCTCTGCTTCTGCTGTTTCTTAACATGCTGAGGTGGCATATTTTGGGGTAGTGTGTCCTAAACCCCATCGCTGGCAGCCTAGAATCAAATATTTCAAAAATGAAGGCAAACTCAAGACATTTTTAGACAGCAGATGCACACTGAAGAAAATACTAAAGATATTCAGGCAGAAGGAAAATTATGCCACACAGAAGCCTGGAGATACGGAAAGGAAAGAGCAACAGAAAAGATAAACCTTAGAGAAACTTAAATTATTATTGGCTGCATAAAACACAACAGTAATGTGTTTTGTTGTATAACACACCTCGAGAATTAAAATACATGACAACAAAGCACAAAAGTTGGGAGGGTAATAAATGGAGTCAAGATGTTCTAAGGTTCTTATATTTCTTGGATTGAGTATATACATAATGACATATAACATATGACACGTACCATTATATTACATTATTACAGTGGTCATATTAGATTTTAAAGTCAAGTATGCATAATGTAATCTCCAGGATAAACACTAAAAGAATAGGAAAAGAATAAAGTAATTAAAAAATTAACCCAAAGAAGAAAAGAAGGATAGAAGAAAAGCAACATAAAAAAGGTGAAACAGAGCTGGGCATGGTGGCACCTGCCTGTAGTCCCAGCTACTGGGGAGGCTGAGGCTGGAGGATCTCTTGAGCCCAGGAGTTTGGGGCTGTCACTGCTCTGATCGGCACCTATGAATAGCCACTGTGAGACCTCATCTCTAAAATAAAAATAAAAAATAAAGAAAGAAAAAGTAAAGGCAGAACACATTTTTGAAATAGCATAATAGTAGGTTTCAACCCACATAAATCAATAATTACATTATATTTCAATAAAATAAAGTTTCCAATTAAAATACAAAGACTAAATAAATCAAACCAAATTCCAATTAAAAGACAAGGAATAAGTAAAACAAACAAAATACTGCATGGTGTTTACAAGCAATACAATGTAAATGTAAGAATATAGAAGGGTTGAAAAGGGTTGAAAATAAAAGTATATAAAAAGAAATACGATACAAACCTAACCAAAACAAACAGGGTAGCTATATTGTTATCAGACAAAATATATTTCAAGGCAAGAAGCATTGTTGGGGATGAAGAGTGATATTTCACAATGATAAAAAGGTCATTCTGCCAGGAATATATAACAATTCAAGTTTTTTTTTTCTAATAAAATGCTTTCAGTATACAGTCATCTACCTTCTGCTCTACTGATTTACCAGTTCTGGGCATTTCATATAAATACAATATGTGGCCTTTTGTGTCTGACTTTCTTTCACTTAATGTTTTCAATGTTCATCCATGGTGTAGCATGGAAGCATGTATCAGTACTTCATTCCTTTATATGAGTAAGTCATATTCCATTGTAAGGATATACCACATTTAATATATTCATTCATCAGTTGATAAACATTTGGGTTAATTTCTATTTGGGGCTTTATGAATAATGCTGCTTTGAGTATTTGTTTACAGGTTTTTGTGTAGATAAATGTTTTCAGTTATCTTGGGTATATTGCTAGGAGTGAAATTGCTGGGTCACATGGTAACTCTGTTTAACTTTTGAGGAATTGCTAAATTGTTTTGTAAATTGGTTGCATGTTATTTTGCATTCCTACCAGCAAGGCATAAGGCTACCAGTTTCTCTGCACTCTTGCCTGAACATGCTATTGTCTAGTTTTTTTGTTTTTATTTTTGCAATTATAGTCATCCTAGTCAGTGTGAAGTGGTGTCTCATTGCGGTTTTGTTTTCATTTCCCTAATGACTAATAATGTTGAGCATCTTTTCATGTGCTTCTTGGCCATTTGTATATCTTCTTTAGAAAAATTTCTATTCAAATCTTTTGCCCATTTTTAATAGCTTTATTGAGATATGATTTGCATAACATATAATTTACCCATTTACAGTGTAAAATTCAATGGTCTTTGCTGTATTTGAATATTAGTTTTTCAAATTGTGGTAAAATCATAAGATCTGCCATTTTAACCAATTTTTAAGGGTACAATTCAGTAGTATTAATTACATTTACACACTTGTGCAACCATCACCACTATTTCCAAAACTTTTATCACTCCATACAAAAACTCTGTAACCACTAAACAGTAACTTTAAATCCCCCTTCCCCGCCTCTCCAGCCCCTGGTAACCTCTAATCTTCTTTCTGTGTCTATGAATTTGCCTATTCTAGATATTTTATGTATGTGAATTACACAATATTTGTTCTTCTGTGTCTGGCTTACTTCACTTGGCATAAAGTTTTTAAGGTTCATTCATGTTTTAGCATGCATCCGAACTTCATTTCCTTTTGAAACTGAATATTTCATTTGTATACCACATTTTGTTTACTCATTTATCTGTTAATGGACACTTGGATTGTTTCCACCTCTTGGCTATATTGAATAATGCTGCAATGAAGATTGGCATACAAGTATCTGTTACAGTTCCTACTTTCAATTCCTTTGGTTGTATACCTAGGAGTGAAAGTGCTGGATCATATGGTAATTCTATGTTTAGCTTTTTGAAGAACCACCAGACTTTTCCACAACAGCTTCACCATTTTATACTCCTACCATCAATGTACAAGGTCTCCAATTTCCCCACATGCTTGACAACACTTGGTATTTTTGGTTATTGTTGTTGTTTTAACTCTAGCCGTGCTAGTAGGTATAAAGTGATATCTCATTGTAGTTTTCATTTGCATTTCCCTAATGACTAATGAGGTTGAGAATCTTTTCATGTGCTGTTGGCCACTTCTATATCTTCTCAGGAGAAATGTCTAGTCAAATACTTTGCCCATTTTAAAAACTGGATTATTTGTCTATTATTGACTTGTAAGAGTTCTTTATACATTTTGAGTACCAGTTCCTTATTTGATATATGATTTTCAATTTCACTTTTGTGATAATGTCCTTTGAAGCACAAAAGTCTTTCATTTTGATTAATCTATTTAAAATTATTTAATTTTGATTTTAGCTATTTTTACTGTTATCATTTGTACTTTTATTGTCACATCTAAGAAACTGTTGCCTAATCTAAGGTCATAGAACTTTACTTCCTTTTCCTTCTAACAGTGTTTTAGTTTCAGCTTCTACATTTAGGCTATAAAGCATGTTGAGTTAATTTTTGTATGTGGTGTGAGGTAGGAGAGTTTAACTTCATTCTTTTGCTGTGGATATCCAGTTGTACAAACATTTGTTGAAAAGACTACCTTTCCCCAGTGAATTGTCTTGACTCTCTTGCTGAAAATCAATGAACCATAAAAGTAAGAATTTTTATGTCTGGACTTTTAATTCTATTCCATTGATCTATATGCCTTTCCCTTTGCCAATATCACACTGTCTTAGTTACTATAGTTTTGTAGTAAGTTTTGAAATTGAAAAATGTGAGTCCTCCAACTTCATACTTCTTTTTCAAGACTGTTTTGTCTATTTGAAGTCCTTTCTTTTCCATGTGAATTTTAGAGTCAGCATGTTAATTTCTGTGGGGAAAAGCCATCTGAGATTTTCATAGGAATTATGTTGAATTTGTAGTTTATTTTGGGAAGTATTGCTATTTTAACAATATTAAGTTTTGCAATACATGACAATGGGATATCTTTTCACTTATTTAGGTCTTGTTAGTTTATTTCAATTATGTTTTCTAGTTTTTAGTTTACAAGTCCTATAGTTCTTTTGTTAAGTTTATTCCATAATGAGAGATTTAAACACACTTTCTCAGCACCTGATGGAATAGACACACCAAAAATAAAATCAGAAAATATATAAATAATATGTTATATGATTGAAAAAACTAATCTAATAAATACGTATGGAACATGATAATCAACAATGACAGAATATATGTATTTTTCAATTGTACTTGGAAATTTTACAGTGAGTTTTACTATACAGTAATATAAGTCCTCAAACTTTGTTCTTCTTCAAAAATTCTTAAGCTAATTTTATCATTTGTATTTTTGTATAAATATTAGAATCACCTTGTCAATTACCTAAAAACTACCTGGGATTCTAAATGGGGTTGCACTGAATCACTGGTTTATGCTGGGGAGGACTGACATTTATATCATGTTCCTGTGTTGAAAGAATCCTCTCAACCCAGGAACACGATATATCCCCTAATTTATTTAGATCTTCTTTGAGTCCTCTAAATAATGTTTTATGGTATAGTGGTGTTGCACTTCTTTCTTTATGTTTATTGCTATTATAAATGGTAATGTTTACAAATATTATTTTCCAATTTGTTGTTGCTGGTGTATAAAAAGACTTCTGATATTTGCATATTGACCTTGTATCTAAAGAATAGCTAAATTAATTTCTTAATTATGTTTATCTTAGATTCTTTTGGACTTTCTATATTTACAATCAGGTTGCCTGTGAATGACAGTTTCCTTCTTTTACAGTCTTTATCCTTGTATGTCCTTGTTTCATTGCAGTTTCTAGGACTTCTGGTATGATGTTGAATAAAATTCTTGATAGCATGCATTTTATTCCCATTTTCAGGAGGAAGCTTTTAATATTTCACCAATAAGTACGATATCTCTCTTAAGATATTTTGTTTTGTTTTTAAGAGGCCTTTTATCTTATTAAGGATGTTCTTATTCTTAATTTGCTAAGTATTTTTGTTCATTTGTTATCATAAATGGGTATAGAATTTTAAAAACATTTTTACTGGAATAAACCCAACTTGGTCTTGCAATATTTCATATGGGAATTTTGCATCTGTGTTCATGGGCGAGAGATACTAAATAAGACATTAAATCCAGAGTGCTACGGGCTGATGACTATAAATGGACTTGATACTATAGGAGGACATATGCTAGGGGTACTGAACCTACTGTCTGAAAGTGAGAGAAGGCGTCACATAAGAAGAGTACTCTCTAAGTTAAAGGGTTAGTAAGAGCAAGCCAGTTGATGATGACATGGGTAGGGGATATAGCACATTCCAAGCAAGGTGAAGAACCTGTTCAAATTAAAGGTAGGAGAGAGCTATTTGTATTCCAGGAATTGAAAACCATTCAGTGTATCTGCAATACGTGGCCCAGAGAGTAAGAAGAGGCCTGCATATGGAGGACAGAAGGCCCCATTAAGATCTATTTGGGTGGCTTTTTCATTTCTTGCTCACTTACACTAACAGATATTGAGATTGTGACCAATACTGAATTAATATTAGTATAGCAATTTTCCACTCCTGCTCTACATAGCCCAGGCATTCTGTAGAGATGTCCAGCGACTAGGTTAGGATGGAAGGTGGGGGCAGAACAAGACCCTCTCCTTCATCATCTATTTTACAGCCACCACTTCAACCAGAACATTTTCGTACTTATCTGATTTAGAAAATGAATTTCTGTATAAGATTTCATCTGAGGAAAGGTTTCTGCTGCTATCTATCTACCTATCTGATTATATATTATATATAAATACATATACGTGTGTGTGTATATATATATATATGTTTGAGTTCAATAGTTCCCAAGAAATGAACTATTCTCTCCGTAAACTCAAAAATCTGCTCCTAGGTAAGCACCCAACCTCTGTCCTCCAAAGGTAAGCAAGGGTGGGGGTCTTCTTGGTAGAATGTGGCCAGATGTTTTCAACATGCTGCAATGAAAATTTGCTTGAATGTTCCCACAGCTGAACTGCAAAAACTACAGAAGGGAAGGTAAGAGGAAGGAGAGAAAGGGGAAAAGACGAATGTGAGCACGAGCATTTGCAGGGACCTTGGAAAATACATTTTCTGAAAATACAAGGTCCCTGCAAAAGCTCAAATGGAAGGCTTCTTAAGAGGACTTTTGGAAATAAAACAAGCTTCATGTCACTTGTGCCTTTATTTTAGGGGCCAAAATGGTAAGCAAAACTGAGTATTTCTCTTCCCACCCTCTATGTCATCACACTCCACCCCCTAGCCCTGACTATTGCGAAAGGATAATTTGAATTTGGCAGAAAATGCAAAAACAGTTCATTTTCCTAAGACTTTGAAAAACAACAATTAAAACCATCTCAAACACCTTGAACATTAATTAATTCTTTTCCAGTTAAGCTAATAGCCTTGTGAAGGCAATAAGCTCATCTTGTTAATATACACTGGAACATTTACTCATTATCTCTCCTTATCTACCTGTCTTATCTATCTTTATTTGGACTTTTACAAAATAGTTACTGAATTGTGTGCACCAGTAAATGCATTAACTCAGTGCAATTTCATGGAGATTTATGCACCTGCAATGTCGAATATATTAAGTTTCCATAAAAGCTTGGCATTTTGGGTATGTTCTTTCCGAAGACCCTATGGGGTACATTTTCAATGTGGAGAATGATAAGCAGGAACCAAAATCAATGGGCTTAAATTATTAAAATTCTAGGCAGTCGTTACAGATTGGGTCAAGTATTATAAAACTTACAGTTCATCAATTTACTTTCAATATTAATTTTAGCTTTGTGCCTTGCCATGAAAACCATGAGAATGGAAAGCATGTAACATCTCACTTACAGCTGACACAGAAGGGAAGTGACTCTGAAATATAGACCCTCTCAGCCTCTGGGGAAGATTTATGTGGCGAGGATCACTCTCCTTAGAGTGAGACTGCAGGTGAGTGGCAGGTCTGCATTATAAATGCCTGGGGTAACTATAAAAACATAAATGGTATCAGGTTATTGATTTTTTTTTTCTTTCTGGAGCTCACAAATTAGAAAAGTCACTGCTAAAAATCACTGGTCTATCCACAAATTTTAATTAAAGCATAAATAAGTCATTTTAGTTGCTGCACTTGCATATAAACAAAGGGGGAGATGGCATCCTTACAAATGCTTGTCAACATTTGGTGACTAATGGCTCACAGTGAAAATACAATCTGAAGCAATTGAATTGAAAGCAGATTCTGGAGCTAACTAATATCACATGCAAACCATCTAAAGCTATTATGGCAAGAGGCATTGAAACCACAGATCAGGTTTTTCTGGGGAGTGGGGGATGAGGATAATTTTGTTAGGTAGAGCAATACTATTTTTTTTATTAAATAAAGTGAATCCCTGTAATGAGATATTACAGCTGCTGTACTTTCACCACATGATGGAGGAATGGATACCCCACTCCTACAGCAAACAGTAACCACATGCTGCAGTGATTCAAAATGTTGACTTTATTCCTAAATAAATACATAGCAAGGACTAATATAAATAGGTCTTTAGAAAATAGGGGTTTAGGGGGATGTTCTGAGCAGTCCTAGATCCCATTACATCAAAAAAAAAAAAAAGAGAGAGAGAGAAATTGAGATAGTGAGTATTAAAGGAATTCTCGGGGGATTTCCATTCTTGGCATGGACTCAGGAAGCCAGGACATGACCTCCGTGTTGTGTTCCAGCTTTGGGGTAAGCATGTGGAACACTCCTCTACAGGTATAGTGGGAGAACTCCCCTATTTCTCCTTCAAAATTAGGGTGATGCAGAAGTAATGGGACACTAGGCTTGGCTGTTGCCACAGAGAGGGGGCTATGACTGAGTGACCTATGGTCAGCATGTCTTAGTACAAGGTTCTGCACTCAAGAGGAAGATGGGCCTTCCGTGAGTGTCTATGCAGTCAGAATGGAGGCTCAGAGAGAGCAGAAAGCATGCTGTCCATTGTAACTCCTTATTTGTCAAATGTTAGTAAAAGAAAGGATCAATTCTTTTCCCATTCATTCATTCAGTGAATAGGCATTCATTATATACTTTCTATATGCTATGCATAATGTTAGCTATTTGAGAATACAAAAATCATAATACATAGTCTCCGCCCTTCAGAAGGAGTCACAAGTTATACAACAAAATATTCAACACAACGTAGTATTTTAATAGCAGCATCCTAAGGATACTAAGGAGAGCCCAGAGGAAGGCAAGGTTTAATGTCGAATGAAAAGAGGCAGGGCCAGGGAAAGCTTCACAAAGATGATGCTGTTTACATGGAATCTTGTCATATGAATGTGCATTTGTCAAGTAAAAAGATAAAATTTCCAAACAACTGGAATTTGACCTTTTCTATGCTGAACCTTGTCTACTTACCAATTGTTAAAGGAAGGAAAATTTTATTTAAAATAAAAAAAGTTATAGTAAAGACATAGAGAACAAATCCTGAATCCAGACTACCTAACTTTAAATCCTAGCTCTACCACTTCCTGGCTGTGGAAATGTAGGCAAGTTACTTAACTTGTCTGTGCTTCCAATTCCTAATCTTAAAAATGTGTGTCATAATAGTATATACCTCACTACCGTTGTAAGAGAGAAAGAGGAGAGAGAGGAAAGAAAGAGAATGTGTATGATATTGTACATGCTTAGTGTGAGAGTTCTGTAAGAGAAGGAGGTGGCATTTGTGACTAAGTGGAGTGTTCAGATTTAGAAGTAAGTGGCATTGGCAGTTGAGATTGTGAGCACCCTGAGATTAGGGACTCTGTTTTTCTGTTTACACCTATTCTCAGTGCCTAACATGGCAACGGGCACATAATCAACGCTCAATAAACGTTTGCCATCAGGCAAGTATAATAATTTAATAATTATTATACTTGCGTGTGTGTGTGAATGTACATGTGAATGTATGTCATGTGTCTATATATGAATGTATGTGTGTGTGGTTACAGTGCTTGTTGTATGCTAGTCACTGTACTAAGATATTTACAAGTATTAACTCATTCAATTCCTACAGTGATAGTAAGGTATGCACTATTAGGACTCCTGTTTTATAAGATTAGGAATTTGAGGCACAGAGAAGTTAAGTAACTTGCCTAAGTTTCCAGATCCAGGAAGTGGTAGGGCTAGGATTTAAAACTAGATAGTCTGGCTTCAGGGTTTGTTCTGTATGCCTTTGCTATAGTGTTTTATCTGTCTTTTTCCTTTGTTTTCTGCCTTTATTGGTAGCATCACCACTTAGCCAGTGGTCCAAACCCAAAACCTGGAAATCATCCCTGATTCCTTTCTCTCCCATCTCCAAATCTCATCACCAAGCATTTCCCATTTTATCTCTAAAAGTGACATCAAGTCTACCTCTTCTCCATCCTGATACTGAGTCACGGAGTTCAAACTGACTGCCATGGCCCCTGAACCAGCCTCCAATTTAGCTCGTCATGTGCCCAGTTCCCTGAAGGAACTTTTCAAAGTGGAATCTGGCCATGGCCCACTCACTTTAACCTCTTAAGTGAATCCTCACTGTGTACAGTGTACACAGCATGGAATTCAAGGTCCAAATGAATCAAGCCTCCTTACATCAAGTGACGCTGAACATCTCCAGCCTCATCTCAAACCACTCCCTGACTCACATTTTATCCCCCTTCAATATGGAGCTACTTTTGTCCTCCACATGCTCCTCTCCTTCCCCTACCCTCTGGGACTCCACCCCTCTGGGAAGGTTTCCTACCTGCCCCCTCTGGCCAGCGCCCCTCTATTCTATTCCCTGTACCTTCCTGTGCGTGACTCTTACACTGTACCCTTCCCATTGATCATTGTGGGTAATGACTAATGATCTGTGTGTGTGTCTCTTACCCTGCTGCACAGTGAGCCTAGCACAGCTGCCTGGCATAGAGAAGGAGCATTAGAAATATTTGTGGGAAGAATGCAGTACTTCATCAACTTTAACATGACTTTTTTGAGAGGTGCACTGTTATTTTATATACCACTAAGGAAAAAGAAATGCTGCCAATTAAACTTATACTACATATTCTTATCACATCTATTATATGACACATCCCAATTGCAGAGATGTTAAAATGGGAAAGACAGGCTTTTAGAATCCCTGAAATATGACAACTAAAATTGTCTTTATGACTTTATCAGAATAGTGCAGTGATTAAGTCACAGGCTTTGGAGATCAAAATCCTGTCTCTATCATTTACTGGGTGTGTGAACCTGCGCATATTACATACCCTCTCTGTGCCTCATTTATAAAATGAGGATAATAACAGTGCTTTGAGGGTAGTAATTCCTGCTTTGTCCAGCCATACCATTCCTGAATTTTGGACGTTGAATGCTGAAGCCATTGCCTTTCTAGAATGGTCTATTATGTATCTTGATAGACATATGCTTGTCTGCCCTTTGGAGAGCCAACCCTCACCCCCTTTCAGTTGTCTTGCTCAATTCATGTGATTCTGATGGGGTGTTGACACCAGCTTCCTTCCAAAGCAAGTGAGGGGACTGAGGAAGGGGGAAAGGGAAGGGCAGGCAGTCACAGCCAGCAGGCCTGACCAGCCAGAGCGCACTATGCTACTTGGCCGCAGCAACTGGTTCAAGGCAAAAAGTAACACTAGAGTTCAGGTGCTGGTTAAAGAAGTGAATGTACAGAAAGCCATTGAACAGTACCTAACATATGGTATGCACAGAATAGCTATTCACTAGTATCATCATTATTACTGTGGTGAATGAACTATGTTGTAATGAAGCCTGAAGTAACTACAGAAGTCTGTAAGCCAGATGCCATATTCAAAATGCACCCACGGATTTTCTGTAACAACTAGAAACTTGCTAGAATGTGAGCTTTATGAGGGCAGAGATCTGATTTGTTCACTATATCCCAGGCACCTAGAATACAGGCTGGTATATGGTAGATATTTTTTAAAAATTGTCAACTGAATGAATCCTAGTTTTTCTGTTAACTTCCTCACTGTCTAGATATAAGATGTCATTTTGCCTGGCTTTCAATGCGTCTTCCTCTAACTGTACTTCAACTCTCCTTCTCTCTCCCTCTCTTTCTTCCTTCTTTCACTTCCAGTCTGCTGCTAGCTGAAAAATAAAAATAGCCATATGTATCAGAATTGTCTTTCGGCCTAAGTAATGCATCCCCCATCCCTGTCCATCCTCTCCTTGGGTACAACCTCATGCCATAGAGAACCCAGGTGTTTCTCACTGAGCTTATCACCACGTTTGAATTGATAGTCTTGCAACTTCAGAGACACCTGCTACATCGGTTTTCCTCTATGTTCTGTTCCTGGTGACTTGACATCGATAGCAATTAGCCCTCAGAGACATTCTAAAGGAGGTCTGGGCATTTGGATGGTCCTATTTTTCTTTGGCCTTTCTCCTGATTTGCTTCCATTCCCATCACCCATTCCTGGTGATTGCAGGCTTCAAACTGAGATGATTGATGCCATCTCAGCCTAAGGGACCTCAGGATTATCTCCCTCTCCCTCATCACAAAAAAACACGACTTATGGGGAGAAGGCATTTCCAGCCATGTAGGCCCATTCCAGGCCTGGCACTCTCGCTAAAAAGGTAACACCTGGGGCTCATCCTCACTCCCTGAGATCATGAGGAGAATGGAAATGGCCCATTGCTTACAGGGTGTGAAGCCCAGAAGACCCCAGGACAGAGGCCAAGGGCAAAATCCCAATAAAACCTCCATCCAAAGGGATTGGCAAGAGAGTGGCAGGCAGCAGGGTACAAAGCACTGGAATAGAAAACCTAGACACCAGAATAACCAAGTTTGATTGGTGGGCACAAACTGAAACTAGAATCATTCATAATAGTAACAACCCTCATTTTTGAGTATGTCTTAAGGGTTTTACCTACGTTGTCTCAAATAATCTTTACAACGTACTG
Source organism: Homo sapiens (assembly GCF_000001405.40). Classification (NCBI taxonomy): domain Eukaryota; kingdom Metazoa; phylum Chordata; class Mammalia; order Primates; family Hominidae; genus Homo; species Homo sapiens. Next base: position 61,529,080 of record NC_000001.11, read on the forward strand.
TGGCAGAACCAGGTTCAAAGCCAAGTCTGCCTGATGCCATTGCCTGTACTCTTGACCATTCTTCTCCTGGACCTCCAAGTTCTGAGGTTCTGGAGTGCAAAGCATGAGCCTCTTGGCAAGGTGTCTGCAGCTTTACCTGCAGCATTAAGAGCAACTGGAAGTCCAGCAGTAAGAATGGTCTTCAGGCCAAAGATATATTACTCACAATTAGCACCTACCCAGTGCCCAGCACTGAGTGCCTCCCCGTGAGTTCCGGGCTTAATCACGCTGCGTCTTCTGTCACCCACAGTTTGGATGGAGGATAAATCTGGTGCCCATTTGTTTGCGGCCACCTTTTTTTTTTTTTTTTGAGACAAGATTTCACTCTGTTGCCCAGGCTGGAGTGCAGTGGCACAATCTCGACTCACTGTAGCCTCTACCTCCGCCTCCTGAGTAGCTGGAACTACAGGTGCACACCACCACACCCAGCTAATTTTTTTATTTGTAGAAACGGGGTTTTGCTATGTCACCCAGGCTGGTCTCAAACTCCTGAGTTCATGATCTGCCTGCCTTGGCCTCCCAAAGTGCTGGGATTACAGGGATAAGCCACTGTGCCCAGACTGTTTGTGGCCTTCTACAGGTCATATCAGCCTTCTGGCCTACCTGTGCAGGAGGTCAGTACCAAATAACACCAAGAACAATGACCAAAAATACAGTGGTCAAGAGTGCTGGCCTTGCAGTCAAACAGCCTGGATTTGATTCCTGGCTTGGCCTCTTCCCTGATCCTCATTTTCCTCTCCTGTAAAAATGGAGGAATTAATAATAGTATCTACTTCATGAGTTTGTTGTGTAGAATGCAATTAGAGTAGCTCGTGGAATATCGTAGATGCCCATACACGTTAGCTACTGTTATTACACAAGTTGAATATCCCTTATCTGAAATGCTTGGGACCAGAAGTGTTTTGAATTTTGGATTTTTTCACATTTTGGAATATTTGCATATCTGTAATGAGATGTCTTGGGGATAGGACCCAAGTCTAAACACAAAATTCATTGATGTTTCATACACACCATATACACATAACGTGATGGCAATTTCATATAATATTTTAAATAATTTTGTGCATGAAACAGTTTTGACTGCATTTTGACTGTGACCCATCACACGAGGTCAGGTGTGGAATTTTCCACCTGTGGCTTCATTTCGGTGCTCAAAAATTTCAGAGTTTGGAGCATGTTGAATTTCAGATGTTCAGATTAGAGATGCTCAACCTGTACTGAGCATATGAACCAGGAACAGCGCCAAACACTTTGCATGAATTTTCTCATTTAAGCATCTCAACTCTATGAAATAAGCACTATCATTTGCCCCCATTTTTATAAATGAGCAAAAGAACGGAGAAGTGTAATAATTTACCCAAGGTTACACAGCCAGGAAATGGTGGAGATGGGGGTTGAGTTCAAGCCAACAGGCTCCAGGCTGCGTACTGAGAACCACTACACTTAACTCTTCCCAGCATAAAGCCAGGCTTCAGCCACGTGCTCACTTCATGCAACCTTCCGCACAAATAATAAATCACATTGTCCTCTTAGCATCTGCCCTAATTATTAGCAGCCTCACCTGCTTCATCTCTCAGACCTGACATTTAGCTCATGCACATATGACCTTGGGCCCTTGACAGCCCCTTCTTCAGACACACTAGGTGACAACCCTCCAGGTCCAGCATCCTATGCCTCTGTGGGATGTTCCTACAGGCAGACCCTGGAACTCTTGTTGCTCTCCTGAGTGCCACTGTTTTTGTGCTGCTAAGGTCCTATTATGCTGTGTATAGCAAATTCCATTATATGATTACATGGTAAAAGCTGTGCTACCTGATACATCACAGCATCATGGGGCACTAACTAGTCAAAAATTTTAGTGAACTAGGAGTTCTAAAATCTCTGCTTCCTAGATTTAAGAAGCAGGACACAAGTAACATTCCTGATACGATACTTCCTTGATATGTTAGTTTTTGTGTTGCTGTGGATATATGAAGTTTTGCAGGGCAAAAAGAAAAAGTTACGTTTGTTCTTTTTAGCAGGAAAAAGGAAGAGACTTTGAGGTCAAAGGGAAGGAGGTGAACAGAGATGGGAAAAGGCGTTGCAGGTCAACAAGTCCCAGGCTGTTGGACAGTGATCCAGAAAGAGAGTGAGAGCTCAGAGGTGAGCCGCTGTGTGGGAGCTCCTGGAGATACAAGATACAAGGAGTGGGGATTCCCATTCCCCCAGGATGCCAGCCAGAGCACCTGGACCCAGTGAGACCTCTGGGACAGTGGACATCTCAGTAGTGACCAGAAGGTCTCTGGCCCTGCAAAAGCATTTAGGAACTTGTCCACAAACTGGAACTTGTCCACAAATTGTCCAAGACTGAGACAATTCCTCCTGACATGAAAGGGATGGGAACTCACAATTTGATTTAAGTTGATTCACAAAAATAACAAGATGTCATATTCCTCACTTCCTTAGTCTGTGGATTAAGATTCATATCTGCTACTCATTTGACTGCCTACTACGTGTTAGGCAATGCAGTAGGGTTTTCAAACATGTTTTATCATGTAAACTTCAAAACAACACTCCTATGGATTTGAACCAGATTTTACCTGACTCCAAAGTCTGTGAGTATCTCTAAAATAAGGAGAATTAAAGGAATTAAGTGTTAGAGTGTTCTTGCATTTACATTATACATGTGAATTCACTGAATCCTCACAGTCAACATAATATATTTTTAAGTAGATGGACACTGCCTAAGGCCCCTGCTCTGGTTGTGACATTAATTTATTCTCTGTTCTCTAAATGGGTGCTGAAAGACTGGCCTCTACCGAATGGCCTTACCCTCCCACAGTCATGAGTTACACATCCTTGTTCTAAAAGGTCAGCAGAGATCAAGTCTGAGTTCCAGATTTCTAGAAAAGAAACTCTGCTAATTCTTGGCCCAATCAGCTATGCCAGTAGCATGCGGTCAAACAGCATATCCAATCAGATTTTCTCTCCCAACAATATACAATTGTGTCTTAGAGATTCTAATTAGTCTATGCTGGTAACTTGAACTGAAGACATGTAACCTGAATGCTGTGCAGCAGCCATAGCTGGCTGTGTGTGCATATAGATGAAGAGGATGCCAACCTGCAGAGATGGAGGAGAATGATGCACACAGCACATGCCTGTGCTCTGGCTGTTTTTGCCTCACTAGGGCACCTAGGACACCCACTCACCAGGTCCACTTAGAACAAAGTCCCTGCAGAAAATATTACAAGAGTATTAACATAGCCCTGGGGCAATCTGGTTGTGTGCCAGTGTGCTGCCATGCTGAGGTCAATTGGTTTTAGATCTTTCTACCAATGGGGATAGAGAAGAACACATTTGCCAGGTCAATAATCACACACCAAGGGCCAGAAATAGTGATGATCTACTCCAGTGAAGATATAAATTAATCAGAGAAGCTGCAACTGGGGCTAACAACTGGTTCAACTTACAGTAATTCATTATCATTTGCCATGCTCTTTCTTTTTTCAGAGACCAGATAGGTAACTTAAATAGGTATGTGATAGAGACTACCACCTTGCAACCTTTAAGTCTTTTGAAGATAGAACTAATTTCCACAATACCAGAAGACAAAGAGACAAGTTATAAAGGATCCTACTTTGTCCTTCCTGCCACAGTGACCTTACTCCATACATCAGGGACCCAATGCAAGAGTTCCAGCAGCTGCTAAGTACACCTATCCCAATTATACATGCAGGAACTAGATATACAACCATACGGTGAGTCTGCAAGTACATTGGACCCAAAATGAGACAGTTTTGGGCAGTACCCCATTTATCTCCTAGCTTCCGTAAGTCCCACCCTAAACAGATAACCATGATGGTATTTGGGGTATCACGGTCCTATGGATTAAATGTTTGTCTCCTCCCAAACTCAAATTTAAATTTAATTGCCATTGTAACAGTATTAAGAGGTGATTAGGCTATGAGGGCTGTGCACTCACTCATAGGTTAATGCTATTATTTGGGGAGTAGGTTCATTATCAAGGGAGCAGGTTTCTTATAAAAGGATGAGTTAGGCCTCCTTCTGCCTCTCTCTGTCACCTACCTTTTGCTCTTCTGTCATGGGATGATGCAGGAAGAATTCCCTAGCAAGATACCACCTCCTCAATCTTGGACTTCTCAGCCTCCAGAACCATGAACCAATAAATTTCTGTTTATTATAAGTTAACCAATCTGTGGTATTCTGTTGCAGCAGCACAAAACAGACCAAGACATTTGGTGTCAATGTTAGCTGAGTCTCATATCTTATACTCCTCAAAAAAGTCTGTCTGTTCTGCCACCCTTAGCCCTAACCACTAATCAGTGCACAGTTCCTGTCAAATGACACAAGTAATTTTGTGAAAGGATTGGGGAATATTTATTCTGACAAGGGCATTGCAGTTCCTTCTCAAGGGCACCCAACCTCACCTCTAAACAAAGGGCTCTGGACCTACAAATTGAGATTGAAAACTGGATGAAGAAACCTAATTTTCTGTCATGAAAACTAACATCCATATTGTGCTTATCAGCTCTCAAGTTATTTACACTCATACGTTCCTTAACAATGGGGGTATGTTCTGAGAAATGCATTGTTAGGCAATTTATTGTTGTGTAAACATCATAGAGTATACTTACACAAACCTAGATAAAATAGCCTACTGCACACCTGGTATGGTCTATTGCTCCTAGGCTACAAACCTGTACAGCATGTTACTGTACTGAATACTGTAGGCAATTGTACCACAATGGTAAGTATTTGTGTATCTAAGCATATCTCAACATAGGCAAGATACAGTAAAAATATAGTATTATAATCTTATGGGACCACCGTTGTATATGCAGTCTGTCATTGACTGAAACATCATTATGGAGTGCATGACTGTATTTACTCATTTAGTTACTTAGCTAGTTTAAATTTTGCAAAACATGACCAGGTGTGGTGGCTCACACCTGTAATCCTGACACTTTGGGAGGCTGAGGTGGGGGGATGGCTTAAGGCCAGGAGTTCAAGTCCAGCCTGGTCAACACAGTGAGACCTCATCTCTACTTTAAAAAATAAAAATTAAAAATTAACATTAATTTTATAAAACAATAAGTATCATTTATTTATTGATGGACATATCATGTGTCCGTTTGTCTTTCTTCTAAGAACAGCATGATCTATCCACCATCACCATAGATCTTTGTGGGTTTAGGAACCCTAATTGCTACTTTCGCCTTGCTGCCTGGTACAGTAATCAACTACACCTTGCCTCTGATTATTAAGTGCCACCAATTGGCCTTGTCCATTCCTAAATTCCATCATCTCCATTGAGACTTGAGACCCCACTTCCATGGTAGATTCCCACCTATCCACTTGCATCAACCCTGGGGTACAGAATTTCTCAAAGATACAGAGCCCTCTTCACCAGTGTGTGTCTTCTAACCCTAGGGAAGGGAGTGGCCTTCAAGGCCTCTTGAGGAACAAAGACAGGCAGGATATTCTCAGTTCTTACATAGTAAATCCAGTCTGACATTCCTTCTCTGTGACTCTGTGTTTCACTCTGTGAATTATATTTTCTGAATTACTAATTTTCTCTTCAACTATGCCTAATCTGTTGTCAAAAATCCATGAGTTTTTTATTGTAATTTTTACAATTTTCATTTCTAGGAGTTCTATTTGATTATTTTCCAAATCTAATAGGTTACTTTTACAGTTGCCTCTTTTTTACTGACATGTGTAAGGTAAGCTTTTTTTTTTATTTCTTTAAGCATAAAAAGCATAGTTCTGTGTTTGATAGGATAATACCTGAGATCTTTGAGGGTCTGTCTCTGCTGTCAGTTGTTTCTGCTAGTTCTTGCTCTTGGTGCCTTCACTGAGTACTTACTGATTTTTTCACTTTGAACTACTAATTTCCCTTTGAAAGTTGTTTTGGGATTCTTTGAAACCTAGGACAAAGGTCCATTCCTCAGAGAGAATTTGTATTCACTTCTGCCAGGGACCTGGCAGTACTACCAGCCTGGAACAACTTTAAAATTAATAACTTTAAAGCCTGAAGTTTTTGGAACTCTCATGCAATGTAAATATAAATGTAAATCCAAGCATGAGCTGGCTGTGGCCACAATACCTAACTATTCTGCTACCGCCCAGGCCACACTCCATGTAGTCACCAGGAGTAAGGGAATAGGAAAGTTTAGTTCTAGGTCACCCTTATACTGAGGGTGACACTCTGGGTAGGGGCAGTTTTATGAGGAAGGGTCTCACATTAGAATCTCCACCTAGGGAGACACTGGGCTTTAGTCTCTGTAATCCACAGGCAGTGAAAAGTCAAATTTAAGAGCACAAAATTCAGTAAGTGTTCTCAGAATAAAGGCTTTTTCTGAGCTTTCTTTTCTTTTCTGAGTTCCTCTCAGAATGTGACTAGATAATTCTTCCTTACTCTACCAGCTCTTAGATGCTTTCCAGAAGATTAAAAAAAAAACTTTTAGCTTGCATTTTTAGTTGTTTTCATCAAGAAGACAGGGCCAGATACCTTGCCTGCCTTGTAACTGAAAATAGAAATCTCTTTTTTTTTTTTTTTGAGGTCAGGAAACCGAAGACATAGCAAAGGCCATGATAGTCTTATGTTCAAGAGGAAAATCAAGATAATAAATAATCCTGTGTTTTTGTGTAGCCTGCTCTATAGTTCACGAAGTACCAGCACCTTGTCTCATATCTATCCTTTTCTCTCCATTCCCCCATCAACCAGCCTAAGTCAGGCCTTCATTATCTTTAGTTGCCTCCCACCTGATGTCTGACTTCCATCTTCTCTCTCTCCAATTCTTTCTGCTGGAATAATATTCCTAAAAACAATTTCAACCAACTCACTCCATCGTTTACAAATATTCTATAACTGCCCATTACTTATTAGACAAAAATCACTCTTAATTATAGAATGGAAAACTGCCCTACATAAAAATTCATCTTTATCTAGACTGAATCCTCAACACAGGCAAACATATGCATCTCTATGTCCTAATTCAACCCTAATTTTTTCTCTGAAACATTGTCTACAACTCTTGGCCTCTATTCTTTTTTCCCCTAAGCACTGAAGGAATTTATATCAGCAATATACAATGTATTATTTTTTAACAGTTTTATTGAGATATAATTAACACATCTTATGATTTACCCGTTTAAAATGTACAATTCAAAGTTTTGTAGCATGCTCACAGGGCTGTTTAACCATCACCACAATCAATTTTAGAACATTTTCATCACCCTAAAAAGAAACCACATACCCATTTCCCCTCAACGTTCCAGCTTTAGGCAACCACCAATCTACTTTCTGTCTCTACAGATTTGCCTATTCTAAACATTTCATATAAATGGAATCATAAATTATGCAGTCTTTTGTGACTGGATTCTTTCATTTAGCATAGGGCTTTCAAGGTTTATCCATGTTGTAATGTGTATCAGTGTTTTATTTGTTGTTATAACTAAGTAATATTCCATTGTAGGGATATGCCATGTTTTATTCATCCATTCATCAGTTGGCGAGTATTTAGATGTTCCCCACTGTTTGGTTATTCTGAATAATGTTGCCTTGAACATTCATGAACAAGTTTTTGTGTGGACATATGTTTTTATTTCTCTTGGGTACATACCTTGGAATGAAATTGCTGGGTCATATGGTAATTCTATATTTAACATTTTAAAGAACTGCTAAAATGTTTTCCAAAGCAGCCACACCATTTGACATTCCCACCAGCAAAGCACAATGCTTCCATTTTCTCCATATCCTCTCCAATCCTTGTTGTTTAATGTTTTCATCATAGCCATCTTAGGGGGTGTGATGTGGTATCTCATAGTGGTTTTGATTTGCATTTCTGTAATGACTAAGGATGTTGAGGATCTTTTCATGTTCTTATTAGCCATTTGTATCTCTTCTTTGGAGAAATGTCTACTCAAATCCTTTGCCCATTTGAAAAACTGGGTCATTTGTCTTTTTATTATTGAGTTAAAGAGTTCTTTTACATTCTGGATATAGGTCCTTTACCAAATATATGATTTGCAAATACTGGATCTCATTCTGTGTTGTCTTTTCACCTTTACGATGATGTTGTTCACAGCACAAAAGTTTTTATTTTAATGGAGTTCAACTTATCTATTCTTTTGCTGTTTGTGCTTTTGGTGATTTATTTAAGAAACTATTTTCTGACCCAAAATTGTAAAGATTTACTTCTATGTTTTATTCTAGGAGTTTTTCTAATAGCTATTTTGAAGTCTTTGTCTGCTAAGTCCACTATACAGACCCCTTCAATGGCTATTTCTGTGGCCTGTTTTTTTCCCTTGGTTTTTGCATGTCTTGTAATTTTTTGTTAAACACTGGCCATCTTAGCTAATATAACAGCTCTGAATACCAATCCCCTCCAGAAATTGTTTGTTTATTTGTTTGGTGATTTGGCTGAAATAATTCCACATTCTGTTTCTGCTGCAATGTGCAGCCTCTGATGCCCCTGCCCAGATTTTTTTCTGTTTGTTTTCATCTTTTAGTCTGACTACCTAAAGGTCACTCCTGGGTTGGCATAAACCATTTATTGGTCAAAAGTTGTGTTTAACCTCTTTCACTAGTTAGATTTTTTCCCCCTTTACCAATGAATGTGTGTGTGGCCTGGAGATTTCTATTACAACTCCAGGAGTTTACTTTTTTTGCCCCACATTCAGCAAGGGACTAGTAGCTTGGAGGTTCCTTCTATAATCACTCCTGAGAGGGTGCAGCCCTAGGCAATCACATAGTGTTCTACAAGGCCAGAGGTGAGTGTGAGTTTACTTTTAAACCTGGTTTTCTAGGAGTTTCCCTTTGGTCAGAGTAGCTTCTTGTCAATCAGCCGTCAAAGGTGATGTTTAAATCCTTTGTTCTAGTAAACTGTCTGCCCTGTGTTAATGGCTCTATGTGCAGCTCAGGAGATCCTTTCAAATCAGTCCTGCATCCTGCTCTGATGGCTCTTGACTAGGCACAGCCTGACCCATGGGCACATCCCTCTTGACCCCAGAATTGACTGTGGTCCCAGGAGAGCTCTTCTTGGTTTTCTCTTTCTCTGCTTCTCTCCAATAAGCCTCTGTACTGCCATTTTTCTTGTACAAATGATGGCACTCCAGCCTGCTTTAAACGGCCCTCCACTAAGATCTCCATTGTTTTCAACAGTGGCTTTAGATATGGAGTTCTCCACACTGTTCTAAATGAAGTCAGTTCTCTTAGGCAGAGCTGCAGGGCTCTTTGGTACTTAGGATCTGTCTTTGCCCTGGGCAGAACCCCTGTACCACTGAACCATAGCTGAGCACAGGGACCTGTGTTAACCAAAATGGCATCCCACTCTAAGAGTGGTCAAGGTGGCAGCTCCTGATCGTTTCTCGCCACTGCTAGCATGGAACCTCCACCCTACTGGCAAGTTGAGGTGGGAGCAAAAGGGCTCCAGTGTTCTCAGCCTTTGCACCTGGAATAAAGCTTCCATCCTGTGAGTCAGGGCTGGGTCGGGGTTGGAAACTCAATCCTTCTGGCCATGCCTGCTTAAAATAGAGCTTCTGCAGCATGGAACTGGGGAAGATAAGAAATGGCAGCCTGACCCTCTCTGGGTGAAACTGCAGCTCCAGGCTAAGGACTGGGTGGAGAGGCAGCCACAGCCTTCTTGGCTTCACCTGCCTGGAGTAGAGCTACTCTAGCATGAAGCTCTGGGTAGGGGTAAAGGGATGCATTCTGGCTCAAATGCCACAGACTCTCACTGTCTTTACCATAATTTAATAGGTTTTTCTTGAATGACTCTTTCTCCATTTGCTGCATGCCTTTGGGACAATTTTCAGAGACTTAAATGATTGTCATCTGTAATTTTCACTTGTTAAATGGTTTTTCTGGGGAAAAGGTCCATCCAGATTCTTACACCTTCATTCTGCAAGTCTTAAATCCACAGAACCCATTATTTGATGAGGATAGGCTTTATTCATCCACTTGACAAATATTTATAGACTATGAATTATGTGGCAGGCAATGATTTGTTGCTCATCAACCTGTGTTGTAAACTGACTATTTCAGGTTGATATGTATTTAACACTCATATCCAACAGGATCAAGCACACTACATCCAACAGGCCATGTCTGTTTGGGCTCTGTAAATGTCTACAGCACTCAGCACAAGGCGGGATGTAGTTTATTCTTTTTTTTCGCTAATCTCTTCCTGATTTCCCTACTTGATTAACATCACATTTCCAAAACTATGTATTTTTCTGAAGTGTTCATTTCCTCTTTGTTTAGCAAATCACTGTCGATTGTCTATTATTTGTCCCTACCAAAATAATGGTAGATATTTTGCTACCATTTTTTAAACGTGTAATAGGCATTAGGTTTTTTTTGTTTTTTGTTTGTTTGTTTGTTTGTTTAAGCCACAGTTTCGCTCTTGTCACCCAGGCTGGAGTGCAATGATGCGATCTCAGCTCACTGCAACCTCCGCCTCCTGAGTTCAAGCGATTCTCCTGCCTCAGCCTCTGGAGTCACCCAGGCTGGAGTGCAATGGCATGGTACCAGCTCACTGCAACCTCTGCCTCCTGTGATCAAGTGATTCTCCTGCCTCAGCCTCCAGAGTAGCTGGAATTACAGATGCGTACAACCATGCCCAGCTAATTTTTGTATTTTTAGTATAGATGGGGTTTCACCGCTGGTCTCAAACTCCTGACCTCACCTGGATCACCACCTGCCTCGGCCTCCCAAAGTGCTAGGATTACAGGTGCAAGCTGCTGCACCGTGCTAGCATTAGGTCTTTGCATATGCAATCTCGCTAGTGCTAGCATTAACCCCATAGGGAAGTTCTAATCCCATTGTGCAGATGAGAAACCTGAGACTCAGAAAGGTTAAAAGAGCTTTTCTCAAGTTATAGCAAATAAGTGGCAGAGCTGCACTTTGAGCAGAGAACTGCCTGACTCCAAAGCTGGTTCTTTTTCTTCCATGCTAACCTACCCTGACCTTCTACTTGTAAGAGGAGAAGAGAACTATAGCAAGTTTGAGGAAAATCATCTCCAACACCCTGAATCATATACAGCATTGCGTGGCTTGGAAGCCTGCCGGTTTCCCAAAGCTAATATGTGATCTGGCCTCTTCGTGCTTGCAGCACTTTGGGACACAAAATGACTAACAAAGAACCACAGGAGTGAACGGAGTGACCTTGTTGCACCATGCCAAGCCCCCCAAATGACCCCAATTAAATCCACAACCTGGCTTATTTACAAAGATGTAGCTCACAAAATGGCAAATATATTAATAACTCGACCACAACCGATCTGGCCCTCGTTAGCTGTGTTGTAATGAGAACTTGTACTCATATCATTATGAAACACATATTTACGACAGGAATTGTACTGAATCCAGGCTTCTCTGACCCTCCAGGAAAAACCAATTAGGAATGGTGATGCCTATCTACCTATTTCTTTTATTTTTAAAATTTTTGTGGGTAACTTCTGGAAAATTGATTTCATAGTTAGAGTTACCCTTGATGGTGCTGAGATGGGTGTGGCTGACTTGGGGATGAGAAGTGGGTAAGTTCAAGGATGCTTGGGAGGTGAAAAAAATCCCAAATAGGCCTTTTTTTTTTAATGGCTCACAGCCTAAATGGAATTAAATAATTAAAAATTAAATACAGTAAAGTTGATTTTGTTTAATGTTATAAATGCTAATCTAATCTTTATTTTCCTGTGTTTCACTTAAATTTTTACAAACTTTTTTGGAGAAAGATCTACAATGCTTTTCCTAAAGTAGCTAATGTTCACTCTTAATATTTTCTTTTAATATTTACATTAAGTGTGAATCTATTTTTCCTATTAACTGAAAATTCACGGTAATCATTTCTGTTTATAAATTAGTAGTTTCTGGCCAGGTGCAGTGGCTCACGCCTATAATCCCAGCACTTTGGGAGGCTGAGTCAGGCAGAATACTTGAGGTCAGGAGTTCAAGACCAGCCTGACCAACATGGTGAAAACCCATCTCTACTAAAAATACAAAAATTAGTTGGGCCTGCTGGCACGCACCTGTAATCCCAGCTACTCGGGAGGCTGAGGCAGGAGAATCACTTGAACCGGGAGGCAGAGATTGCAGTGAGCCAAGATCATGCCACTACACTCCAGCTGGGCCACAGTGCGAGAGTCCATCTCAAAAAAAAAAAAAAATTAGCAGTTTCTAAAATAATCTTCACAGTGTTTCACGCCTGCAGTAATACAATGATACATGCATACTTCAGCATATAAGGAAGATTTATTGTGTTTTTGTTCCAGGTCCTGATTGGGCACTGGACTCTGTAGGATAGAGGAAGGGAGGCTGGAAGGTGGAAGAATAGATTCAAAGGGATGGATTATGGAAAGTAGAACATTTTAATGAACATAGTCATCATTAATATTATCTTATTCACTAGGTATTTTTTTTTCTTTTTTGCCTCTTTGTTTCTAGGGATTGCTAAGTATTCTTATGTGGCTATTCTACTTACAATTAATATATCCTTTTATAGATATGGTTTTATGTTCTTTTTTTTTTTTTTTTGAGATGGAGTCTCGCTCTGTGGCCCAGGCTGGAATGCAGTGGCGCGATCTCAGCTCACTGCATGGTTTTATGTTCTTATAAATAAAATGAAGAATATAAGTTTGAAAAAATTTGTACATGGTAGGTGTATATTTTGGGGTACATGAGATATTTGATATTTTGATACAGATACACAATGCATAATAATCACATCAGGGTAAATGGGATATCCATCACCTCAAGCATTTATTCTTTGTGTTACAAACAATTCAATTATGCCCTTTTAGATATTTTTATTTATTTATTTTATTTGTCCATAAGTTGTTGGGGTACCGGTGGTATTTGGTTACATGAGTAAATTCTTTAGTGGTGATCTGTGAGATTTTGGTGCACCCCATCACCTATGTATAAACTGCACCATATTTGTAGTCTTTTATCTCTTGCCCCTCTCCCACTCTTCCCCCCAAGTCCCCAAAGTCCATTTTATCATTCTTATGCCTTTGCATTCTCATAGCTTAGCCCCCACATATCAGTGAGAACATACGATGTTTGGTTTTCCATTCCTGAGTCACTTCACTTAGAATAATAGTCTCCAATCTCATTCAGGTCACTGAAAATGGTGTTAATTCATTCCTTTTTATGGCTGTGTAGTATTCCATCATATATATATATGTTTCTTTATCCATTCATTGATTGATGGGTATTTGGGTTGGTTCCACAATTTTGCAATTGTGAATTGTGCTGCTATAAACATGTGTGTGCAAGTATCTTTTTCAAATAATGACTTATTTTCCTCTGGGTAGATACCCAGTAGTGGGATTGCTGGATCAAATGGTAGTTCTACTTTCTTTAAGAAATCACCACACTGTTTTCCATAGTGGCTGTACTAGTTTACATTCCCAGCAGCAGTGTAGAAATGTTCCCTGTTCACTGCATCCACAGCAACATCTACTGTTTTTTTTATTTTTCGATTATGGCCATTCTTGCAGAAGATACATTGTTGGATTCAGTTAGCTAGTATTTTGTTAAGGATTTTAGCATTGTGGTTTTGATTTGCATTTCCCTGATCATTAGTGATGCTGAGCATTTTTTCATGTTTGTTGGCCATTTGTATACATTCTTTTGAGAACGGTCTATTCATGTCCTTGGCCGATTTTTGATGGGATTGTTTGTTATTTTCTTACTGATTTGTTTGATTTTGTTGTAGATCCGGGATATTAGTCCTTTGTCAGATGTATAGACGGTGAAGATTTTCACCCACTCTGTGGGTTGCCTGTTTACTCTGCTGACTGTTCCTTTTGCCATGCAAAAGCTCTTTAGTTTAATTAGGTCCCAGCTATTTATCTTTGTTTTTATTGCATTTGCTTTCGGGTTCTTAGTCATGAAATCCTTGCCTAAGCCAATGTCTAGAAGGGTTTTTCCAGTGTTGTCTTCTGGAATTTTTATAGTTTCAGGTCTTAGATTTAAGTCCTTAATCCATCTTGAGTTAATTTTTGTATAAGGTGAGAGATGAAGATCCACTTTCATTCTCCTACAGGTGGGTAGCCAAGTATCCCAGTACCATTTGTTGAAAAGGGTGTCCTTTCCCCACTTCGTGTTTTTGTTCGCTTTGTCGAAGATCAGTTGACTGTAAGTATTTGGGTTTATTTCTGGGTTCTCTATTCTGTTCCATTGGTCTATGTGCCTACTTTTATACCAGTGCCATGCTGTTTTAGTGACTGTGGCCTTATAGTATAGTTTGAAATCATGTAGTGTGATGCCTCCAGATTTGTTCTTTTTGCTTAGTCCTGCTTTGGCTATGTGGGCTCTTTTTTGGTTCCACATGAATTTTAGAATTGTTTTTTTCTAATTCTCTGTAGAATTATGGTGGTATTCTGATGGGGATTGTGTTGAATTTGTAGATTGCTTTTGGCAGTATGGTCATTTTCACAACATTGATTCTACCCATCCATGAGCATGGGATGTGTTTCCATTTGTTCATGTTGTCTATGATTTCTTTCATCAGTGTTTTGTAGTTTTCCTTGTAGAGGTCTTTCAGCTCCTTTGTTAGGTATATTCCTAAGTGTTTTATTTATTTATTTATTTATTTATTTATTTATTTTGCAGCTATTATAAAAGGGGTTGAGTTCTTGATTTAATTCTCTGCTTGGTTGCTGTTGGTGTACAGGAGAGCTACTGATTTGTGTACATTAATGTTGTATCCAGAAACTTTGCTGCTGAATTCTTTTACCAGTTCTAGGAGCTTTCTGGAGAAGTCTTTAGGGTTTTCAAGGTAAATGATCATATTATCAGCAAGCAGTGACAGTTTGACTTTCTCTTTACCAATTTGGATGCCTTTTATTTCTTTCCCTTGTCTGATTGCCCTGGCTAGGACTTCCAGTACTATGTTGAAGAGGAGTGGTGAGAGTGGGTATCCTTGCCTTGTTCCAGTTCTCAGACGGAATGCTTTCAACTTTTCCCCATTCAGTATTATATCGGCTGTGGGTTTGTCATAGATGGCTTTTATTACATTAAGGTATGTCCCTTGTATGCTGATTTTGCTGAGAGTTTTAATCATAAAGGGATGCTGGATTTTATCAAATGCTTTCTTTGCATCTATTGAGATTATCGTGTGATTTTTGTTTTTAATTCTCTTTATGTGGTGTATCACATTTATTGACTTGCGTATGTTAAACCACCCTGCATCCCTGGTATGAAACCCACTTGATCATGGTGGGTTATCTTTTTGATATGTTGTTGAATTCAGTGAGCTAGTATTTTGTTAAGGATTTTAGCATCTATGTTCATCAAGGACATCGTTTGATAGTTTTCCTTTTTATTATCCTCTTTCCTGGTTTTGGTATTAAGGTGATGCTGGCTTCTTAGAATGAATTAGGGAGGGTTCTTTCTTTCACTGTCTTGTGGAATAGTGTCAAGAGGATTTGTACCAATTCTTCTTTGACTGTCCGGTAGAATTCTGCTGTGAATCCGTCTGATCCTGGACTTTTTTTTCTGTTGGTAATTTTTAAATTACCATTTCAATCTTGCTGCTTGTTATTGGTCTGTTCAGGGTATCTAATTCTTCCTGATTTAAGCTAGGGGGGTTATATTTTCCCAGGAATTTATCCATCTCTTCTAGGTTTTCTAGTTTATGTGTGTAAAGATGTTAATAGTAGCCTTGAATAATCTTTTGTATTTCTGTGGTGTCAGTTGTAATATCTCCTGTTTCATTTCTTAGTGAGGTTATTTGGATTTCCTCTCTTCTTTTCTTGGTTAATCTTGCTAATGATCTATCAATTCTATTTATCTTTTCAAAGAACTAGCTTTTTGTTTCATTTGTCTTTTGTGGTTTTTTTTGTTGTTTCTTTCAATTTCATTTCATTCTGCTCTGATCTTGGTTATTTCCTTTCTTCTGCATTTGGGTTTGGTTTGTTCTTGTTTCTCTAGTTCCTTGAGGTGTGACCTTAGATTGCCTGTCTGTGCTCTTTCAGACTTTTTGATGTAGGCGTTTAGGGCTCTGAACTTTCCTCTTAGCACTGCCTTTGCTGTATCACAGAGGTTTTGATAGGTTGTGTCATTATTGTCATTCAATTTAAAGAATTTTTAAATTTCCATCTTGATTTCGTTTTTGACCCAGTGCTCATTTAGGAGCAGGTTATTTAATTTCCATGTATTTGCATGGTTTTGAAGGCTCCTTTTGGAGTTGATGTCCAGTTTTATTCCGCTGTGGTCTGAGAGAGTGCTTGATATAATTTCAGTTTTCTTAAATTTATTGAGGCTCGTTTTATGGCCTATCATATGGTCTATCTTGGAGAAAGTTCCGTGAGCTGTTTAATAGAATGTGTATTCTGTGGTTGTTGGATGAAATGTTCTGGATATATCTGCTAAGTCTATTTGTTCCAAGCTATGGTTTAAATCCATTGTTTCTTTGTGGACTTTCTGTCTTGATGACCTGTCTAGTGCTGTCAGTGGAGTATTGAAATGCCCCACTATTATTGAGTTGCTGTCTATCTCATTTCTTAGGTCTATTAGTAATTGTTTTATAAATTTGGGAGCTCCAGTGTTAGGTGCATATATGTTTAGGGTTGTGATATTTTCCTGTTGGACAAGGCCTTTTACCATTTTATACTGTCCCTCTTTGTGTCTTTTAACCACTGTTGCTTTAAAGTTTGTTTTGTCTGATATAAAAATAACTACCCCTGCTGCTTTTGGTGTCCATTTGCATGAAATGCCTTTTTCCACCCCTTTACTTTAAGTTTATGTAAGTCCTTATGTGTTAGATGAGTCTCCTGAAGGCAGCAGATAGTTGGTGTGTGAGTTCTTATCCATTCTGCAGTTCTGTATATTTTAAATGGAGCATTTAGGCCATTTACATTCAATGTTAGTATTGAAAAGTGAGGTACCATTGTTTTCATCATGCTCTTTGTTGCCTGTGTACTCTGGTTTTTTTTTTTTTTTTTGGTTTTTGCTTTTCAACTTGTATTTTGTTTTATATGTCCCTGTGTGATTTATGCTATAAAGAGGTTCTGTTTTGATGTGTTTCCAGGATTTAAGATTTAGAGCTCCTTTTAGCAATTCTTGTAATGGTGGTTTTTGTTTGCCTGAAAACGACCGTATCTTTCCTTCATATATGATGCTTAGTTTCACTGGTTACAAAATTCTTGGCTGATAATTGTTTTGTTTGAGGAGGTTAAAGATAGGTCCCCAACCCATTCTAGCTTGTAGGGTTTCAGCTGAGAAATCTGCTGTTAATCTGTTAGGTTTTCCTTTATAGGTTACCTGGGGGGCTTCTGTATCACAGCTCTTAAGATTCTTTCCTTCGTCTTAACTTTGGATAACCTGATGACAATATGCCTAGGTGAAGATCTTTTTGCGATGAATTTCCCAAGTATTCTTTGTGCTTCTTGTATTTGGCTGTCTAGGTCTCTCACAAGGCCAGAGAAGTTTTCCTCAATTATTCCCCCAAGTATGTTTTCCAGGCTTTTAGAATTCTCTTCTTCCTCAGGTATACTGATTATTCTTAAGTTTGATCACTTAACATAATCCAAGACTTCTTGAAGGCTTTGTTCATATTTTCTTATGCTTTTTTTCTTTGTCTTTGTTGGATGGGGTTAATTCAAAGACTTTGTCTTTGAGCTCTGAATTCCTTTCTTTGACTTGTTCAATTCTATTGCTGAGACTTACCAGAGCATTTTGCATTTTTAAAAGTGTGTCCAAAGTTTCCTGGATTTTTTATTGTTTTTTCTTTAAGCTAATCTATTTCCATGAATATTTCTCCCTTCACTTCTTGTATCACTTTTTTGATTTCCTTGCATTGGGCTTTGCCTTTCTCTGGTCCCTCCCTGATTAGCTTAATAACTAACCTCCTGAATTCTTTTTCAGGTAAATTAGGGATTTCTTCTTGGTTTGGATCCATTGCTGGTGAACTAGGGTGATTTTGGGGGGGCAGTGTTAAAGAGCCTTGCTTTGTCATATTACCAGCGTTGGTTTTCTGGTTCCTTCTCATTTGTTTATGCTCTGTCAGAGGGAAGGTCTGAGGCTGAAGGCTGTTTTTCAGATTCTTTTGTCCCACGGGGTGTTCCCTTGATATAGTACTCTCTCCCTTTTCCTATGGATATGGTTTCCTGTGAGCTGAATTGCAGTGGTTGTTGTCTCTCTTCTTGGTCCAGTCACCCAATGTGTCTACCTGGCTCCAGGCTGGTACTGGGGGTTGTTTGCACAGAGTCCTGTGATGTGAACCATCTATGGGTCTCTCAGCCATGGATACCAGCGCCTATTCTGGTGGAGGTGGCAGAGGGTGCAATGGACTCCATGAGGGTCCCTAGCTTTGGTAGTTTAGTACTCTATTTTTGTGTTGGTTGGCCTCCTGCCAGGAGGTGGCGCTTTCCAGAAAGCATCAGCTGTAGTAGTGGGGAGAGGGACCAGAGGTGAGCAGGGCTTTAGAACTCCCAAGATTGTATGCCCTTTGTCTTCCACTACCAGGGTGGGTAGGTAAGGGCCATCAGATGGGGGTGGAGCTAGGCTTGTCTGAGTTCAGACTCTCCTTGAGTGGGTCTTTCTGTGGCTGCTGTAGGGGATGGGGATAAGTTTCCCAGGTCACTGGAGTTGTGTACCTAGGAGGATTATGGTGCCTAGGTCATGCAGGTTTTCAGGGAAGTGGGGGAAAGCTGGCAGTGACAGGCCTCACCTAGCTCCTATGCAAACTGAAAGGGTAGTCTCCCACCGTGCCCCTGCCAACAGCCCCAAGTCTGTTGCCAGGCGGAAGGCAAGATGGGCTTTATGGTAGCTCTATAAAATATAATTTGAAGTCAGGCAATGTGATTCCTCCAGTTTTGTTCTTTTTGCTTAGAATAGCTTTGGCTATTCTGAGTCTTTTGTGATTCCATATAAATTTTAGGATTATTTTTTCTATTTTTGCAAAGAATGTCATTGGCATTTTGATAGGGATTGCATTGAATCTGTAAATTGCCTTGGGTAATATCGACATTTTAACAATATTGATTCTTCCAATCTATGTACATGGAATATCTTTCCATTTTTTGTGTGTTCTCTTAAATTTCTTGCATTAATTTTTATAGTCTTCATTGTAAAGATCTTTCACTTCTTTGGTTAATTCCTAGGCTTTTAATTTTATTTGCAGCTATTGTAAATGAGATTACTTTTTTGTTTTATTTTTCAGATTGTTCACTGTTGACATATAGAAATGCTACTGATTTTTGTATGTTGATTTTGTATCCTGCAACTTTATTGAATTCATGTTTATCAGTTCCAATAGTTTTTTGATGGAGTCTTTAGGTTTTTCCAAATATAAAAGCATATTATCTGCAAACAAAGATAATTTGACTTCTTTCTTTCTAATTTGGATTCCTTTTATTTCTTTCTCTTGTTTGATTGCTCTAGCTAGGACATCCAGTACTATGTTGAGTAACAGTGGTGAAAGTAGCCATCCTTTTCACGTTCCAAATCTTAGAGGAAAGGCTTTCAGTTTTTCCCAATTCAACATGATACTAGCTGTGTGTCTGCTGTAGATGGCTTTTATTGTGTTGAGGTACGTTCCTTCTGTACCCAGTTTTTTTTGTATTTTTGTTTGTTTGTTTTTGAGACAGGGTCTCACTCTGTCACCCAGGCTGGAGTGCTGTGGTGCAATCTCGGCTCACTGCAACCTCCACTTCCCAGGCTCAAGGGATTCTCCCACCTCAGCCTCCTGAGTAGCTGGAAGTACAGGCACATGCCCACATGCCTGGCTAATTTTTTTTTTCTTTTTTTGTAGAGACATGGTTTCGCCATGTTGCCCAGGCTGGTCTCAAACTCTTAGTGTACCCAGATTTTTAAGGATTTTGATTTTTATCATGAAGGAAGGGATCTTGAATTTTGTCAAGTGCTTTTTCAGCATCATATGGCTTTTGTCCTTCATTCTGTTGATGTTATGTGTCACATAAATTGATTTGCATTTATTGAATCATCCTTAGGATAAATGCCACTTGATCATGAAGAATGATCTTTTAAATTTGTTGTAGATTTCAGTTTGCTAGTATTTTGTGGAGGATTTTTGCATCAGTGTTCATCAGGGGGATATTGGCCTGTAGTTTTCTTTCTCTTTCTTTCTTTCTTTCTTTCTTTCTTTCTTTCTTTCTTTCTTTCTTTCTTTCTTTCTTTCTTTCTTCCTTTCTTTCTTTCTTGTTTCTTTCTCTCTTTTGACATGTCTTTGTCTGGTTTTTGTATCAAGGTAATACTGGCCACATAGAATGAGTTCAGAAGTATTCTTTCCTCCTCTAGTTTTCAGAATAGGTTGAGTAGGATTGGTGTTAGTTCTTCTGTAAATGTTTGGTAAGATTCAACAGTGAAGCCACTGGGTGCTGAGCTTTTCTTTGCTGAAAGACTTTTTATTATGGCCTCAGTCTTGTTACACGTTGTCTGTTCAGGTTTTGGATTTCTTCATGGTTCGATCCTGATAAATTATATGTGTCTAAGAATTTATTCATTTCTTCCGGATTTCCCAACTGATTGGCATATATAGCCAGTCTATGTCTTTTTTTATTTTTTGAGACAAGATCTCCCTCTGTTGCCCAGGTTGCAGTGCAGTGGTGCAATCATGGCTCACTGCAGCCTCAAACTCCCTGGCTCAAGTGATTCTCCCACCTCAGCCTCCTGTGTAGCTGGGACCACAGGTGCATGCCACCATGCTTGGCTAATTCCTTTTTGGAAAGATTGGGTCTTCCTATATTGCCTTGGCTGGTCTCAAACTCCTGGACTCAAGAGATCCTCCTACCTCCGCCTCCCAAAGTGCTGGGATTACACATATGAGCCACTGTGCCTGGCTCACTCTGTCTTTTGATTGGAGAGTTTATTTCATCTACATTCAATGTTATTATTGATAAGTAAGGGCTTACTTCTGCCATTCTGTTATTTGTTTTCTGGTTTTGTGGTCTTCTCTTCCTTCTTTCCTTCCTTCCTGTCGTCCTTTCAGTGAAGGTGATTTTCTTAGGTGGAAGGTTACTTTTTGTGTATCTGTTGTATGTTTTTTGATTTGAGGTTACCATGA
This sequence comes from Homo sapiens, assembly GCF_000001405.40. NCBI lineage: Eukaryota > Metazoa > Chordata > Mammalia > Primates > Hominidae > Homo > Homo sapiens. The sequence goes on from NC_000001.11 coordinate 61,550,157, forward strand.
AGCTTGCAAATGATATCTTATAATCCATTATTTTAAACTGATGACAACTTAACATTAATTGCATAAACAAACTAATAAACAAGCAGAGAAAACTAATACAAACTCTGCACTTTAACTTTATCCCTCTGCTTTTTGACTTTTACTTGTTTCTTGTTTCTATTTATATCTTCTTATACTCTCTATGTCTGGAAAAGTTGTTGTAGTTATGATTCTTTGAGAGGTTCATCTTTTAGTCTTTCTACTCAATATATGAGTAGTTTGCACACCACAATTAGTGTTATAATATTCTGTGTATTTCTGTGTACTTACTATTACCAGTGAGTTTTGTACCTTCAAATGATTTCTTATTGCTCATTAGCATCCTTTTCTTTCAGATTGAAGAAATCCCTTTAGCATTTCTTGTAGAACAGGTCTGGTGTTAATAAAATCTTTTTTTTTGGCGGGGGGTGTCTGGGAAAGCCTTTATTTCTCCTTCATGTTTGTAGAATATTTTCACTAGATATGCTATTCTAGGATAAAATTTTTTTCCTTCAGCACTTTAAATCTTGCCACTCTCTCCTGGTCTGTAAGATTTCCACTGAGAAGTTTCCTGCCAGACGAATTGGAGCTCCTTTGTATGTTATTTGCTTCTTTTGCTGCTTTTAGGATCATTTCTATATCCTTCACCTGTGGGAGTTGATTATTGAATGCCTTGAGGTAGTCTTATTTGAGTTAAATTGGTGCTCTATAACCTTCTTGTACTATGTTGATATGTTTCTCTAGATTTGGGGAGTTCTCTATTATTATCCATTTGAATAAACTTTCTACCCCCATCTCCCTCTCTACCTCCTCTTTAAGGCCAATAACTCTTAGATTTGCCTTTTTGAAGCTATTTTCTAGATCTTGTTGGTGTGCTTCATTCTTTTATATTCTTTTTTATTTTGTCTCCTCTGACTGTGTGTTTTCAAATAACCTGTCTTCAAGCTCACTAATTCTTTCTTCTGCTTGATCAATTCTGCTGTTAAGAGACTCTGATACATTCTTCAGTATGTCAATCACATTTTTCAGCTCCAGAATTTCTGCTGATTCTTTTTATTTCAATCTCTTTGTTAAATTTCCTTCTCTGTGTTATCTTGGATTTTGTTGAGCTTCCTCAAAACAGCTATTTTGAACTCTCAGTCTAAAAGGTAATATATCTGTGTCTCTCTAGGACTGGTCCGTGGTGCCTTATTTAGTTCATTGGTGACATCATGTTTCCCCGGATGGCCTTGATGCTTGTGGGTGTTCATCAGCGTCTGGGCATGGAAGAGATAGGTATTTATTGTAGTCTTCACAGTCTGGACTTGTTTGTACCCATCCTTCTTGGGAAGGTTTTATAGGTATTTGAAGGGACTTGGATGTTGTGATCTGTCTTCGATCACTGCAGCTGTATCTGCACTGGGGGTACTCCAAGTCTAGTAACACTATGGCTCTTGCAAACTTGTAGAAGTACCGCCTTGGTGGTCTTGGGTAAGATCCAGAAGAATTCTCTGGATTACCAGGCAGAGACTCTTGTTCTCCTCCCTTACTTTCCCCCCAAAAAATAGAATCTTTCTCTGTGCTGAGCTGTCTGGAGCTGGGGGAGGGGTGACATAAGCAGCCTGATGGCCATCACCACTGGGACTGTGCTGTGCATCAGCACAGCACTGGGTCTTGCCCAAGGCCTGCAGCAATCACTGCCTGGCTACCATCTATATTCACTCAAGGCCCAAGGCCTCTACAATCATGCGGTGGCAAATCCAGCCAAGATTGTGTCCTTAAGAATGGTGAGATCCTCCTGGCCCCAGGTGGGTTGACAGATGCTGTCTGGGAGCTAGGGCCTGGAGTCAGGAATCAGGAATCTACCCTGTGTTCCATTCTACTGCAGCTGAGCTGGCACCCAAGCCACAAGACAAAGTCCTTCCCACTCTTCCCTCCCCTTTCCTGAAGCAGAGGAGTCTCTCCCCATGGCCACCACCACCCCAGGCCCATGGCAAGTACTTCCTAGCCACTGCCGATGTTCACTCAAGGCCCAAGGACTCTTCAATCAACTTGTGGTGTCAGTCCTGAGCCTCTCCCTTCAGGGAAATGGGTTTCCCTGCGGCCCAGGGCAGTTATAGAAATGCCATCCAGGAGCCAAGTCCTGGAATTAGAGACCCCAGAAGCCCATTTGTTGCCCTACCCCCACTTTGGTAAAGCTGGTACCCAAGCTGCAAGACAAAGTCCCCTTTACTCTTCCCTCTCCCTTTCTCAAGGAGGGAGGGGGTCTCGCTCCATAGCCACCACAGCTGGAGATATGCTGGGTTACGTCTGAAGCCAGCATTTCTCTGAGTTTAACCCAAGGCTTATAGCAAATACAGCCCGGCTGCTGCTGCTAATTATTCAGGGCCCATAGGCTCTCTAGTCATCAGGTGATGAATTCTGCCAGGCCTGGCTCCTTTCCTTCAAAGGCAATAGTTTCTCTTCTGGCCCAGGGTATGCTAGAAATGACTTCCAGGATTTAGAGCCTGGAATGGGGGACCTCAGGACTCTTCCTGGTTTCTTATTCTACTGTGGTTGAACTGATATCCAAGTGGCAAGACAAAGTCCTCTTTACTCTCCCCTCTCCTCTCCTCAAGCAGAGAGAAGGAGTCTCTCCCTGAGCTGCACTGCCTGTGGCTGGGGAAGGGATGATGCAAGCACTCTTTTGGCCACCCCAGCTAGTATCTCATTAGGTCATGTGCACCCCAAGTCCACTGCTCTGAGTCCAGCACAGCACCAGGACTTGCCAAGGAATTGCAATTCTTGCGGCCTAAATTGCCATTCAAGTTTATTTAGGATCCCAGGGTGCTTTAGCCCATGGTTGCAGGATCTGCTGGAACTCAAGTTCTCATCACCAAGATGGACAATTTGCCCCTGGCTAGGGCTGGTCTAAATACTCCCTCTTTGGGTGTTGGCTGAGTTTTACCTTGTGTTGTTTTCTGCTATGACACGGCAGCACTGAGTTCCAATGCAAAGTCCCACAATCAGTGTGCTCTCACTCCCCACTGTGCTCTCACTCCCTCAACATTCTCTCACTCCCCTATTCTCTCTTCGTTCCATGAGGCCACTGCTAGAGGATGGAGAAGGATCGTATAGCTGACTCAAGACTGTCTTTCCTACCCTCTTCAGTGCCCCTTTTCTTAATATGATGTTAAAACCAGGGACTGTGGTCACTCACCTGATTTTTGGTTCTTATGAACATGCTTTTTTTCTGTGGATAGATGTTCTGTTTGGTGTTTCGTGGGAGGGACAATCGCTGGAGGCTTCTATTCAGCCATCTTGTTCCGCCTTCTCATCTCTATTTCTTTATATTGATTTGTGAACATCTTCAAAACCCTGCATCCTTGAGAATCTTCAGTCCTTCAGTGTCATTTGAATAGTTCAGCTGGATCTCACTGGTTTATTCCTTTAAACAAATAAAATATCATACCTTTTCCACTAGGCTACAGAACCAATAACGCAAGGAGGGGTAAAACGGGAAAGAATTTGAGTGGAAACCTCTGAGGAAAAATGTGGTTTCCATGGCGGAAGAAAAGTTGACATTTCATTAAATTGTATTAGACAATAAACTTATTGGGTGTTAGATTACCTCTCCCCAAAGTCCTATAAAACACCCAGGATAGTATAATTTACCTGTCAGGAGGTCTTCAAGTATTTGTTGATTATTGCAGGCTGAATCTTCCCTTAGCTGATGAAGGTGGGGTGAAGTCACTTTAAGAATTTAACTTTAAATCTGTTCTAGTATTATTCCTTACCTGCCATATGGCATATCTACATCACCTTCTTTTTTTGCATCTCTCTGGGAGTTCCAAGGTGGGGTTGGAATGTCTTGAATATTATTTGAGCTGTTTCCCAATCGTCTTTCCCTTCTCAGTCCTCTGGCTGTTGTTTCTGTTGTCTAGAGTGTGCTGTTATTCTGCTCAACCATATTGATGCCCTCTGGATTGGACTGAGAGGGCTCAGTAATGTTAATCCTCTCTTCTACACAAGATCTGAACCCCCTGAGAAATAAGACAAAGGACTAACATGGAAAGAGGCCAAGATAGCATCTTCGTTACTGACAAAACTAAGTTGAAGGACCTAGCTTTTACCCGTGGCCTCGTGCACCTTCTACTGTTTGAATCAGGCCTACTTGGCCACCCAGTCCCAGGAAGGACTGAAGCCCCTCTGCAGATTTCCCCTTGGAGGATCAGTTTCCTAGGCGATTTGTCATGGAGAGGTAGAACACAGTGTGTGACTCGGGGAGCTTACTCTCAGAAGGAATAAGGAAGAAACTGAGCTGACTATGCCCAGTTTATTCTGCCCAAATTTACAGATCAGTTAAGTTTTTCCAGCTCTCCTGGAAGGGAGTGAATAAAGGAGCAGAGGGAGGCCAAGAGTGTCACTCTTATCAAGCTCAGCCCACAAAATTTAGAACCTCAAGAGTGGTGCAGAAGTATTTACCCTCCAATACCACACAGTGTTTTTCTGAAAGGCCCCAACATGGTCTTTGGCCTCTAATGCCACTGGGGTTTCCTGACTGTAGACCTCTGATATTTACCTCTCTCTCTGACCAATTCATTTCTCTCTCCTTCACCTTTTCATGTGCTGTTCCTTTCATAAAGCAGAGGGCCACAGTAAAATTAGAGTAGGAGGATGGCTAGAATTATAATTCTAGATGGAATATTTTGTTATTGTTTGGTTTTTTTTTTTTTTTTTGTAACCAGTTTATTGAATGGTCTAAACTCAGTAGAGTTCAAACATAAAAAAAATTATTTCTTCCAGTGACTGCTCCTAAAAAAGTTCTGGTGAGCTCACCTTCCCTCCCCTAAATGATATTTTAGGTAAAACTTTATGGTTATTTTTGGGTATAAAAATATTCAGTATAATACAATTGATCCAGTTTAAAACTTCAAACTCATATCCAACTTAATTCTCTTCCTCCTAACTAAGGGAGTGTGCTTTTCTCTTTCATTTTTCTTCCTTCCTCTCCTGGCTTTCCTTTTCTTCTCCACTATTTTTGGGCCTTAAAAACAGGTGGGGAAGAGGGAATAAAATTCTTCTATTTAAGTGGGTCTATTTGGTCCTTCCTTCCTTGGAGGTCAGTAGCTATTTATGGCAGAAGTCTAAATGCTGAGCTTCTCATGGACTCAAAGTGAGTCCTTAATAGGATCCTGTAAGATTCCCTTTTTTTTTTTTTTTTTTTTTGAGATGGAGTCTCACTCTGTCACCCAGACTGGAGTGCAGTGGCATGATCTTGGCTCACTGCAGCCTCTGGCTCCTGGATTTAAGCAATTCTCCTGCCTCAGCCTCCCAAGTAGCTGTAATTACAGGTGCCCACCACCACACCCAGCTAATTTTTGTATATTTAGTAAAGATGGGGTTTCACCATGTTGGTCAGGCTGGTCTTGAACTCCTGACCTCAAGTGATCTGCCCACCTTGGCCTCCCAAAGTGCTGGGATTACAGATGTGAGCCACCATGCCCAGCGATCCTCTAAGATTCTTACACAGCACAGGACCTACTACGGAAGATGCACTCTGGCATCATTTCTTTTAATACTGCACCCCACCCTGGGTTCCCATTCTCAGTAAGACTCATACAATCACCTTAGCCAAACACAGCATAAGTTTACTTAATTCTCACTTAACAGTGTTGAGTTAAGTGAACTCTTCACCCTGAGGTCTGCTGTGCTCCACAGGATCATTCAAGAATCCAGGATTCCTCGTTTATATCTGCATTTGAGCCTGTGGGAAGGGGAAAGAGAAAGTCAGAGTTAGTAGCTTTGTCTTTAAAGCAATTATTTGGAAGTTTCCATAGGTCACTTCCACTAACATCCTGTTGGCTTGAACTTAGTCACATGTCCATACCTAGCTGCAAGGGAGGCTAGGAAAATGTAATCTTTTGTGGGCTGGCTATATAATCCTCTGAAACCCTGGAGGTCTTTTTAATCACTAAAATGGAAAAAAGGAGAATGGATATTGGAGCAGAATTGAGTAGTCTCTGCCTCTGTTATATCTGAGATCATCTTCTTAATGTACTCCAAACCACTCTGCCTTCAGGCCCTTGTTGCTAAGTGTGGACCACAGTGACAGACTTCCACCCCATTTCCTCTAGACCCAGTGACCCTCTCTGTGATGTCTTCCTGTTTCCATTTTACCATCCACCAAACATGTCTGTAGATACCTGAACCCCAATTGGAAACATGTTTTCATGTTCTTTCTTACTGTGACACATGCCATTCAAATCACTGGTAAGTGATGCATGTGTCACCTTAGGATGCCTGTGGAACACATCGTAGGGACACCACACCTAATCCATGTAGAGAGGGAAGAGTTGGGAAAGGCTGCCTGTATGACAGTGATGCCTGATAAGAGTTCTGAAAGAGTAGGGGTAGTTTGTGGATAGGTGTCATAAGCAACAAGAACTAGAAGAGAAGAGAAGAGGGACCTGATGCATTTACAGAACAGCAAATAGGACACTATTGCTTGAGAGTCAAGTGTGGGCAGAAGTGTGGGATATTTTTAGAATATGAGGCTACAGGGGTAAACAAGAAGCAAATGATGTAGGCCTTTGTATACTTTGACTTTATCTTGAGGCCAAATGGGATTTCATGGAGAACTTTAAGCAAGGAAGTGTGACCCAAACCAATCTGCATTTGCAAAAGACAATTCTGACAGCTGGTGAAGCGTGCATTGAAGCAAACAAGACCAGGCCCTGCCAGGACAGTTGGGAGGTAATTGGAGAAACCTAAGGGAAAAAAAATTAAGGTCCAGAAGTAAAATGATAGAACTGCCAACAAAGCTCGTATATTCTTTCCATGATAATAACAATTTTATTCTCCGTTTGTACACTGTCTCATTCCAAAAAGGATAGGGGTTGAATTTCACAAATTCAGCAAATATTGTAGTGAATATGAATCTCAGTCTAAAAATTCAGATGTGCAAGAAATATTATTTCTTTCATTTTCTGTAAATCAAACTTAATTTCTAATCTAAGCCCACTCTTGCTGGGTAGATGGGAAATTCAGTCTCAGCCATTTTGAGGATTCCCTCCTTCACATTAGTACAAAAGCTCCAGAGTCCTACATAACTGTAAGACATTGAGGGGGTTCCGCTGATGCTTAGTGCCCTGGTAATGAGGAGATAGTCACCGTGCCAGTTCACACAGCTCCAGTGGCTTTGCTGATACCAAGTTATGCCTGCTGCTCAGAGTCCTAGGCCAGCATATGGAACGGCCATGGTTCTTACCTGGGGTCTTTCTACTTTTCTAGAGTTCTGCCTCCCTTTGCTCTCTCTAAACCCACAGATACAAAGAGACTCTGGGAATCTCTTGACAATGTGGGAGAATTGCCCCTTTCCACGTTTCTCTTAGAACCCTTTTTTCTCCACCGAGGACACTTAGCTCAACCTCCTTAAAGGCTTTAAACATTTCCAAACAAATTCAGAAGGAGAAGTCAACCATAATTTTACCAGCTCTGAAGCAAGAAAGCACAGAATCTGTAAACTGCATTCATAGAAAAAGGAGAAGAAAATTCAAAAATTAACATGTCAAAAATGGTCCTATCTCAATACCATGATTTTTTTCAAATGTCAAAAATGGTCCTATCTCAATACCATGATTTTTTTCAAATATAAAGAATTTATGGTGAAAGAGAAATAAAATTAAAAATGAATGAGAAAATTAATGCGTTGAAAATGCTTTCAAGCTTAGGTTCATGACGTCAGCTCTGAGCTTTCTAGTGACCAAATCAATAACTCAACAACTGTTCATGGGTTATAAGCCACCCCAATCTACGGTATTCTGTTATAACGGCCTGAACTCATGAAGGCAACAACTGATAAAAATAAATCTGCTAAAGAAAGCATACCAGTTTTTCAGGACCAAAATGGTTTTACCTGGCCCTGGGATGAGTGGAAGATTTTTTTCACTGGATCCTTCTAAAGAGAACACTTTATAATGCAGGCACCCCCACGTTCAACATTATCCTTACAATAATGACTTCTGTCACATTGTTTTTTATAACAATATAGGCACCAGAGATTTAAAAAAACAACAAACAATTCAAAAAGTGGGCTTTGGTCTAGTCAAGGATGCAGATAAACAGATAATTGCCACCTGCTATTAAAGCGTCATCATAGAGGTGTTGTACAAAGTGCAAAAGGAGCCCAGATGAGGCAGAGCAATGATATTGGAAGCAGGTGTCCAAGGATGCATTCATGTTGCTAGAAGAAGAAAGGATGGAGGGAGCCCAGCACCCAAAGATCATGGGGGCTAGAATGAGGTTGGAAAATGCTCAGGTCATAATAAGCAGAAAAACACAATCCCATATTCAAAAGAAATGTATACAAAATACTAAAAGGAAATCCATGACTATTATTAGTTGTTGTTGTCTTTGGGCTGCCATAACAGCATACCATAGATTGGGTGGCTTACTGGCCAGGTGCAGTGGCTCACGCTTGTAATCCCAGCACTTTGGGAGAGAGTCAGCAGATCACCTGAGGTCAGGAGTTCAAGACCAGCCTGGCCACTATGGTGAAATCCCGTCTCTACAAAAATACAAAAATTAGCCAGGCATGGTAGTGGGAGCCTGTAATCTCAGCTACTTGGAAGGCTATGGGAGAATCGCTTGAACCCGGAAGACAAAGGTTGCAATGAGCTACGATAGCGCCATTGCACTCCAGCATGGGTGACAGAGCGAGACTCTGTCTAAAAATAAAAATAAAAATAAATAAAACACTTGGGTGGCTTATAAAGAATAAAAATTTATATCTCACAGTTTGGAGGTGGGGAAGTTTGAGATTCACGTGCCAGAAGATTCTCTATCAGATGAGGGCCTGCTGCCTGGTTCATAGACACCATCTTCTCATTGTAACCTCACGTGGTGGAAGGGACAAGGGAACTCTGGTGCCTCTTTTATAAGGACGCTAATCCTATTCATGAGGGCTCCATCCTTATGACCTAATCCCTTCCCTAAAGCTCTACCACCAAATACTATCACACTGGGGATTAAGTTTCAACATATAAATTTTGGAGGGGGCCACAAACATTCAGTCTATAACAGTTGTTATTTCTAGGAGATCATATTCTAGAATTCATGATCCTAAAATCATACTCTGATTTTTATAGTTTGCCTTTAGATTTTCTACATTTTCAATTTTTATGAGGAAAATGTTATGAATATTTAGCAACTAGTTTTGATTATAACAGAAGGTCCACATAAAAGTAGCTTCTAGTTCTTGTCACGCATGAAATATTCTAGAATGAAATAATAGGAGGTCTGGGATTTGCTTCAAAATCATGTGGGGCAGAGGAAAAGTGAACAAGGGCACAAATAAGCCAAGACTGGCCATGAGTTGCTAATTGTTTCAGCTGGATGATTGATGGGTACAAAGGGATTTGTTACACTATTCTCTAGTATCCTAGACTTTAAACTTCATAATAAAAAGCTGAGAAAACAAATAGATAAGGAGAGTGACCCCAGCCATTAAACTCTTTCTGCTTCAGTTTGCTCAACTGTAAAATGAGGATGATAATAATGCTCACCTCATGAGATAGTTGTGAGGATTACATGAGTTAACATATCTAAGATGCCATGACACTGCCTGACACTTAGTTAACATTATAGTTGTTATTATGATTGCCTAAGCCAGGGGCACGATGACCTTTTCAAGCTCCCAGGTCCTTCCATCTTTCTGCCCTGCCATCTCAAAGTGCGCCACCAGCCATCAATGGTTATGTGAAATTGAAGCTGCTCCAGGTATTACCATAGCCCTGTCCAGAGGCAGAAAAGAGGTCAGTCTTGCCTTTTGTGTATGTGTTCCCTTTTAAGACTTAGGACACTTTCCAAGAAGCCCCTAGCAGGCTTCCCTTTGCTTCTCATTGGCCAGGGTTATGTCACATACCCATGCCTAAACCAATCACTAACAAAACGGATACATCTACCAAGCTGGCTATTCACTAATCAAAACCTACACATAGGACTTTGTGGAGGCCCCTGAACCATGATGTACAAATGACTGGAGGAAGAAAAATCATGGGCAGTCCAACAATAGTGACACCTCCTGGCACATTTGACAGCAGTGAGTAAGTTCTGTATGACTGCTGCATAAGATAATATAGGGAACAGGAGGAGAGATGATAGCAGGACAGGTGAATTGAGATCAGTGAAACACTAGGCAGAGGACACTGCATTTTTTTCCTGTAGGCAGTGAGGAACCATGAAGATTGAGGCACAGGAGCTAAGGAGAACCTAATAAGGATATAAGAAAAATATCACTCATTTCATTTCAACCAAGAATTTTCCTAAAGATGATGTGTAATCTTATGCAAACTATATGCACGTGATATGCAAATCTACTTATTGCTCCCTCAAATGTTTTGCACGCCTGGATGTGGTGTTTGAAAAACAAAAATCTTGGTAGAAACAATTGACTCAGCAATAATATCTCTAAGTTGGTTAGGCAACTAGCCTTGGATTAGATATTGATGTCATAACTTCATTTTCTACTGGCTAAGAACTTGTTTTAGGTTTTGTACTAATTTCCTTTATGATTTGTCTTCAAGGAGCAGGTGAATATCCACAGCCCTCACAACAAAGAGTCTACCCTCAGTGCTGAGTGTCATTATCCTTATGTGAAAGTGAATTCCACATGAGTCTTTTGAAGAAGCCAGAGCGTTTTAAGATATTATTTAATTACACATGAGAAATGCATTATTTGATTCATTAAAGAAGACCATGATGCAAAGAGGCCAACCTCAAGCTATTGAAAACCTTTCAAATTAAGATGCTGAGAGCTTTGTTATTAGCATAAATTTTGCTTACGGGGTGGGGGGATGCTGTACATGTGATGAAATGCAACTGGGTCAAGAAGGAGAAATTAGGAAGTATGTTTATCACACATGAGGCTTTCTAGTACTTCTGAACAAGAAATCCTGATTTCAGCCAGATCTTAGCTGAAATGGGAAGATTATGATTTTTGTTTCCATGAAAGTCAAGCAGGTCCTGCTCCTCCATTGGGGGAAGTAATGTAAAATAAGTTCCCATGTACCTGATACGTTTGTGGATGAGGATGTTCTCCTTGATGTGTAGACCCTTGCATAAGTTATTATAGATATGAACTCAAATTTATTGAATGAATAAATAATACCAACCCTGATTTCAGCCAAATCCTATGACTTATCAGCTGAAAATCATTGTATATTTTACATGGATCATAAATTGTATTCTTCTTATTATTATTCGTTCACTTATTCAACAAGTTTTTGTCTAGACTTTTTTATAGTAGTTACTGTTCTAAGCACTGGGAGCACAGCATTGAATAAACCAGGCAAAAGTCTTTCTTCCCTTGGAGTTTATATTCTAATGGGAAATGATATAAAATAAATAAGATAAATAAGTAATATATATAGTACATGTACATTGTGATAGATGCTAAAGAGATGAAGTCGGTAAAGGGAATGGGGGATTGGAAAGTGGTCAAGAAGGCTTGCAATATTTGATAGCATGGTTGGGGAAGGCCTCCATTACATGGTGACCATGTTAACCATTAATATTATAGTATTCTTCATCAATATTTCTGGTTCTTCTGAGCACATGAAAAGATTGTATTTCCTTGCTACATTGGAATTAGAGATGCCAAGTGACTTGCTTTGGCTGATGAAATGTGAGTAGAAGTGATGTATGCTGCTTTGTCATGGAAGCTTTAAGGGCTGGTATATGATTCATCATGCTCTTTCTGTCTACCACAGCTATGTTCCACTAGTGGCTGTTCTGTCTGCTTGGAACCTGGGATGAGAACAATATGGAGCAGAACCAAAATGGACATGTATTCTGACTTGTTCTAAACTACTGAGTTTGAGGTTGCTTATTACTGCAGCATAACCTAGCCTAATGTGTCTAAATGAACTACAGCAACAATTGATTGAAGACCTGAAGGAAGTAGGGGAGTAAAAAGTGTGGATTTCTAGGAAGGAGCACTCCCAGTAGTGCAAAGGCCTCAGCGTGGGAGTCTGTTTGGTATTTTAGACTCAAATGAATGAAAAAAAACCATGGTAAAAGATGCAGTTCGAGAGGTGAGGGACTTCCAGATCATGTTGTACCATCCTAAGGACTTTTCTTCTCAGGGATGTGAAGTCATTCATAGAGGAGTAACATGATCTGACTTAAATTTTTAAAAATACTCAAAGTGGTTGTTGGTTTGAGCATAAACTGAGATGGCGGCAAGACAGCAGCAGAGAGAACATTAAGGAGGCTATTTCTAGAAATCCAGGGTAGAGAGGAGAGTTGCTTGAATCAGGCTGGTTGCAGCGGAGGTATTAGAAATGGTTGGCTTCTGGATATATGTTTTCTATAAAGCCAAGGGGATTTGCTGATGTATCAGATATGAGTTGTGTCTTAGTGCATTCCTGCTGCTATAACAAAATACCCAAGACTGGGTAATTTACAAACAAACAATAGAAATTTATTTTTCACAGTTCTGGAGGCTAGAAAGTCCAAGATCAAGGCACCAACAGGTTCAATGTCTGACAAGGGCTGTTCTCAGCTTCCAAGATGATACCTTCTGCTGCATCCTTCAGTTGAGACAAATACTGTGCTCTCACATGGCAGAAGAGATGGAAGGACAAAAGGTTCTAGCTAGTTCCCTCCAGCCCTTTTATAAGGCACTAATACCATCCATGAGATTAAAGCCTCCTAAAGATCCCACCTCTTAATACTGTTGCATTGGGGATTAAGTTTCAACATGAATTTTGCAGGGACACAAACTTAACCCATAGCATGTTGGAAGAAGAAGACTAAAGTCAAGGATGGTGCCAAGATTCTTATCTTAAATCAATGGAAGGATAGAGCTGCTACTTACTGAAATGGAGAAGATTGGAGGAGGAGCATATTTGTTAGGGTGAGCTCAGGCCTTAGTTTCAGACGGTGTTAAGTTTAGGGTGACCGCTAGACTTCTATGCAGAGATGTCGAATAGACAAGAAGACCATGTTGGAGACATAAATTTGGGAGTCATTGATGTATAGACAGTATTTGAAATCATTAGACTAAATGATAGCACCAAAGGGAAAAGTGTAGAGAGAAAGGTGTAGAGGCCTGAGGACTGAGTTTCTTAACTGAATCTTAAGAATCAGGGAGAAGAGGAGAAACAGCAAAGCAGGCTGAGAAGGAGCTGCCAATGGAGTAGCAGGAAGACAACAACAACAACAAAAAAAAAAAAAAAAAGAAGAGTGGTGGAAGGAAGAGTTTCAAAGTGTTAAATTCTGCATATAGGTTAAGTAAGATGAGGTCTGAGAATGGACAGTGAGATTTAGAAAATGGAAGTCTTCTATGACCTCGACAAATGGTATGTTGACAGCCTGGCTGGAAGATGCTCAAGAGATAACAAGAGAAAAGAAATGGAGACAACTCATTCAAGGAGTTTTGTTATAAAAGGAAGTTTAAAATGAAGGTTTAATTGGCAAGAAATAAAGTCAAAAGAGGATTTTAAAAAAGGAGAATTAATAATGACTTTGTTGGCTAATAGGAAAGATCTATTAGGAAAAATCTGATGATGAGAGAAGAGATTGTTGGAGCAGTGTCTTCAAATAGACAAGAGGGGGTGAGATCTAGCACAGAAATAGAAGAGTTTGTCTTTGCCAGGGGTTCATCCTGGAGAAATGAGAATAGATGCAGGGAGGTGGTTGTGTATGGAGGGGGAGTATGTGGAAGTTATTCTCTGAATAATTCTATTTTCTCAGAGACGTTGGAAGAAAGTTCATCAGTTCAAAGTAAGAACGGCAGTTTAAGGAGAAATGAGACAGTGTAAAATAGCTTTTGAGAACAGTGGGGAAGTAAACAGATTACAAAAGTGTACTGATTGCCAGTCAGCATTAGAGTAAGTAAACCAGCCAGGTGCGGTGGCTCATGCTTATAATCTCAGTACTATGGGAGGCCAAGGCAGGCAGATCACATGAGATCAGGAGTTTGAGACCAGCCTAGCCTACATGGTGAAACCCTGTCTCTACTAAAAATACAAAAATTAGCCAGGTGTGGTGGCCCATGCCTGTAATCCCAGCTACTTGGGAGGCTGAGGCATGAGAATTGCTTGAACCCAGGAGGCAGAGGTTGCAGTGAGCCAAAATCATGCCACTGCACTCCAGCCTGGGCAACAGAGTGAGACTCTGTCTTACAAATATATAATAATAATAATAATAATAATAATAATAATAATAATAATAATAAAGTGAACCAGAATTTAATGGAAGACCAATGAGTGTGGTAATGTGAGTCATATTTAGTTGTGTGGGTGCAAGCTGGGAGTAGGTAGAGAGATGGGATTACACAGGTAGGGGTTTTGCCAGAGTAGTACAATGAAGAAAGAAAGAGTCAATACAACTGAGGGTTTAGGCAAGGGTGCAATAATATCATACTTAACTATGGAATTCAAGCTGGCCAAAGGGGTAAGTAAAGAAATGAGTAGGGCACATTATTGACAAAATGTGTTCAGATCAATGAATTATGAAAACGGTAGGAGTGGCTATAGATGACTGAGTGCCTACAAGATACTATCACTGAAGTAGGTGCCTTACATTAATCCATGCTAGTTCTCACAACAATCTTGCTGGTATTATAATTCCAAATTTATATATTGCTAATAGACTGACCTAATATGTTGTGATCACAAGAAAAGTCATGGCATTCAATCAGTTATCATTTCAATATCCAGTATTCAGTGAACATATCTGGGTCAGCCTGTTTTACATTGCTTTAAAAAAATCTGAGACTGGGTGATTTATAAGGAAAAGAGGTTTATTTTGGCTCATCGTTCTGCAGATTGTACAAAAAGTGCAACACCAGCAACTGCTTCCAGTAAGGACTCAGGAAGCTTTTGGTCATGGTGGAAGGAAAGGGGAACCAGCATGTCACATGCAAGCAAGGGAACAAGAGAGAGAGGAGGTAGGTCCCAGACTCTTTCAACAACCAGATCTCATGTAAACTTATTACCATGGAGAGGGCACCAAGCCATTCACGACAGATTGGCCCCATGAACCAAACACTTCCCACCAGGGCCTTACCACCAACATTGTGGATCACATTTCAACATGACATTTGGAGAGGACAAATATTCAAACTACATCATTCCATTCCTGGACCTCCCCCAAGTCTCATGTCTCTCTCACATTGCAAAATACAATCATTCATTCCCAGTCATCTCCAAAAGTCTTAACTAGCTCCAAGCATCAACTCAAAATTCCAAACTCCAAAGTCTCATCTGAGACTCAAAGAAAGTTCCTTCCAGCTGTGAGCCTATAAAATAAAAAACAAATTATTTACTTCCTATATAAAATGGTGGTATAAGCCTAAGGTACACATCCCCATTCCAAAAGGGAGAAATTGGCCAAAATAAGGGGGCAACAGGCCTCAACAGAGATCCAGCAGAGCAGACACTAAGCCTTAAAGCTCCAAAATAATCTTCCTTGATTCCATGTCCCACATCCTGGGCACACCAGTGCAAGGGTTGGGCTCCCAAGGCCTTGGGCAGCCTCATCCCCATGGCTTTACGGGGTGCAGCCCATGTGGCTGCTCTCACAGGTTAAAGTCAAATGCCTGCAGCTTTTCCAGGTTGAAAGTGCATGCTGCTGGTGGCTCTACCATTCTGGGATCTAGAGGGTGATGATCCCATTCCCACAGCTCCACTAGGCAGTGCTCCAGTGAGGACTCTGTGAGGGCTCCAATCTCACATTTCCCCTTAGCACTGCCCTAGTAGAGTCTCTCTGCAGGGGCTCCACCTTTGTGGCTGGTTTCTGCTTGGGCACTCAGGCTTTCCAATACATCCTCTGAAATCTAAGTGGAAGTTGCCAAGCTTCTTTCACTCTTGCATTCTGCATGCCTGCAGGCTTAACAACACAAGGAAGCCATCAACGGTTATAGTTTGTGTCCTAGGAAAGAGCAGCCCAAGCAGTATCTGGGGCCCTTTGAGCCAAGGCTAGAACCAGAGCTGCTGGGATTCTGAGAGCAGCATCCTGAAATGGTACGGAATGGTGGCACACGGGGCTTGGCCCCTAAAATCATTCTTTCCTCTTAGGTCTCTGGGCCTGTGATGATAGGCATGGCCTGGAATGTTTCTGAAATGCCTTTGAGGCCTTTTCCCCATTGTCTCCCTGTCTTCTTCTGAGCCCTTCAAACTCCTCCAACCTCTGTCTGTTACCCAGTTCCAAAACTGCTTCCACATTTTCAAATATCTTTATAGCAACACCCCACTCCTGGTACCAATTTTCTGTGTTAGTCCATTTTGCAGTGCTATAAAGAAATATGTGAGACTGGGTAATATGTAAAGAAAAAAGATATATTTTGGCTCATGGTTTTGTAGACTGTATGAGAAGCATGGTGCCAGCATCTGCTTCTGGTAAGGCCTCAGGAAGCTTTTAGTCATGGCAGAAGGGAAGGGGAACCAGCATGTCACATGAAAAGAGAGGGAGCAAGAGAGAGGGGAGGGAGGTCCCAGACTCTTTTTAACAACCAGAACTCATAACTAGGTAAAGGGCACCAAGCCATTCATGAGGGATATGCCCCTATAACCCAAATACCTCCCACCTGCCCCACCTTCAACACTGTGGATCACATTTTAATATAAGATTTGGAGGGAACAAGTATCCAAACTATATCAATATTCAATATAAATAACAAGTGTCATGTGGCTCTAGAAAATCAGAAGAAGCTGGAGGTACACTTACAGATCTTAAGCACCAAGGAAATGCAAAGTCCAATCCATACAAACCAGGACAGGAGTTACAGGCTTCTTAGAATATATACATTGAAATTAATATAAATTGACTCTAGGGACAAGGGCTACCCAAACAGCCCTCTCTTGAAATTGATTTGCAGCTATAAATAAAGCTTACCACATCCAACTAATCGGAGTGAAAAACAAGAATCCAGCCAACATCCTGGCTGAAACATACAAGCAAACTCAAAAAGCAAACCCATGTATTACATGGGAAGATGCAACAGGAGTCTAAGCTGAGGCACAAGAGGAGTGTTACACCAGGTATCTGTAGCTCCAGGTCTCTTAGTTGAAAGGAACTTCAGTGACTTTCAATGATTATTTGTATAGATGAATTGTTTAATATTAATATTTCACACTAAGGAATCTATGCAAGTTTTATATATTTCTAACATTGGCATGAATTTGGCCTATAGGGTGACGGTCTTATAACTCCAACTTAAATTATGTACTCAAAACCCTTATTAGATTTGTGGTTTTAATTTGAAGTTTTACTAAATTTACATACTATATTAGAACATTTAAGAGAACTACAGTTTTCTATATTTACAAATTTAATTTATTAGACACAATATTTTAATACTAAGATAAGTTTTAAGTTAGACAACTGAAACTCTTAAGAAATCAAATATATTAAATGTATAAATGCACTTTAAAATATTTGAAGATGTTTAATTAACCAAACTTGTAAATGAGACCAAACCTTACTCATAGGCTCCCTTAAAAATGATTGCTAGGCCGGGCGCGGTGGCTCACGCCTGTAATCCCAGCACTTTGGGAGGCCGAGGCGGGCGGATCACGAGGTCAGGAGATCGAGACCATCCCGGCTAAAACGGTGAAACCCCGTCTCTACTAAAAATACAAAAAATTAGCCGGGCGTAGTGGCGGGCGCCTGTAGTCCCAGCTACTTGGGAGGCTGAGGCAGGAGAATGGCGTGAACCCGGGAGGCGGAGCTTGCAGTGAGCCGAGATCCCGCCACTGCACTCCAGCCTGGGCGACAGAGCGAGACTCCGTCTCAAAAAAAAAAAAAAAAAAAAAAAGATTGCTAAAATTTGCTAGACTTATAAATGGATCAATAAGATTTAAGCTACATTTAAAAGCTTAAGGACACACAGCCAGGCATGGTGCCTCACACTTGTAATCCTAGCACTTTGGGAGGCCAAGGCAGGAGGATTGCTTGAGCCCAAGAGTTTGAGACCAGCCTGGGTAATAAAGTGAGACCCCATCTCTATAGATAATTTTTTTTAAAAAAATTAGCCAGGCATGGTGGCACATGCCTGTGGTCCCAGTTACTTAGGAACCTGAGGCAGGATATCACTTGAGACCAGGAAGTTAAGGCTGCAGTGAGCTGTGTTTACGCCACTGCACTTTAGCCTGGGCAACAGAGAGAGACCCTGTCTCAAAAAAACAAAACAAAACAAAACACAGAAAAGAACAAAGCTTAAGGACAAACCCAGGTTTTAAATTTGTTACTTTAAAGAATGGAAATTCATTTTAAAAAGCAAAGTAAGCCACGGATTAATCTTTCTGTGTACTAAAACTGCTTTGAGAATACCAAAAAAAACTCTCAACATATATGAAGAAACTGAGACAGACAGTTACTAAGTGGCAGAGCTGGAATTTGATTCCAAGTTTGCCAACTATGAAAACCCATGCTTTTCTCATCATTCTTCATTGCCTTCCCCTGACAAATAATTAAACAACAGTAACATACAATTAGCATAAAACTTGAAAAGAAGAGTTTGTTCTCTCTCCTGTGTCCTGCAATGCCTTAGGGTTATAATTATATTATTACCCTACAGTACAGACTGTGCTGGAGAAGGTGTTTTAAGGATTGGGCCGAATTAGTATCACTTTAATTATTACATACCCTGGAAATAGCTTTTCCTACTAAATCCCTAACGTTGGCATGTGTGTATATACTTTTCCAGTTTCTCATAAAAGTAGAGTATAAATAGAAGAAATCCAATAACCTGTGGCTGATTATTTAAACTATGTTTGTTTTATAGATAAACTGGAGATTGCTGTCCTCAAGCTTTTTCCTTAGATTGGTTCTGTGTGTCCCTAGGGAAGACAGATTGCATGGAGAGGTGTTCCTCTTTATGCATTCTAATGAAAACCAAAATCCAAATCCCCAAACAGATAAGATCTGATTATTCTCATTAGCAGCCAGCACTACTGAAGCTCCAATCAGGGCACCCAGCCCGCTAAGCAGCTGCCCTCTAAAGATCCACCTAATGCTTGCAGAGCTGTTTGAGCTTCTCCATCTACAGCTTGTTCGGTGGTGTCTGTCTCTCATTGTTTTTGCATTTTCTGTTAACAAGGAGGAAAGTCGGTAATGGCTGTGGGGGACACAGTTGGTGGTCTTCTCAGTTGCCCTTAAAGCCCTTCCTCTTTGCTAACAGATTCCCAGTTTTGTTGAGACAGGCAGCCCACGGAAGAGCTGTGATTATCCCATTCTTCTTTGCCAGTGATGTGTGGAGGTGGACATGTGACCTAGTTTGAGCCAATAAAACATAAGGATAAGACTGCAGGCTTGGATAAGAGGCCTCTGGAAAACATTTCCTCCCAGATATAAGAGGGATGTTTTGAGAAGTCCCTCTGGTCATGCCCTCCATCCTGCGGGGATGCTGTCCTTTGAACAAGGCATGCTTGGAGTTCAGTAGCCACCTTGGTACTGTAAAAGGTAGAATTTTCACTTACATCAGCACTTGCCTTGTTGATACCAAACCTTACTGTTGTATTTTATTCAACTGTTTCTAAGCAGCAGTACCTGATGAAGGACCTTGAGTTTTGAGGGACTCCAGGAACCAGACCCTTACTGGACCTAACTGAAGACTCTGTGATGATTGATAGGCAGTAAGACTGGTTTTAACAAATTGCAGGCAGGCTTATAGACTTGTTCTGCTTTATCCAGTATGAGTTTGGTTTGTTGTTTAAATTTCCTAGCAAAAGTACAGTGGCGCAATCATAGCTCACTGTAGCCTCAAACTCCTAGGCTCAAAAAATCATCCTGCCTTGGCCTCCCAAAATCTGGGATTACAGGTGTGAGCCCCTGCGCCCAGCTCCAGAGTACTAGTTGTTAAGCCTTAGTTAACCTAACCACCATGAACCACTCCCTTCTTACTCAGCACTTAACAACCCCTGTCTCTTCCCCCTTAAGAAACTTCTCAGTGAATTTTTTCACAAATACTGTGTTCCTTTGACTATTAATTTAAGAGATTCACATTTTTTCTAAACACAAAAACAAAAAAACCCTGGTGTCTGTTTTATTTGCTCACATGACTATAAGAGAACCACAGAGGTAATTTTCCAGCTCCCTAACTTCATGATGTTGCTGAACCAACCTCAAAACTATCCACTACTAGGCTTCATGCTAAGAAAACCTCAAATATCTTTACATTTCATGCCAGGGATTGACCAACTACAGCCCACGGGCCAATCAAAAAGTTATATGGAGCACAGTCATGCCCATTGTTTACAGATGTCTATGGCTCCTTTCACACTACACTGGCAGAGTTGAATGGTGGCAGTAGGGACAATACAGCCTACAAAATCTAAAACATTTACTATCTGGCCC
Source organism: Homo sapiens (assembly GCF_000001405.40). Taxonomy (NCBI): domain Eukaryota; kingdom Metazoa; phylum Chordata; class Mammalia; order Primates; family Hominidae; genus Homo; species Homo sapiens. The sequence continues at coordinate 61,570,497 of NC_000001.11, forward strand.
TTTAAAGAAAGACTGCTAATCTGAGTTTTCAGTGGTGTTAGTTGGGTTTTCTGATCCATGATGTTGCTAACATTATGCTACATTATGATACAGCTACATTTTGGCTACTTCCTCTAATTTCTGGATTTTCCCAGTAAGCTCCCAGTAAGATTGTAAGTTATTCCCCACACACTGATTGATCCATAGTGGATCAAGGACTGAATCTAATACCTACTTAATCTAAAACTCTTGTACAACCGAAGTCTCTGCTATCCAGACATGCAGCTCTTTCTCAGATCTGTGACCAAGCCATGATCTGTCTCAACAGGAATATCACACATGTAGTCTGGAACAATCATATAACTTTTCCCTTACCCTTGGATAACTTCTATTCTTTTTTTTATTCTTTACAACTTAGCTCAAATGCCATTTTCTTTCTTTTTTTTTTTTTTTTTTGAGATGAAGTCTCACTCTCTTGCCCAAACTGGAGTGCAGTGGCGAGATCTCGGCTCATGGCAACCTCTGCCTCCTGGTTCAAGTGAATCTCCTACCTCAGCCCCCAGAGTAGCTGGGACTACAGGCACGTGCCACCATGCCCAGATAATTTTTGTATTTTTAGTAGAGACAGGGTTTCACTATGTTGGCCAGGCTGGCCTTGAACTTCTGACCTCATGATCTGCCCGCCCCAGCCTCCCAAAGTGCTGGGATTACAGGCGTTAGCCACCGCGCCCATCCCCAAATGCCATTTTCTAAGGAAAGCTTCTCTGACCCACCAAAATAGGTCATGTTCTTGTTTTATAGTTTCATGGGACCCTAACCTTTTCCATCATAGCATGTGTCAAAAATTGTAGCTAAGGCATGAATTGTGTAATTAGTTTTTAATATCATCAGCTTTCTTTGTAGAATGAAAGCTCCATAAGTGTAGGGACTGTGTGTATTGTCTATGTTCTTTATCCCTAGTGCCTAGAAAATTAAGATATATAATAAGTGATTAATGAATAAGTGAATGGAACAAACACTATCAATCTTACTTTGAACCGTGTGAAGTCCTAGGTCCTTTAGCATGTCCATCATCCAGAAATATAAATGAGATTCAGTTGTGTTAGACTGGTATGTTTTATGTGAGTCTAGGAGTGTCCTGATAAGTGTGTCAAGATCTGGCACCTCAATCACCCAACAATGAGGAGCCAGCGTGCTCCTCATTTTTCTAATATAATATTTCAATTGCCTTCTCCATTCACCTGCTGATCTTTCATTCATGTATACCAACACTTGCTCACCCACAGAAAGGTAGAGTTGCCACTCACTAGCTCGGAGCCCTTGCAGGCTACTTAACCTCTGTTTTCTCATCTGTAAAAGGAAGGCAATGGTGTGTAGATTAGAGACTTCTCCCACTGTGAAGAGGATATATAAGCTTCTGCCTAAACTCAGACATCATATCTGAAATAAGAAGGAAGAGGGGAAACCACCTTCAGATAGAAGAGGCCGTCCTGATAGCCCTATTCATGGAATCCGCTAATATTACCTGAAACCATTTTAAACTTAAAGAGACTGCACTACCTTTCACTGGCAAGTCTGAAGTTTTCCCCTCCATCATAAGGAATGGGATCTTGAGATTAAAATGGATCTGAGGATAATGTCACTTTCAGTTATAATGACGAGTTCCACTGAGTTTAAATCAAAGTTTCAATCTCACTTCCAGTTTAAAACTTCTACTCTGCCCATTATCCCCCAGTATGCAACCCTCAACATAGGCCTGAGTCATGGTCAGGAATTTTCGGTGGGGAGTGGGGCGTGTGTTGCTGGGTTTGTTCTCCTCCCTCTACTGGCTCTCCAAATTTGAAGTGGAAGGGAGAGAAAGAGGAAGAGAGGAAACATTGCTTTTAAGCTATGGCTGCTGTTTTAAGTCTCCTTTGGCTAACACTGCCTGTTTCCCATTGGAGTTTTCTATACCCTGGGTCTTCAGGATGTTTGGATGTGTGGATTACACTGAGGCACCCTGAGAACCTACACACTGAGCAGCTCCCTGACATTGGCTTTAGCAACACACACTCCAGCTCATAGCTTCCAGTCCTCCAACTCCAGCTTTTGCAGGTTCCCTATTGCCATTTTCTGCTGGAGTGACCTTCAAGGAGCTTTAAACCCAGTGACTTTCTGAAATATCCTCTTGGCACTTGGAAAACTCATGCATCCCTTCCATGCTGAATGGTAGAGCCAGATTGTTCCTCTGTTGCTCTTTCTCTTTGCCCTGCTGCTGCAAGCTGCTCATCCAGCCTCCCACCTTCACGCTGCTTAAGACAAGAAGTAGGCACAATTCTGTGTTCTCATGTGCCCCACCTCCAGGGAAAGGACCACGTTTCAAGCCCCCAAGAACCTTCTTGCTCTCTTCTGCCTGAGAAGCAGCACCTGCATGGGCCTGGGAGTGTCTATAACTCAGCCAGCGTCTGGCCAAGAGTGAGAGGCCAGACTCTCTTTCTTGTAGGCAGCACCAGCTTCTTGGAATGGTTCTCTTAGAGCTACTCTCATTAGGCTGTGAGGTGAGGAAATATAGGAAAAGGCAGGAGCGATGACACAACAGTCCCCATTTAATCAACAACTCATTTCTATGAAGTTCCTACTTTAGCAAACTGAGTTTGAGTTTTTTGTCTTTTTTCACATAGGCCGATGGGCTGATGGGGCATCATAAGACTATCTGGTCCACCTTTTAATAGTCTCTGCAGGTATATGCCTAGCATCTCCTCTTCATAATGTGATTACCCTTGCAGCAATTGCTTTTAACTTTACACCTGTAACCTAGAGTCCAAGACAAGAAGAGGTAAATTTATTCAAAAAAAGTATATGCATATATATATATATATATACACACACACACAGATCTATTTTACCAAACTTTGACCATATTGTTATTTTTTTATTATTATTATACTTTAAGTTCTAGGGTACATGTGCACAACATGCAGGTTTATTACATAGGTATACATGTGCCATGTTGGTTTGCTGCACCCATTAACTCATCATTTACATTAGGTATTTCTCCTAATGCTATCCCTCCCCCTGCCCCCCAACCCACCATAAGCCCCCATGTGTGATGTTCCCTACCCTGTGTTCAAGTGTTCTCATTGTTCAATTCTCACCTATGAGTGAGAATATGCGGTGTTTGGGTTTCTGTCCTTGTCATAGTTTGCTGAGAATGATGGTTTCCAGGTTCATCCATGTCCCTGCAAAGGACATGAACTCATCCTTTTTTATGGCTGCATAGTATTCCATGGTGTATATGTGCCACATTTTCTTAATCCAGTCTATCATTGGTGGACATTTGGGTTGGTTCCAAGTCTTTGCTATTGTGAATAGTGCTGCAATAAGCATACGTGTGCATGTGTCTTTATAGCAGCATGATTTATAATCCTTTGGGTATATACCCAGTAATGGGATCACTGGGTCAAATGGTTTTTCTAGTTCTAGATCCCTGAGGAATCGCCACACTGTCTTCCACAATGGTTGAACTAGTTTACAGTCCCACCAACAGTGTAAAAGTGTTTCTATTTCTCCACATCCTCTCCAGCATCTGTTGTTTCCTGACTTTTTAATGATCACCATTCTAACTGGTGTGAGATGGTATCTCATTGTGGTTTTGATTTGCATTTCTTTCATGACCAGTGATAATGAGCATTTTTTCGTGTGTTTGTTGGTTGCATAAATGTCTTCTTTTGAGTAGTGTCTGTTCATATCCTTTGCCCACTTTTTGATGGGGTTGTTTGTTTTTTTCTTGTAAATTTGTTTAAGTTCTTTGTAGATTCTGGATATTAGCCCTTTGTCAGATGGGTAGATTGCAAAACTTTTCTCCCATTCTGTAGGTTGCCTGTTCACTCTGATGGTACTTTCTTTTGCTGTGCAGAAGCTTCTTAGTTTAATTAGATCCCATTTGTCAATTTTGGCTCTCGTTGTAATTGCTTTTGGTGTTTTTAGTCACAAAGTCCTTGCCCATGCCTATGTCCTGAATGGTATTGCCTAGGTTTTCTGCTAGGGTTTTTATGGTTGTAGGTCTAACATTTAAGTCTTTAATCCATCTGGAATTAATTTTTGTATAAGGTGTAAGGAAGGGATCCAGTTTCAGCTTTCTACATATGGCTAGCCAGTTTTCCCAGCACCATTTATTAAATAGGGAATCCTTTCCCCATTTCTTGTTTTTGTCAGGTTTGTCAAAGATCAGATGGTTGTAGATGTGTGGCGTTATTTCTGAGGCCTCTGTCCCTTTCCATTGGTCTATATCTCTGTTTTGGTACCAGTACCATGCTGTTTTGGTTACTGTAGACTTGTAGTATAGTTTGAAGTCAGGTAGCGTGATACCTCCAGCTTTGCTCTTTTTGCTTAGGATTGTCTTGCCAATGCAGGCTGTTTTTTGGTTCCATATGAACTTTAAAGTAGTTTTTTCCAATTCTGTGAAGAAAGTCACTGGTAGCTTGATGGTGATGGCATTGAATCTATAAATTACCTTGGGCAGTATGGCCATTTTCACGATATTGATTCTTCCTATCCATGAGCACAGAATATTCTTCCATTTGCTTGTGTTTTCTTTTATTTCCTTGAGCAGTGGTTGTAGTTCTCCTTGAAGAGGTCCTTCACATCCCTTGTAAGTTGGATTCCTAGGTATTTTATTCTCTTTGTAGCAATTGTGAATGGTAGTTCACTCATGATTTGGCTCTCTGTTTGTCTGTTATTGGTGTATAGGAATACTTGTGATTTTTGCACATTGATTTTGTATCCTGAGACTTTGATGAAGTTGCTTATCAGCTTAAGGAGATTTTGGGCTGAGACAATGGGGTTTTCTAAATATACAATCATGTCATCTGCAAACAGGGACAATTTGATTTCCTCTTTTCCTAATTGAATACCCTTTATTTCTTTCTCTTGCCTCATTGCCCTGGCAAGAACTTCCAACACTATGTTGAATAGGAGTGGTGAGAGAGGGCATCCCTGTCTTGTGCCGGTTTTCAAAGGGAATGCTTCCAGTTTTTGCCCATTCATATTGGCTGTGGGTTTGTCATAAAGAGCTCTTATTATTTTGAGATATGTTCCATCAATACCTAGTTTATTGAGAGTTTTCAGCATGAAGGGCTGTGAATTTTGTTGAAGGCCTTTTCTGCATCTATTGAGATAATCATGTGGTTTTTGTCATTGGTTCTGTTTATGTGATGGATTACATTTATTGATTTGTATATGTTGAACCAGCCTTGCATCCCAGGGATGATGCCAACTTGATCGTGGTGGATAAGCTTTTTGATGTGCTGCTGTATTCAGTTTGTCAGTATTTTACTGAGGATTTTCGCATTGATGTTCATCAGGGATATTGGTCTAAGATTCTCTTTTTTTGTTGTGTCTCTGCCAGGCTTTGGTATCAGGATGATGCTTGCCTCATAGAATGAGTTAGGGAGGATTCCCTCTTTTTCTATTGATTGGAATAGTTTCCGAAGGAATAGCACTAGCTCCTCTTTGTACCTCTGGTAGAATTTGGCTGTGAATCTTTCTGGTTCTGGACTTTTTTTAATTGGTAGGCTATTAATTATTGCCTCAATTTCAGAGCCTGTTACTGGTCTATTCAGAGATTCAACTTCTTCCTGGTTTAGTCTTGGGAGGGTGTATGTGTCCAGAAATTTATTCATTTCCTCTAGATTTTCTAGTTTATTTGCATAGAGGTGTTTATAGTATTCTCTAATGGTAGTTTCTATTTCTGTGGGATCAGTGGTGATATCCCCTTTATCATTTTTTATTGCATCTATTTGATTATTCTCTCTTTTCTTCTTTATTAGTCTTGCTAGCAGTCTGTCAATTTTGTTGATCTTTTCAAAAAACCAGCTCCTGGATTCACTGATTTTTTGAAGGGTTTTTGTGTCTCTATCTCCTTCAGTTCTGCTCTAATCTTAGTTATTTCTTGCCTTCTGCTAGCTTTTGAATGTGTTTGCTCTTGCTTCTCTAGTTCTTTTAATTGTGATGTTAGGGTGTTGATTTTAGATCTTTCCTGCTTTCTCTTGTGAGCATTTAGTGCCTAAATTTCCCTCTACACACTGCTTTAAATGTGTCCCAGAGATTTTGGTACACTGTGTCTTTGTTCTCATTGGTTTCAAAGAACATATTTATTTCTGCCTTCATTTCACTATTTACCCCATAGTCATTCAGGAGCAGGTTGTTCAGTTTCCATGTAGTTGTGTGGTTTTGAGTGAGTATCTTAATTCTGAGTTCTAATTTGATTGCACTGTGGTCTGAGAGACAGTTTGTTGTGATTTCTGTTCTCTTACGTTTGCTGAGGAGTGCTTTACTTCCAGCTATGTGGTCAATTTTGGAATAAGTGCAATGTGGTGCTGAGAAGAATGTATATTCTGTTGATTTGGGGTGGAGAGTTCTGTAGATGTCTATTAGGTCTGCTTCGTGTAGAGATGAGTTCAAGTCCTGGATATCCTTGTTAACCTTCTGTCTCGTTGATCTGTCTAATATTGACAGTGGGGTGTTAAAGTCTCCCATTATTATTGTGTGGGAGTCTAAGACTCTTTGTAGGTCTCTGAGGACTTGCTTTATGAATCTGGGTGCTCCCATATTGGGTGCATATATATTTAGGATAGTTAGCTCTTCTTGATGAATTGATCCTTTTACCATTATGTAATGGTCTTCTTTATCTCTTTTGATCTTTGTTGGTTTAAAGTCTGTTTTATCAGAGACTAGGATTTGCAACCCTTGCTTTTTTTTGCTTTCCATTTGCTTGGTAGATCTTCCTCCATCCCTTTATTTTGAACCAATGTGTGTCTGCACGTGAGATGAGTCTCCTGAATAGAGCACACTGATGGGTCTTGACTCTTTATCCAATTTGCCAGTCTGTGTCTTTTAATTGGAGCATTTAGCCCATTTGCATTTAAGGTTAATATTATTATGTGTTAATTTGATCCTGTCATTATGATGTTAGCTGGTTATTTTGCTCGTTAGTTGATGCAGTTTCTTCCTAGCATCAATGGTCTTTACAATTTGGCATATTTTTGCAGTGGTTGGTACCAGTTGTTCCTTTCCATGTTTAGTGCTTCCTTCAGGAGCTCTTGTAAGGCAGGCCTGGTGGTGACAAAATCTCTCAGCATTTGCTTGTCTGTAAAGGATTTTATTTCTCCTTCACTTATGAAGCTTAGTTTGGCTGGATACGAAATTCTGGGTTGAAAATTCTTTTCTTTAAGAATATTGAATATTGGCCCCCACTCTCTTCTGGCTTGCAGAGTTTCTGCCAAGAGATCTGCTGTTAGTCTGATGGGCTTCCCTTTGTGGGTAACCCGACCTTTCTCTCTGGCTGCCCTTAACATTTTTTCCTTCATTTCAACTTTGGTGAATCTGACAATTATGTGTCTTGGGGTTGCTCTTCTCGAGGAGTATCTTTGTGGCATACTCTGTATTTCCTGAATTTGAATGTTGTCCTGCCTTGCTAGGTTGGGGAAATTCTCCTGGATAATATCCTGCAGAGTGTTTTCCAACTTGGTTCCATTCTCCCCGTCACTTTCAGGTACACCAATCAAACATAGATTTGGTCTTTTCACTTAGTACCATATTTCTTGGAGGCTTTGTTTGCTTCTTTTTACTCTTTTTTCTCTAACCTTCTCCTCTCACTTGATTTCATTAATTTGATCTTCAATCACTGATACTCTTTCTTCTGCTTGATCACATTGGCTGTGAAGCTTGTGCATGTGTCACGTAGTTCTTGTGCCATGGTTTTCAACTCCATCAGGCCATTTACGGTCTTCTCTACACTGTTTATTCTAGCTAGCCAGTCGTCTAATCTTTTTTCAAGGTTTTTAGCTTCCTTGCGATGGGTTCGAACATCCTCCTTTAGCTCAGAAAAGTTTATTATTACCGCCCTTCCAAAGCCTACTTCTGTCAGCTCATCAAAGTCATTTTCCATCCAGCTTTGTTCCATTGCTGGTGAGGAGCTGCATTCCTTTGGAGGAGAAGAGGTGCTCTGTGTTTTAGAATTTTCAGTTTTTCTGCTCTGGTTTCTCCACATCTTTGTGGTTTTATCTACCTTTGGCCTTTGATGTTGGTGACCTACAGATGGGGTTTTGGTGTGGATGTACTTTTTGTTGATGTTGATGCTAGTCCTTTCTGTTTGTTAGTTTTCCTTCGAAGAGTCAAGTCCCTCAGCTGCAGGTCTGTTGGAATTTGCTGGAGGACCATTCCAGACCCTGTTTGCCTGGGTATCACCAGCGGAGGCTGCAGAACAGCAAATATTGCTGCCTGATCCTTCCTCTGGAAACTCTGTCCCTGAGGGGCACCCACCTGTATGAGGTGTCAGTCAACCCCTACTTGGAGTTCGAGCTTCCCTGGCCACTTTGTTTACCTACTCAAGCCTCAGCAATGGCGGACATCCCTCCCCCTGCCAGGCTGCTGCCTTGCAGGTTGATCTCAGACCGCTGTGCTATCAGTGAGCAAGCCTCCGTGGGCATGGGACCCACTGAGCCATGTGTGGGATATAATCTCCTGGTGTGCCGTTTGCTAAGACCATTGGAAAAGCGCAGTATTTGGGCGGGAGAGTCCCGATTTTCCAGGTACTGTCTGTCACAGCTTCCCGTGGCTAAGAAAGGGAAATCCCCCGACCCCTTGCACTTCCCGGGTGAGTCGATGCCCTGCCCTGCTTCAGCTCACCCTCCATGGGCTGCACCCATTGTCCAACCATTCCCAAAGAGATGAACCAGGTACCTCAGTTGGAAATGCAGAAATCACTGTCTTCTGCATCAATCGCACTGGGAGCTGCAGACTGGAGCTGTTCCTATTCAGCCATCTTTGACCATATTATTTTATAAGTCACTTCTTAAACTTAAGAATGTGTTATAATATTTCCCATGCTACAAATTGGGCTTTGAAATATTATTTTTAAAAGTGGTGAGAGGCAGACCTAAAGTCCTCACAGCATCGATAATATTTCAGCTGAGTCTAAAAGGGTGAGTCACAGTTTTCCAGGGAAGGCAAAAGGAAGCCCTCATATTGAAATATACATAGGCAAGAAAGAACACTAAATACACAAAGAACTTGGGAGGGTGTCACAGAGACCTGATATATACAATCGCATGAAATGCAAGGCCAAGTACTTATTATTATTATTGATTTTACTTTCAAAGGAGGAAACAGAGGCTTAGAGAGATTATAGGATTTACCAAAGAGCAGCAATCCAGTTGGTGGCCAAGTCAGAATTCCAAGTCAAGATTTCTAGCACCTAAAAGGGAACTGAATGTAAGAAGGAAAGGAAGATCAGTGAAAGGAAATCAAGGAAACCCAAGTCATGATGAGGGAGAAGAAGGGGTGCCCTAAACCTGAGTGAGTGGGAAGAAAAGAAAAACCCTCCACTCCATTCCTAATTCAGTCCCTTTTGTTCTCAGAGAAGCCTGGGAAGTTGACCGCCAGTCTGTCTCATCTGATGAGTGAAGTGTAATAAATGTGAGCTTTGCATTTTTGTACAAATGTGAAATACTTTCCAAAATTAGCCCTGGTCCAACTGTTAAAATCCCCAAGTTCCCAAACTCTCTCAACAGGAAACAAGCTGTGGACATCCAGATGTTTCTCCTCACAGTGTGTTGTCTGGATAGTGTTTACATTTATCTTTTTCTTGTCAAATCATGACTTTGTAAAATGCTTTATTATGGTGATTGATCATTTGCACAACAGTGCTAAGAAAGAGAACTGAGGGAAGTGTGGGTACAGGGTGACACATGAATGCATAGCCAATGATCCATCTCAGAAAACCATTTCTGAGAGCCATGATTCCAGCAAGTGCCCAGAGTTAAAACATCAAGTGTGTGACTCAGTGAGACTGTCCCTTTTCTGTATGAAGAGAATTAGCCCAAGGAGCAACCTTGATGAATCCACTCTTTGGCAGTTAAGAAGGAAACGGATCTATCCACAAATCATGGAATCTACCAAAAGCTATGTATACCAAAAGAGCATCTTCCTGCAGGAAGAGAGCTAACAGAAACTTGGAATGGTGAGTAACAAATAGGCTATCACCTTTAGTTATCCCTTACCTTGCGCTAGGCATTTTGCATACATTGCCTTATTTAATCCTTGCAACAATCCTAGGAAGGAGGTACTGTTTTCATGCCCTGTTTAGAGATGACGAAACTGAAACCCAAGAAAGGTTAAGCAACCTAAAATTACACACCCAGTAAGTGACTGCACTGGGAATCCAACCTAGGTATATCTAAGTCCAAAGAGATGGGATTTTGCCTCCATTTCCAATAAGGCAAGGGTTGTCCTTTTCTCTGTTGGTAACTATTGAATGAGAGTCACCTTCTCCACTCTTACCTAGGGCAGCTATTTTGCTTAGAAGATGGGTCACTTTTGATCACATTTCTTGTCTTCCTTTTTGGCCACCATTGTTTCATTCTTTCCCTGAATCCCAAAGAAAGATATAAGAGGCCAACAGAATATACCTGCCAGGTCATAGTTATTAGCAATGAAAAAAAAAAAAAAAAGAATTTAAAACCCCACAAAAAACACCAGCTATAGAGTTGGATCCTGGAAGCCTTTCTCCTGCCAGATAACAGTGACCAAAGAGATAGCTTGTCAGACTTTCAACTGCTACCACATTTGATTAATTGGTCTTTCCCCTCTTTAATTAATTGGTCTTTCTTCCTTTTTAATTATGGTTTTAGCCAAAACTCCATGCTGTTCATCCTACTGTTAGAGGGAAAGAAGGAAGAAGAAATGAAGATAAATATAACCAATTTTATTTGGATCTGCTATGTCTCATTAGCAATTTTATAGTTTTGGTATAGAGTGATACTTAGTACAGAAAAAGCAGTTTTTCTTTCTTTAAAAACAAAACAAAACACAACACAACCGAATGTTTAATTAGTTAGTCCCCTTTGGCCTAGCTAGAGAAATGCCTATAGCTGACATGCACATTACAGTATGTAATAATGGGCGTAAACAAAAGTCAAACATCTGCTCACCAGACCTGCCCCTAAGTCTTCTTCTTAAGCACCAAGGGAAGCATCTCAAGTTGACTTTGCAGGAATGCTGGATTCTCTGTAGTGCTTTTGCCTCTCACCTTTCTTGGGAGTTTATAGGGGACTTTGAAGTTCCTCTGAACAAACAGGGTCTCTGTTTCACTTATTGCTGAGCCAACCCTGGGGCCTTGGTTCCATCAGCTCCTTATTAAGTGTTTAGTAATTTCAGTTTCCACCTTTTGGTCTTGCTCGCTTTGCAAACATCTGGAGAGAATTAGCTCCCAGGCCTCTGTACCATACCCATTTTGTGGTTCTAGGGAGACTTGTGTGCTAGGGGATGTTGTTGCCCTTAACGAGCTTTCTTTATGGTGTTTAACTGTAAAAGGTACCCTCGTTAATATTAATAGACAAAGAGAAAGCAAGGCCACTCCACTCGTATTTAGCAAGGGCTTGACTATGAGTGAGAACTTCATGCCGAAGTGGGAATAATGAATACCATGAACACGAGATTGAAGTATAAGATAAAGTAAAATATCATTATCATAAAACGTCTGGACACTTGAAATGAGTCTAAGTCTATACCTATGCTATTCAATATAATAACTACTAACCTCATGTGGCTTTTGAGCATTGGAAATGTGGCTAGTTCATATTAAGATTTACTATAAGTATAAAACATACACTAGGTTTTAAAGACAGCATAAAAATGTAAAATATCTCATTAATGACTTTTATATTGATTGTATGTTGATAATACTTTGGAGATAGTAGGTTAAATGATATATGTTAAGATTAATTTTACCCATTTCTTTTTACTTTTCAACATGGCTGTTAGAAAATGTAAAATTACATACATGGCCCACATTTGTGGTTTGCATCATGTTTTCATTGGACAGCGGTATACTAGAAGATAAGAAAAATTATTCCACAAGATATGATTGGGACATGCAAGATTCTGTGACTCGGAATCCATGTGACATTAAAGTAAACAGCAAAAATATCAAAAAGGTTACTAAGAAAATGTCATCCTGACACCACAGGGAAAAAAACACACAAAATTTAAAAACATATATAAAAATAAAAAGAAAAGAAAATGTTATTCTGAATCTCAACAAATAAGAAAAGACAGCTATCAGAAATTACTGGTCAGGTTTTTTTTCAGGGAAAAATTCTAGAATCGATTACTAAATACATCTATGAACAAGTTAGGAAATAAGAAGATGATTACCAGAAACTGGCTGAGTTCCCTAAAAACAAGGCATACCACATTAAATTCATTACCGTTTTTGATTAAGTGACTGGGCTGACACATCTAAGGAATTATAGAAACATACCTGATTTCAGCAAGCTATTGGACAAACCTTCTTATGGTATGTTTGTGGCCAAATTTCAGAAACTTGTATTGTGTAATAGTAAGCTGGCAAAACCCAACTGGTTGAATATTTGTAAATATTATAGATAACCTTGAAAATCTACTTATAGGATGGTCTATGGGAGAGATCACAAAACTAAAAATTAGCTAAATAAATATGATCAATATCAAAATCGGTACTCAAAAAATAATGCATCAGTAATAAGAATATGGCATATAACCACCATCAAAGTAAAATGTTGAGTTCCTAAAATGAATTGTGTAGGTACAGCACTAAGCTGGCCCACTTTGAAAATAATGTGCATAAAAAGAATTATTTTTTTTCTAAAGTACAACACAAACTAAATGTGTAGTATGCTTGTGAAGAAGTATGGGAAGCAGTAGTCTCAGTTTACTGTACTAAACTGGCTAAATCCAGAATATTTTGTTCAGTTCTTGGATAACCACAATGGTGAGGAGGTGTTAACAATTAGAAAATGAAAGCCATGCAGCTCAACAAAGAGGAGCTCTGGGAACAACCTGACAGCTATGCTCAATGCCATCACTTGGAGGGTACACATGTTCTGCTTTGCTGCAAAAAATTGGTGGATCCAAGAACAACTGGGGGGAGTTACAGGGAAGGCAGGAACAGATCATTATGAAAATTTGTTGAATAATCTTGGAGCTCTCCACGAGAAAGCATGCCTTGGAAGATAATAAGTGAGCTCCCTTTCCTTAAGAGTGTTCTGTAGAAACCAGATGGGCATTCATCAGGAACTTTATAGAAGAGACTTCTCCTGTGGCAGGAAGGTTAATTAAGTGAAATCTTTATATTTTCAACTCTTAGGCTAGAAATCCTATTATCAGTATTGGGAGACTAAAGATAACTCTGCAGGCTTCTACTTTGGTCCAATTAAGCTAAATATCATCTGGAAGCTTGCTAGCAAATTGTGATGCACCAGAAATTAGACTATCAAGAAATGTAGCACACAACTGGCTCTGTGCATGTATTTGGGAGTGGGGAGGCGAGGGAGCAAAGCTCCAATTTGTAATGTTTGCCAATTACTGTGGTGTAATTACTCCTACCATGGCAAACTTTAAGCTACCCACGGTTGAATAACTGTGAGTTAGTTCCTGAAAATGTAACACAGCTCTCACAAGCCAGTATGAGGTGACTCCTGCACACCACTTCCAGCTTGTCACTTGGCAGTCAGCATACAGTGTCAAGACAAAATTGATCAGTCCATCATATATTTAATTTGTTTGTTTGTTCTTGTTTTATGTTTGCTATGGGTCCCACATTCTGAAAAGTGCTCATAGGTGACATGGTCTTCTTCCTCAAAGAATGTAAGGCTAACAGGGAGGAGCAGTGGTGGTGGTGGCAGTGGAGGGTTAAAGATTAAGATGCACAGAGAAAAACAGAGTTTTTAAGACATGGAATGGGCGGAACATGAAGGTCTGTGCTAGTGGAGCTCAGGAAGCAGTGAAGGGACAAGAGCTAATGTTTATCAACATTGAAAGGCTCATGTGCTGGGTGAGCCACCACTTTTTACATCTCAAGAAACATAATCATAACCCTGTGAGGTAGCTTTTGTGCCCATTGTATGGATGAGGAACCAGAACTCAAAAACATCAAAATATGTACCTGCAGCTCACAACTGATAGCACAATCCATCGGAGTCTGCAGATCAAATCCATCCCGCCACTCACTCCTTTGCATTGTCAGGGAAGGAGGAAAGTGAAGACTGAAGCTTAGCTGGAAGGATAGATAGAATTTAAATGCTTCCTTCAAAACAAGAAGCCTGCAAAGCAGAGAAATAGTCCTATCTGTCTGGGAGGCAGCCTGCTGCAGTTGACTTGAACAGCTCTTTGAGGCCACTGTCGCTTCTGAGCCATAGCTGATTTAGAAAACAAGGCAAAGAAGACAGCAATGAGGCTATACCTCAAACCCTGCCCATCTGCACTAAAACACCTCCCACTGCCACTCTATCAAATGGACTTGGTCGTGGGTTTTGAGATTTTGCTAAAAATTCAGTATGGGTGAAGTGGCATGCTCCTGTAATCTCAGTTACTTGGGAGGCTGAGGCAGGGGGATCGCTTGAGACTAGGAGTTTGAGATCAGCCTGGGCAACATAGCGAGACCCTGTCTGAAAAAACAAAACAAAATAAAAATTCCAGCAGTATGAGTTGGGAAAGTTAATAGCTCTTTGAGCATCAGTTTCTTCTTTTGTAAATAAAAAGAAATATGCCTGATTCACATTTTGTTGAGAAGACTTAATGTGCTAATTTTATAAAACACCTAGCACAATGCCTGGCACAGAGTAAGCATTCGATAAATATGCGATCCCTTTCCCTCCACACAGTTGCACAGTTGCCTCCCTCGCTGGACTGTCATATGCATATATGCATCTTTGTGTCCCCAGCTACTAGTACAGTACCTGGCAAAGAGTGCTAAAGTACCTGGGAAAGAGACAGGTAAACTCTGTCTACATACAGTGCTGATTCATTACTCTGGGCTCAGAAATACTTCTTAGGTTAAATAAAACAAGTATATATGCACATGCATAAATCCATTGTAGTGTCAAGTCAGCGTGTGCTTTCTCAGGGCTGGTCATCCCATGCACATAAAGAAGCGCCAACTCTCTGGCAAGGCATCCTGGTGGGCCACTCTCTCAGTCTGAAAGCTGCCTTGATTTGTTTACTTCAACAAGGTTTCATCTTTCTGCCATGTTTTCTTTTTCATTCTGGTGCGCTGTGTGTCCCATTACCTTAACAAGTGATAGTGCTTGAGTTGCCACTAAGGGTCCGAAGGAAAAGTGTTGTGCTGGATGCCAGTGTTCATGGATTGTGGCAGCACAAGGCAAGTTCAGTCTAGGAAACAGGTAACAAAGCTCACGAGGCTGTTAGGGAGGTCTGATTTTTACGAAGGGCTTCGTGTCCATCACTGAAGCCTGGAGGATTGACTAGTAATTGTATGAATGGGATCTGGAAGGAACTATGGTCTGAGGCTTGTCATGACTTCAGGGGTTGGCACCGTACAAAGCCCCATAAGGATCACGCAAAGGCACCCAACCGTGCTAATTCACCCTTTCCGGGAACTCAGCTCCCCCGCCCAGTATTGCTTGCCAGGGTGTGCCCACAGGCACTCCCTGCATGTGGCTGCAGGAACCAACTATGAAATCCACCTATGTGTTTTCTAGTGAATCTGGCCCTGATTTTAGCAGACAGCACTAGCTGTCATCTGGTTTTTATTAAATTCCATAAGTAAGAGAGTAATTCACACTCTAAAATGTTACACTATGTAAATAGTGAGACTGATTGAAAACTATTTTGTTATTTTCTGCTTTTCTCTATTTTGTGAATTTTCTTTAATGAGCATTGAGTACTATTTTATATATATATGTTTACATATATGTTTATATATATGTTTATATATATATATATATGTTTTAATTCAAAGGATAATTCATGGCAGAAACAGAAGTATAGGGACAGAAATTTCCATTACCGGAGGCTTTGAGAACCATATTCCTGCAGCTCTAATGAACAGAAAGTCATTTCACTGGGATGTTTTCCTCCATTTTCTGTGAATTTGAGTGAGCTTCCTTCCAAGAATGCAATTGAAGACTGGGACATACATATTGTAACCAGTAGCATGAGTTATTGATTGAATTCCCTGGCACTTCCTTTAGTTTGAATTCTAGGTAGAGTTCTTGGAAAGTGATGGCTTTTCGAGAGCTGGGCTTCCCTAGCATGGAATGACAAGTCACATAACAGCTCTTTGTCCAGTCATATACTGAGCATCACCTGCGTATCAGGCACTGTGCTGGGCACCAAAGATGGAAAGATAATTCGTGTCTTCACTGTAGTAAGGTAGATAGGGGCCAGGCATGGTGGCTCACACCTGTAATCCCGGCACTTTGGGAGGCCGAGGCAGGCGGATCACCTGAGGTCAGGAGTTCAAGACCTGCCTGGCCAATGTGATGAATCCCCGCCTCTACTAAAAATACAAAAATTAGCTAGGCATGGTGGCGCGTGCCTGTAATCCCAGCTACTCAGGAGGCTGAGGCGAGAGAATCACTTGAACCTGGGAGGCAGATGTTGCAATGAGCCAAGATCATGCCATTGCACTCCAGTCTGCGTGACAAGAACGAAACTCAGTCTCAAAAATAATAATAATAAACAAGAAAAAAATAAGAAAGGTAGATAGGAACACAACATAGCTGTACTAGGGGTGAGTTATGTACAAGAGGGTGTGGGTGAGTGGCCAGAGCAGGTTTCACAGAGGCCAGGACATGTCAACAGTCTTCACTTTAGAGTAGGAATTTGCTAAGAAGACCAGAAGTCTGGTTGGCTGGCAAAGAGATGGGTCAGGGTAAGGGGAGTCCAGCAGAAGGAAAAGTATGCATACAAGCATGGAAGCATGAACTGGCTGGCCTGTGGGATCGTCATGACCCCAGGATCAAACTCATATAAGTTTCTCCAAGACATAACAGTTCTTGTCTCAAGTAAGAC
Organism: Homo sapiens; assembly: GCF_000001405.40. Classification (NCBI taxonomy): domain Eukaryota; kingdom Metazoa; phylum Chordata; class Mammalia; order Primates; family Hominidae; genus Homo; species Homo sapiens. The sequence continues at coordinate 61,587,309 of NC_000001.11, forward strand.
ACTAGGAGAGTAGGCCACTAGGAGCCCCAATTCCATCAAACACCTCCTAGCCCTGTCATGCACCCAGCATAAGCACAGGGGATGATACAAGAAAACAGTGTGATATCACCATCCCAAGTTGCTGCGGATCAGAGAGCTGTCTTACTGTGATGCTTAATTTTTGGTGAACTTACAGAAAAAAATTCAAAAAGTCTGAGGCTGCCCATTAGGAATGAGAAATTGCATATGAGGGTTAGCATGCTAATTATGTTTTGTGTAACCTACTGGACACACTGGGATGGCTTTTCCTGAAAGAAATTATCTGAGTCCTACCTTACCACCTAGACAAACGGGAAAGGAAAGGGGGTTGATTCCACCAACAGTGTGTGCTTGTGACTTAGGCGGCTTTCCAGTCGAAGAAATACAAATAATTGTAAGGCAATTTTAATCTTTACTGAACTCTCTTGAAGCCTATCAAACGGAATCCCAAATGCACAGCAAAACATCTTAAAATTGCCTTTCCCTATCTCTCTCAAGTCATATATATCACACGTTTATGGCTCTCTCCTCCTAATTTTTTTCCTCCCTCTTTCCATATTCCTCCCAAACTCTCTTAAGCTCAACTACAAGAACACTTGTCTTTTCACCCCAGCCCCATTCCCCGCTTTCTGGATTTATTCCTCTGGTGGCTAGTAGATCTCTCTCCTTTCTAAAGTAAATCAATTTCACATTTCTGCCCCCCTACACCAATCAACACCACATTATTTTTATATTTGTGGCAGAGGTTTAATAGGTAGAACAAGGGGATGCTTTGCAGAGGCTAGAACACTCAAGAGAAAGATTTGTTTTCTTTGTCATTTGAACAGCAAGCATATATAAACCATGCTGGTAAAGTTTCTTTCTGGTGGCTCCCATATTTTAGGTTACTGGCCACCCTAAAAACCTAAGCCCTAAAAACCTGTTACCTTCCCATGTAACAGAAGCTTAATGTAAATGACTTTCATAAGCCTGTATTCCTTTAACTTATTTTTTTCTTCTTTATCCATAGCAGATTTAAGTCTGGATTCCTTGACTCATCCAAAGTGGTTAAGTGCAAGAATGCTATTTTTTTTTAATGCCTGTCTTCCCCATTAACTCCCAGAGGGCAGGGGTATTGGCCATCTAGGTGACCATTAGCACTGTCCCTGGAAAATGGAATACACTCATTAATTCTTATATTTAGCATTTGTTGAAGGGAATTTGAATGTGAGCATAAATTTCTTAAAGGATCTTTCAGTCCCTTGAACAAAGTGTGAACCAAGTGTCATCCAAGTTATACAACATGGAGTACATACAATTGCATTTCACTCTAATTCAAGCCTAAGAACAGGTGACCCAAGAAGCAATCTCAACCCCTCAAAGATTTTTCTCCAATACCTAATCTGCAAGCCAAGGATCTTTGGGGTACAGAAAAAGTCATTTTTTTTTCTTTCCTTTGAGGGAAGTGACAGATACAAAGTTTTCATACTCAGCTCCTAACTGCCCCCAGCTCATCCTGGCAGCTGAAGAGTTAATCTGCTGCCACCTAGTGGTTCTTGGCCAACCTGCGGGAACCCCAGCTCACATAAGGTGAGGGTGAATGGGGTGGGTGTGGACTGTCTCCATGAAGAGGACAAGGTTCTCAAGTGGCTTTGTCTTCCCACCCCCAAAGTTTATCTCTCTCTTTCTCTCTCTCTCTCTCTCTTTCTCTCCCTCTCTCTCTCTGTCTCCCCCTCTCTCTCTCTCTCTTCTCTCCTCTCTCCTCTCTCCTCTTTCTCTCTCTCTCTCCCCTTCTCTGGGGCCTGTTTCCTGTAGACCTGAGGCAAAGCAGTAGTTCAGGCTGGGATTTCTTGCAAGTTTTCCACTGTGGGGTGCCGCAACAGCTGTGACCCTGGCTTGATTTTGATGTAGACTTCAAGGGCGCCGTCCCCAGCGGGGAGAACATTTTTACCTCAGGAGCCTATTCACATTGGTAGCCTTGGCAGGGAAAGTTCCAGAAGCTTTGATTACACAAATACCTTTGCTAGGTACAGGCCCGTCTTGGCAACCTGGGGAGAGAGAATGTGCACATGGGCTGATTAAACCAAACGACCCGTTTCCTTTGCCGGGGCTGGGGGCTGGGGGTCTTCGGCTTGGAAATGATTTTTTCCTTGGCTGTGTTGCCTGGAAACTTTGAGGGTTTAATTAGGACTGGGGAGGTTTTTGGCTCCCGCAGCTGCCTCTGCTCTCCCCCAGGGTTACTGAGTGAGAATGTGTGCATGCGTGTGTGTGTGTGTGTGCGCGCGCGCGTGTGTGTGTGTGTGTGTCCCCTGCAGTGCAGGCCAAAGCCGTCTGGAGAAGTTAATTGTGTACCAAGGCAGATGTGGCTCTTTTTATTTCAATTGATTTCAGTTAATAACTTTTAACCTCCGAACCGCAGTGAGGCTGCGTGTGGTTTATGTATCATGTACTGGAGCCCAGACAACTGAGTGGAAATGGTAGCTATTACCTTACTGCCGCCATCCATCTAGGGCCAATCATTGGAAACTTTTCTAAATGTTCTCAAGCAAATCCAGAAAGGACATCCTCCATCAGTGTCTCTCTGGCTCTGTGAATTCCTAGGAAGAAGTAAGACAAGAGCCGGCCCGCCCCAAAGCAGTTATCTTATTTGGTCAGGAGGAAAAAGTTGGAGTAAACAAATTAAAATGAAACATTTTTCATCCTTTATTGACTTCAGTATTCTTTTTATTAACCTCAACATTACCAAGCAGTTACTCTCCCATTTGGAGACTTGGAGAAAGAAGAAGAATTTTCTTTTCTGCTTTTCTTTGATATGTATATATGTTTGTATTTATTTTTCAACTACCAATGTTATACACAAACATGTTCTGGTTATATAAGGATTAAATACAGAAGTATAAGCCCCCTTGCTCACAGGCAGATTTTCCAGCTGGGGTCAAGGCAGGTGCAGGCGCATTGTGACCCACCCTTTTTCTTCCTTCCCTCCCTTTTTTCTTTTCTGCTTTCCTTTCCTCCTTCCTTCAGAGGAAGATTCAGAGACACAGGTCTTTCCTTCATGGAGCATGTGGAAATGAGCTCCCACATACCATGTGTATTTGTTTGCTAGGCCTGCTGTAAGAAGATACCACACAAAGGTCTAATATCCAGCATCTATAAGGAACTTAAACAAATTTACAAGAAGAAAACAACCCCATTAAAAAGTGGGCAAAGGACATGAACAGATACTTCTCAAAACAAGACATACATGTGGCCAACAAGCATATGAAAAAAAAGCTCAATATCACTGATCATTAGAGAAATGCAAGTCAAAACCATAATGAAATACCATCTCACACCAGCCAGAATGGCTACTATTAAAAAGTCAAAAAATAACAGGTGTTGGCAAGGTTGTGGAGAAAAGGGAACGCTTATACACTATTTGTGGGAGTGTAGATTAGTTCAACCATTGTGGAAAACAGTGTGGCAATTCCTCAAAGAGCTAAAAACAGAACTACCATTTGACTCAGCAATCCCACTACTGGGTAGGTACCCAGAGGACTGTAAATCATTCTACCATAACAACACATGCACACGAATGTTCATTGCAGCACTATTCACAATAGTAAAGGCATAGAATCAATCTAAATGCCTATCAGTGAGACTGGATGAAGAAAACATGGTACATATACACCATGGAATATTATACAGCCATAAAAAAAGAACAAGATCATGTCTTTTGAAGGAACATGGATGAAGCTAGAGGCTATTATCCTTAGAAAACTAATGCAGGAACAGAAAACCAAATACTACATGCTCTTACTTGTAAGTGGGGGCTGAAAGATAAGAATTTATAAACACAAAGAAGGAAACAAAGACGCTGGGGTCTACTTGAGCAGGGAGGGTGAGAGAAGGGAGAGGAGCAGAAAGGATAACTATTGGATACCGGGCTTAATACCTGGGTGATAAAATAATATGTACAACAAACCCCTGTTACCGGTGTTTACCTATGTAACAAACCTGCACGTGTATCCCCGAACTCAAAATAAAAGTTAAAAAAAATAAAAATACGACGAGTAAAAAAAAAAGAAAAAAAGAAAGTACCACAGACTGGGTGGCTTAGACAAGAGCAATGTGTTGTCTCACAGTTCCAGAGGCAGGGTTGATTCCTTCTGCGGGCTGTGAGGGAGGCTCTGTTCCACGCCTCTCCCTGCTCCTGTGGTTCGCTGGCAATCTTTGCTGTTCCTTGACTCGTAGACACATCGCCCTGATCTCTGCCTTCGTTTTCACATAGCTTTCTTCCTGGCACTGGGAGTGACATGACTTGACTGTTTTCTAGGGAACCCTCACTTTAGGCTTCTCCTCTTGAGTTGGTCAGATGCCCAGAGAAGACTCTTCAATCCCCTATTTGAAGAATGTGTGTGCCTGGCTGCTGTGTTCCGGGAGCCAAGTGTGAGAAGAAGGCTGGAACCCAAATATTCAGTCTGCTCCTCTGTAGTCTTTAATCCCTCTGTTTTCAGTACAGCATCCTCCCAGACCTCCGCACTCTCTGGCTTCTCTAGTTCAGAAATCCCCTGGTTACTGTCTCTAGAAAATAAATCTCTCCTACCATTTACGGCAGTGGAGAAGGAGCCATGTGACTGCGTGGCATGAGGGGATAGGGCACGGGGAGAGATCTAACTGCTTCTAAAACCCTTTCCACCCACCCTCCTTTTTCAGCCCCATCTTCACTCTCACCTCCAGAGGTACCAGATGCCACCAGTCCTGCGCTGTTTCACTGCTCTGAATGTGAACCGAGTTGCTTTTGGCGTTTCCCACTGCAGGCTCCGTGTGCAGTTTGATGGGGTCTGGCAGGCCGGTCGCCAGTCTTCCACAGCATTTTAACTTTCAACATTTTGCTGCTTTCTTTGTTTCCACTTTCTTTGTTTTTGTGTTAGTGGGTTTCAGGAAGAAAGAGAGCTAAATACATGTGTCCAATTTTCCAGCTTTACCTTTAAGGCCATTCTTGTGTTTTAAGCAGCATGTTCCAGAGACATTCTCAAACCCAAAAGGAGTCATCCTATCCCTGGGTTATCTGGAAGTTTTGGGTAAGTTTAGGACAAGAGAGTCCCTTCCAAGACCCTGCCATTTGCAACAACATGACTGAACCTGAAGGACATTAGTGAAATAAGCCAGACACAGAAAGAAAACTGTGGCATGATCTTACTTATATGTGGAATCTAAAAATGTCAAATACATAGAAACGGAGAATGGAATGGTGGTTACTGGGGTGGAGAGGAGGAGGAAATAGGGAGACATAGGTCAAAGGGTACAAAGTTGTAGCTATGTAGGATTAGTCTAGAGAGCTAATGCACAGCATGAGAACTTTAGTTAAGAATACTGTATTGTGGCCAATGTGGAAGGATCGCTTGAGTTCCAGACCAGCCTGACCAACATGGCAAAACTCCGCCTCTACCAACGAAACAAAACAAAAAACAAAATTAGCCAGGCATGTTGGCACGCACCTGTAGTCCCAGCTACTCAGGAGGCTGAGGCGGGAGGATCGCTTGAGCTGAAGTCAAGGTTGCAGTGAGCCATGATCGTGCCACTGTGCTCCAGCCTGGATGAGAGTGAGACCCCGTTTCAAAAAATTAATCACAACAATACTGTATTGCATACTGGAAATTTGCTAAGAGAGTAGATTTTAGATGTTCTCACCGTCCCCATTCCCCCAAAAAAGGTAACTGTGAGGAGATGGATATATTAATTTGCTAGCAATCATTTCACTATGTATATGTATATCAAAACATCATGTTTTACACCTTAAATATATACCATAAGAGGCTGGGAATGGTGGCTCACGCCTGTAATTTCAGCACTTTGAGAGGCCGAGGCAGGTGGATCACCTGAGGTCAGGAGTTCGAGACCAGCCTGGCCAACATGGCAAAACCCCAACTCTCCTAAAAATACAACAATTAGCTGGGTGTGGTGGTGTGCGCCTGTAATCCCAGCTACTTGGGAGGCTGAGGCACGAGAATCGCTTGAACCTGGGAGACGGAGGTTGCAATGAGCCAAGATTGCACCACTTCACTCCAGCCTGGGTGATAGAGCGAGACCCTCTCTTGAAAAAAAAAAAGAAAAAAAAAAAAATATATATATATACATACACCGTAAGAGAGGGCCTTCAATATGCTTTATTTAGTATATGAACATATGGATGCACATTCGCACACACAAACACACTCACGCTGCCTATTTTCTCTACAAAATCTACAGCCAACCTGGGTGGAATATTTGGATTCACCAGCCAGATTCTTATTTTGTTCTAGATGGAATTCTCTAAGATTCCCCCAGTTCCCTCTTTTCCCCCCTCACCAATTTATTCTTGACACTACAGCCAGGATGTTCCTTTTATAAAGTAAATGCAATTACTGTATATCCTTCCCTTACTTCAGAGCCTTCAGAGAATGTCTCCTCTTCATCCTTAGAATAAAGTCCAAAGCTCTACCCTTGTCCTCTAAGTCCCCTCCCACAGCCTGGGCCCTGACGACCTGTCCACCCTCTTATTAGTCACCCCTTCCTTGCTAAGCTTTGTCTTCTTGGCCATTTCTCAGTTCTGTTAAGCCCTTGCATGTGCTCTATTCTCTGCCTGGAAAGCTCTCTCCCCTCAGGCCCCCACATACACCAGGTTAAACCCCACACTGCCCGCTGCCATAACACCCTGTACATTTGCTTCCATAACACTTTAGTTACATGTCCAGGCTAGACTGGAAGCATCGTGAGCACAGTGGATTTTTCTGTCTTGTTCACAGCATAACCTTAGTGCCTTAGCACCAGACCTGACAACATGGGAGGTATTCAATATATTTATCTAATGAATTATACTTTTTACCTTAGGTTTTTCTAATCTTTGCGCTTAGCCTCACTCCCAGCACACACTTCATTCTAACTTTACAGTTATAATATGGGAAAACATTAGCTCAATAGTGGAAGTTTCTGGCCTGAAACGATGCTTGTAACTCTATTTCTGAAAAATGGGGCTTAGTGCCTCTCCAAGGAGAAAACAGTCCTAGATGGCCTCAGGACACTGGAGGAGGTGACTAGATATCTCTACGCTTATTCTGCTGGCTCTAAAAGCAGAGGATCCCCATGATTATAAAGACTTAATTTTTGTTTTTCATAGGCAATCAGGGAAGTTGCCTGATTTATGAGGATTCTCATAAAATCAACTGAACAGAGATCTCTGTTGCAGAATTATAGTTGCAGTAAGACGTGAAAAGATCACCCCACATTTTTTTCTCATTGCTTTATTTACATGAAAAATAATTTATCCCACTGTATATGACAATTGAAAGCTTGAAACTGAAACTATTTGTTTCCTCATCTGTAAAATGAGAAGGTTGAACTAAGTGCCCTCTTAAGGCTGCTCTAAAACACGATGATCTTATTCTGATTCTTTATAAGAGCTATTCACAAAAAGCTTCTGGGTTTCCGAAAATACATTGCTCTTGAGGGAATCAAATTTTTATTGTGGGGTTTTTAAAAAATATAAACACCTTTATGGACTTGGCAGGGAATCAAGTGAAGAATAGTATGGATTTCAGATCTGCCAACAATGGCACCATTCTAAAGAGTTCAATAGCCAGCATTTTAGGACTCAGCATAGAACCACCTAAAGGCTAGAAGGGCTGAAATCTTCAGTAGCAGCTTTGGAATTTTGCATCTTTGCACAGTAGTAAAACTGAAATAATACCTGCCCAAATGAAAAGGATTAAGTTGACTCAAACGTTATGAAAAACAAATAAATAAAAAGACTGCACAATACTTTGTACTGTTATTTAATAAATATCTACTCCCCTCCTCTTGCCACCATGGGTACCTCTCTCCCCCAACTGATGTTGAATTTAGCCATGCAATTTGCTTTGACTGATAAAGTGTTCGTGGACATGACGTGTGCCTTAAATGTGCATGCTTGGCTTAGCTTCAACCTTGTGCACTGGTGGCCTGCCTTGACAGGCACATGCCCTGGGTAGCTACCGTTTCTTTAGCCTAGACACCAAAAAAAGCAAATATGGAGCAAATACAAGCACAGAACTTCCCAGATGACCTCAGCCAAACTCAGCCAAATCCTGGTTGATCTGCAAACCTTTGAACACAGAATAAATGTTTGTTGTTTTTAAGCCACTGAGTTTTAAGGTAGTTATTACGTAGCATTATTGTGGAAAAAGCTGACTAATACAGAATGCAATATGGATTCTTGTGAGATACTATAACATCATGTTTAAGAGTGTGGCTGGTTTTTTTTTTTTTTTCTTTTTTGAGATGGAGTTTCGCTCTTTTGCCCAGGCTGGAGTGAAGTGGCAAGATGTCAGCTCACTGCAACCTCCACCCACCAGGTTCAAGCAATTCTCCTGCCTCAGCCTCCCAAGTTGCTGGAATTATAGATGCCTGCTGCCATGCCCAGCTGCTTTTTGTATTTTTAGTAGAGACGGGGTTTCGCCATGTTGGCCAGGCTGGTCTTGAACTCCTGACCTGAGGTGATCCACCCGCCTCAGCCTCCCAAAGTGCTAGGATTACAGGCGTGAGCCACTGCGCCTGACCAAGTGTGTGGTTTTTCAACTTGTTAGCTTGAAAGTAGGGTAAACATTTTAAAAAGAGAGAAGAAAAAGAGTGTGGTTTTCAAAGTGTAGCCTATCTCTTATTTTTTTGTTTTGAATCAGGCAGCCCCTGAACCAGAATAGATTCAGAGAGGCTCCTCCATATCTTGTTTTGAATCTCACTTCTGTTACAATGGAGATTATTACGGTACCAATCTCATAGCACTGTTGTGTGAACCAAATGAGACCATGCATATCATAGAGCTAAGACAGTTCTTGGTACACAGCGAGGATCCAATCAATGTTTGTATTAATAACAATAATAATAATTGTCTTTTCTATAAAGGGAATTGTACTTTCCTGTTAACTTACAATATAAAGCTGTATGTATTTTTTCTTGTAAAACTGGATATAGGAGAATTCTGGGAAGATGGCAGAGTAGGGAGCACCAACAATCTGTCTCTCTGCTTAGACAACAATTATACTGGCAGAATCTGTCTGATGCAACTATTTTGGAACTCTGGAATCTATTGACTGGAATCTGTTAAAGGTTTGTGACTTTCAGAGGAAGGCTTGGAGGGTAATTGTAGTTAATATCAATCAATTTCAACTCTTATCACAGTAGTAGCTACTCATCACCCTCCACCTCCCTTACACACAGCTTACAGGAACCGTGGTGGGGAAAAATCACCTGTCCTCCAAATATCATAAATCTGTTATCTGATAACTGGTTGCTGCTTCCAACCACAGAGCTACAAAGAGGCTGGAAGTCACTGTTGTTGCACCTCCCCACATTGTTGCAAGCCCCTTGTCCTCCAACTGAGGTGGCTTCTATAGGATTTAAGGGGCTAGCACCCTCTCTCCCCTTTCATTTTTCTCTTTTACCCTTTTTGGAAGCCAGACATTAAAGAATAGGGCATTCAAAACAACTGCATATATGGGGAAAATTAGAAATTGACTATGCATGCTCAGGGAAAGGCAAGGCTCAGAAAAGACCTAAGAAGAACTTAAATGTATACCTTAGACTGAACCTTGGCACAGAGATAGCCTACAATATCAGACAAAAACAAAAACAATAAATAAAAACAATTGTAAAAATCGGTAAGCTCTGGAGGAGAAAGATAAAATGATTTCCTGAGTTACATTATTAAATTCAAATGTCCAGTTTTTAACAAAGAAGTCAGAACTCACACAAAGAAATTGAAAAGTGTGGCCCATTTAAAGAAAAAAAATCAATACAAACTGTTTCTGAAAAATACCTGATAGTCTATCTACTAGATAGAGACTTTAAAACGACTGTTGTAGAGATGCTCAAAGAACTAAAGATGTGGAGAAAGTCAGGAAAACAAGGTATGAACAAAATTTAAATATCAATAAAGATATAGAAAACCCCAAAAGAAGCCAAAATGAAATTCCGGAGCTAAAAAGTGCAATAACTGAACCAAAAAAAAATGTACTAGAGGTATTCAAAGGCAGATTTGAGCAGGCAAAAGAAAGAATCAGCAAACTTGAAGATAGGACAGTGGAAATTACTGCAAATTAGCCAGGCGTTTTGGTCAGTGCCTGTAGTCCCAGCTACTCAGGAGGCTGAAGCGGAAGAATAGCTTGAACCCCCGAGGCGGAGGTTGCAGTGAGCTGAGATCACCGTTGTGTTGCACTTGCCTACAGTACTCAGTATAGTAACATGTTGTACAGGTTTGTAGTCTACGAGCAATAGGCTATACCATATATCCTAGGTGTATAGCAGGCTATACTATCTGTGTAAGTACACTCTATGACGTTCACAGAATGACAAAATTGCCTGACAATGCAGTGCTCAGAATATATCCCTACCACTAAGCAACAAATGATTGTACATAAAAATTCAATAATATTATCATCAGATTTCTTATCAAAAACTTTAAGGGCCTGACGGCTATGGGCTAATATATTCAAAGTACTAAAAGAAAAAAAAAATCTGTCAGCTAAGAACTCTATATCCAGCAAAACTGTCCTTCAAAAGTGAGGGAGAAATTAAACATTCCCAAATAAATAAATGCTAAGAGAGGTTGTTACCATCACACCTGCCCTGCAAGAAATGCTCAACAGGGTACTAAAGGGTGAAATGAAAAGACACTGGACAATAATCTGAAACCATATGAAGAAATAAAGATCTCAATAATGGGAAATAAATGGAAAGTTATAAAAGCTAGAAGTATTATAACAATCTTTTTCTTTTTTTTTTGAGACAGTGTTTTGCTCTTATTGCCCAGGCTAGAGTGCAATGGTGCGATCTTTGCTCACCTCAAGCTCCGCCTCCCGGCTTCAAGAGATTCTCCTTCCTCAGCCTCCCGAGTAGCTGGGATTACAGGCATGCGCCACCACGCCTGGCTAATTTTGTATTTTTAGTAGAGATGGGGTTTTTCCATGTTGGTCAGGCTGGTCTCGAACTCCTGACCTCAGGTGATCTGCCTGCCTCGGCCTCCCAAAGTGCTGGGATTACAGACATAAGCCACTGCACCCGGCCTATAACATCCATTTTTATCTCCCTTTTTTTCTATATGATGTAAGACACTAACATATGTTTAAAGTATTCGTCTAAAAGCTAGTATTATTGTAACTTTGGAATGTAACTCCACATTTTGTTTTCTACATAATTTGAGAAACAAATGCATTTAAGAGAATCATTAGTTTATGTTTTGGGGAATACAATGTATAAAGATATAATTTTGTGACATTAACAGCCGAAAGGGGTGGGGATGGAGCTGTGAAAGAGCAGAGTTTCTGTATGTTACCAATGTTACCCTCGTATTAATTCAAATTAGAGTGTTACAACTGTGGGATATTAAACGTAATCCCCATGGTAACCACAGAGAAAATAGCAATAGAATATAAACAAAAGGAAATGAGAAAGGAATTTAAATGTTTCACTACAAGATATCAACTAAACACAAAATTGGACAGTAATGCAGGAAATAAAGAACAAAAGGCCGGGCGCGGTGGCTCACGCCTGTAATCCCAGCACTTTGGGAGGCTGAGGCGGGTGGATCATGAGGTCAGGATATCGAGACCATCCTGGCTAACAAGGTGAAACCCCGTCTCTACTAAAAATACAAAAAATTAGCCGGGCGCGGTGGCGGGCGCCTGTAGTCCCAGCTACTCGGGAGGCTGAGGCAGGAGAATGGCGTGAACCCGGGAAGCGGAGCTTGCAGTGAGCCGAGATTGCGCCACTGCAGTCCACAGTCCGGCCTGGGCGACAGAGCAAGACTCCGTCTCAAAAAAAAAAAAAAAAAAAAAAGAACAAAAACCTACAAGGCGTAGAAAACCAATCACAGACTAACAGAAGCAAATTCCTCGTTATGAGTAATTACTTTAAATATAAAAGAATTAAACTCTCCAATCAAAAGATAGAAATCAACAGAATGCATAAAAATTATTATCCATCCATCTCCTGTCTACAAGAGATTCACATTGGATCCAAAGACACAAATACATTGAAAGTGAAAGGATGGAAAAATATAATCCATGCAAGTAGTAACCAAAAGAGCAGGGGTAGCTATACCAATATCACACAAAACAGACTTTAAATTGAAAAAGTTTAGAAGAAACGAAGAAGGACATTACATGTTAATTAAAAGTTCAATACAATAAGAATATATGACAATTATAGATATTTATATACCTAATGACACACCATCAAATTACATGAAGCAAAAAACTGACAGAAATGAAGACAGAACAGACAGTTCTACAATACTAATTGGAAACTTCAGTATTTCACTCTGAATAATGAATAGAACAAACAGAGGAAAGTAAGGAAACAGGGAACTTAACACAATAAACTACATAATTGCATGTCTACTAGACATATGCAGAACATTTCAGTATAGACAATATGCTAAGTCGCAAATTAAATCTCAATAGATTTGAAAAGACAGGTATCATAAATCTAATCACAAGATAAAGTCAGAAATCATTCAAAAAAGAGGAAAATGAAAATTCACAAATTTGTGGAAATTAAACAATACATCCATAAACAACCAATGGGTCAAAGAAGAAATCCCAAGGGAAATTAGAAAATACTCAGAAATGAATGAAAATGAAAACGCAACATATCAAAACTTATGGGACCCTGTGAAAGCAGTACTAAGGGGGAAATTTATAAGTCTAAATGCTTATATTTATAAACAAGAAAGATTTCCAATGAACAACCTAACTTTACAACTAATTTAAGGAGCTAGAAAAATAAACAAAACCCAAAGCTAGCAGAAGAGAAGAAATAATAAAGATTAAAGCAGAGATAAACAAAATGTAGAACAACAATATTTGAAAATCAATGAAAACAAAAGTTGGTTCTTTAAAAAATCAACAAAATTGATAAACTTTTAGGTAGATGGGCTGGAAAAAAAGAGAAGACTCAAATTACCAAAATTAGAAATGAATGCGGGACATTACTACTGATTCTACAGAAATAAAAGAGATCGTAAGAGAATACTATGTGCATCAACAAAATGGATAACCCAGATGAATGAACAAATTTCTAGAAGCACAAAACCTACCAGCACTAAATTATGAAAAAATAGAAAATCCAAATACTGTAATGAGGTACCATCCCACACCAATTAAGATATTTAGTATTAAAAAAAAACAGGAAATAATACATGTGGTGAGGATGTCCAGATTGGAATCCTTGTGCACTGTTGGTGGAAATGTAAAATGGATCAGCCACTAAGGAAAAGAGTGTAGCAGTTCCTCAAAAAATTAAAATAGAATTACCATATGATACAGCAATTCCACTTCAGGGTATGTAACTAAAAGAATTGAAATCAGGGTCCAGAAGAGATATTTTCCCATCGATGTTCTCATCATTCACAATAGCTAAAACATGGAAACAACCCATGTCCATCAGTGAATGAATGGATACGCAAAATATAGTATATACATACAATGGAATGTTATTCAGCCTTGAAAAGGAAGCAAATTCTGACATATGCTACAACATGGATGAAACTTGAATACGTTATACTAAGTGAAATAAACCAGTCACATAAAAACAAATACTATACGTTGGTGCAAAAGTAATTGTGGTTTTTGCTATTTTTAAAAAAACAAGTAATCACAAAAACCACAATTACTTTTGCACTAACCTAATACATATTGCCTTTATATGAGGTACATAGAGCAGTCAAAATCATGGAGACATAAAGTAGAATGGTGATTGCCAGGAGCTGAGAGGGAGGGGGAAATTGGGGAGCTATTGTTTAATGGGTGTAGAGTTTCTGTTTTACAAAAGTAAAAGTGTTATGGAGATGAATGGCGGTGACTGTTGCACAATGTTATGGGTCTGTTTAATACCACTAAACTGTATAATTTAAAATGGTTAAGATGGTAAATTTATGATCTGTGTATCTTGCCACAATTAAAAAAAAATGGAAAAATTCCTAAATATAAAAACTTATTTAAAAATATTTGGCAAAGAAGATAAATATCCTACCACAGGTCTAATAAATTCCATATAATATGAAAAGTTACTTGTACATGGGAAGTTTATTTTCTACCAACGAAGTCTGTGTGTGTGTGTGCGCTCACATGTGCATGTGTGTGTGTGTAAAACGCTTACGTACTGCTATGATGTGAATGTCACATTTCTCCCAAATTCATATGAAATCCTGGTTGAAATCCTAACCACGCACGCTGCCCCGTGTGGTATTGCAAGACTAAGTACTTTGCCACAGTTTCCCAAATCTGAGCTACTTTTACCACCAGAGTTTACATTCCCATATCCCAGAGTCTGGAGTATGAAGTATGGTGTCAAGTATTAACAGCCTGGGTCTGATTCCATACTCTCAGCACCAAAAATTGTTCCTCAGAGTTCACATGTGATAGTTCAGTGCTGTCATGCTTTGCCATTCATGTATTTAACAAATATTTGTTAAGCACTAGGCATTGCGTTAGGTACTGGAAGTAGAGAGATAAATAAGACACGGTCTGCGCACTCATGGCATACACAGTGTACCTACAGAACAGCAAATATGTTTCACTCTGGTGTCAACTCTGATGGATTTAGAGGGTTGCCCAGAGCACTGGTTAAAAATAATTCCAGGCAGTATTTGAATCCAGTGGGGAAAAGAGCCATAGACGTGGAAAGAAGGAATAGCTTTGAATGTTCGTTCAACTAGGTTTAGCTGGGGACAGACACATATAAAACAAAATATAATTTAATGTGGTAAATGCTATTCATGAGATAAGAACAAAGTCACATCAAAGCGCAGAGAAAGGAGTTAATTAATTTTGCCACGAGGGAAATAGAGTAAGGAAAGACCTCACTGAAGAGGCTAAATTGTAGCTGGGCCTTGATGGATGACTAAGAATCCAGTAGGTGGTGAAGTGGGGAAAGAAGATTCTAGTCCAAGAATACATCATGAGCAAAGGCACGGAGGTGTGTAAGCATGTGGGGTATGGAGACAACAGTGAGTAGTCCTGTTTGGTGAGAACACAGGGTGTGGAGATGATGCTGGTAGAAATGAGGCTGTATCATAGTAGATTGAGACCAGATTCTACTGCCTTATCCTATAAGCCACAGGACTCATTGAAGGCTTTTAATCAAGAGACTGTATAGCCAAATATGTGCTTTAAAAAAGTTACTCAAGAAGAACTAGACTGGCAGTAGAGAAAAGAGAAACAGGCGGTGGGGGGCGGTGGGGCAGAAAGGAGGCTTCTGCAGACAAGGGACAGTAAGTGCCCAAATGGGGGTGGCGTGGGATGCGGGCATAGAGAGAAGGAAATAGCACCACCTCATAGCGCAAGGATGCTCTTGAAAATGACCTATCATAAGAGCTTTGATCAATATAAAGAAAATTCATTAGTCTAATTTTTTCATTGCTCATGTTCTAATATTAATGTTTGCATATGTGTATACATAATTAAATTACACATATAAATGGGAGTTCCAAGAGTAATCTCAGATTTTAAAATTTAGCCTCATGACAATCCTATAAAGTAGGTACTGTTACTCCCATTTTACAGAGAAGAAAACTGAGGCTCAGTGATTTAAAAAACCCAAGATAAGTGATGTGAAATCACACATCTTCTAAGTGTCAAAGATGGCATTTGGACCCAGAGCAACTCAAGATTAATTACTATTCTATACCACGTGAACGATTAATTTGCCAATGTTATTATCCACCTGTAATATATGTTGAATCGCCTACATACATACCACTTCTTTTCACTTATATATATGAAAAGGTAGATGTGTATGACCCGTGTTGAAAGCAGGAGAAAATTACCAAGAAACATGAAAATAACAGTGAGTGAGCCCAACATCTGTAGTAACCCAAATGAGTTGGACTTGCAGTTTAAGAAAAGCTAATAATTTTTTTCCTGAGTGCTGATTCATCAAGTAATTTTGATTCTCTTACTCTACTACAATCAACGTATTAATCAATCTCACTGGCAGTGTACCTAGCATTGTGCTGGGGAAATACATCGTACATCTTCCCAGGAGAAAGATCCCGGGACTCTGAGACAGGAGACATGGTTGGCAGCCCTGGCTCTGCCATTAGCCTGCCACACGGGCTGGGACTATCCACTTGACTTTTAGGAGCCTCTCTTTCACCATTGGAAATAGCATCGATGATCACAAAGGTCCTTATCATGCCTTCAATGTTCTCGTGCCTGCCTTACAGGATTCATTTCGAGAAAAAAGAGTGGTTAGTACTCAACATAAAGTATAGTAATAAAACACATTCAATTGCCACGACTGGTTTAGTAATCACTTGGCCTCCTCTGAAACAACCTCCTAAATATGCAAGGGGAGTGTTTATCATTCCTGCGCCTAAGGAGCCTGACACTTCACTGAGAGAATGAGCTTTATAATTTCTTACTTTTTCAAAAATGCCTGCATTGAAATCTTGCAGGATGTTTAAAATGGCTTTTAGAGAACCTGAGGCACTTTGAAGTGGGTGGAGTTGTTCAATGCCTTATTCCTCCTTCCATTTCATCTTACGTAGAGAATCCCCAGTGGTGATTTTTATACATGTTAAGGTACTTAATCGAGACCTTTGGAGTTTGGCCAGTGAGTAGTTTGCTCTGAGACAAAATATTCTGAAAGATGGCTGGATACACATGCTGTTTCCTAGAATTAAAGATTGCAAATAGATGTATGCATCTGGTTTCTTGCAGGGGAAGACCAACCATAAGGTGAATGGAACATAAACTTGCTTTTGCCGCTTCAACAGCACCATCCGTTCTTGCTAGCATCTTTTTTACTTCCAGAGGGTTTGAAGAAGCACGTGTTGTCTTGCAACAGTGCAGTCCCTGCTGTCTTCCAGCTCTAATTGTCAAGATGCTAGTCTCCAGAGAGCGAGGGCTCCAAGCAGTTATTAGAGATGATGGCATTCCTGGAGTGCTGGGGGGCATGCTCTGCCCTCCAAACTAAACAGTTCTCTTATGGCTTCACCCTATGCATTCCTCCTTATATTAATGCAGGAGCTGATAGATTGGTTGAGAAGCTGCAACTAATATTTTTGAGGGCATAAAAGATGATTGTGTTAGTTCTAATTCCAGAGCCCATCTTTTTAGCAGATTATGATGGATGACTCGCCGTGGTGGTCAGCGCCTCCTGTATATTTTAGGTGGAATGCTTTCTTTTGACACATACTTTACAGAGACACATGTGTATCCTATTTTAATTAATGGAAGAAATGATTCACTCACAAGTGAAAGATTTAATTAAATAAAGGGTCAGCACTGGTCAGCCATGAATCGCAAAATACCTCAGGTGTTTATTAGTCTCTCTGCCATCTCTGCATGCTATCTGGAGTGCCACATGGCAGTAAAAGCAGGCCTTGCAAAGAAATGAAATGAAGTTTCATTCATTCATTCATCCAACAAATAGTAATTGAGCCCCTACTGTGTTTGAGGCACTGTGTTAGGCTCTGGAGATACCATGGGGAAGAAAGACCTAGTTTTTACCCTTATGGTGACTACAGTACAGTGGGGGAGGAAAGAAAAAAATGAGGAAAGGACAAAAAGGACACAGTTATTACAGATTGCAACATGCTTCATGAAGTAAAAATAACAGTTTGTGGGCGGTTTTCCTTGCAATGTTTTGTAATCATTTTTTAAAGAAATTAATACTCATCTTTACAATGCCATACTTGTTTAATTTTGGAATATATACCTGAAATCAATCTGGCCCCCATGCAGTAGATAAAATATTTTATTCCTATGAGCAGCAGCTATACATATTGAGTTTCCCAAACTTAGGATCATTGTTATTTTCAGGAAATATTGGAGAACACAATTGCTTATCTCGTTAGCTCCTTCCTCTAAGTTGGTCAACCTTGTGCTTTGGAATCAGACAACCCTGGATTCAAATCCTGACTTCTTGACTTGTTCACTTTCTAACCTATAGTATTACTTTGCTTTTCTGACTTCAGAGAATAATAATAATAGTACATAAGACACTGAGTCATTATGAGATAATACATAGAGTACCGAATACACAAAAAGGACTCCATTGATATTTGTAGTTCATGTTCTTGTTATATTATTATTATTATTATTATTATTAGTAGTAGTAGTAGTAGTAGTAGTAGTATTTTTCCCTCTCTTCTGGAACTTTCCACATTCTACTTTTTTCTAGTTGTTCATGTTATTTTCTTATTCTGTCATTTGGTTACAGAGGTCACAACTCTTTTAGCACTGAACCCAGGTGATATATGGTTAATACTCAATAAATAATTGCTGAATAAATAAATAAAAGTATTTCTACCTCTTTTTGGAACTGAGTAGAGAACAAGTTAACAATAAACAAAGTCTCCCGAAAGCTTCCCATGACACTTGGAATAAAATATAAATGCCTTGTCATGCTAAACGGGAGCCTACAGGCTTTGGTCTCTGCTTACCTTTCTAATCTCAAACACCACCACTTCCCCTTCCACACTGGCATCAGCCACTGGCTTTGCCTGTCTAGGGAATGCCTTTCCTCTAGAACTATGTATGGCTCACTCCTTCCAGTCTTTCTGCTCAGGTATCTTCTCCTCCAAGAAGTCTTCTCTAATCACCTTACCTATTCATTTTCTATATCCTTATCTTAATATAGTGCCTTATTTTTCCTTAAAGTGTTATTGCTGTTGGAAATTAAATTATAGATTTTTGAATTTACAAGTTGATTGTATATCTCCCCCACTTATAACATACAAATTGCTGAGGGCAAGAGACTTGTCTGTCCTTGTTCAGCCCTGAGTCATCATGCCATTGAATGAATCAGACAAATGAAGAATCTATTTTTATTTTCCTGAGAAAATATAGGTGTAAGAACTATCCAAATAGTTTCCAAAGTACAGTAGCCTCTAAAATATAAGAACGTTCCCTAAAATTTCTTGCTTGCGGCAGGCACTTCTGAATTTAATTTCAGAATGACAGGAAAGGGAAAAATAAATTATTCTAGTCACATGGAAAATGAAGAAAAAACCAAAAGGAGGTCTCCCAACCCCCAAATTTTAATAGATTTCCTAAACAGTTTTGCTTTCTCACCATGAGTCTAACCTTTTTGTAACACTTCCTTTGCGATTAATAAGTAGCTGGTTACTCTTGTTCTCCAAGCCAGGAAACATGGATTTTCTTTAGTTTTCACATGATCTGGCCCAAAGCATCGAGCAGGAAACTTGGATGTTTCACTTGGCATATTTCACTGACTGAGAACCAAAGAACTGCAAACAAGAGAGATGTCTCCATTTGCCTAGGACGTCTTCGTGGTAGAGGAAAGGCGAGAATCATGTATACCAAGATACTGTCCAGGAAATAACAACTGTGATTAACTCCCACTGGAATGGAAGAAAGGAGGGGAACTGGTAGATTTTCTTCTACTTCTAAAAATGTGAGCCATCAGAGCCTGGGTGTGCCATGTACAAGTTGTTGCATGGTGTGGGGCTTTGCTGTGGTTGTTTGGAGCGTTTTGTCCCGGAAGTCTCTCCAAAGAGCCTTGCCGGCTGTTCCTGGCAACGTCGGGCCTGGCTTACTCAGATTAGTGTTTTAGGAGAGGTGCTTTGGGGTAACAGAACTGGCTTCATTTCCACCATGACCACATCGGCCCTGTTTTCTGCTGTGCAAAAACAAAATTCTAAAAAATGTTACCATACCAAATTGTAGGCTGCTTTTGTTTTATAAACAATTTTTTTAGTCTGTGGAAACTGTAATAAAGACTAATGACATATCCAGTTGTTTTCCAGAGCGCCAACTCAACTTGGGGGACTTTTTCTCTCAGCATGAGGTCCTGTCTTTCTTTCCTAGCAGATATTCCTGAAATTCATCTCCATGCGGTCAAGTACGTAGCAGTGGGGTGAAGTACTTGGCACCCCACCGTGGAACCATGAGCTTCTTTCTGCCTCTGAAAGAGGAGGTTTTGGAACCACCAATAGAGCACCAGTGGGCACCAGCTAGAGTCAAGGAAGTGTTCTTGGAGCGGATCTCAGTTCTGCCAGGCAAGGAAGAGGCTCCCTTGTAAAGGGTGTGATGCATTTGGGGCTCACATAGCCCACGGGCAGTGAGAATATTTCACGAAGGCTTTGTTATTCCCAGATGCCTAGACAATTCCCTGAAGTTCATTGCTTTCAAATGCCTCGCTGCTCTGAGTACGATTTCATATGAGGGAAGCAAGATGAAAGCTTACAACAGGATGTCACTGATTTTTCAAACACAAAGCAGGCCAAGGTGATAATACTAATGGAACAAATGTGCTCTAGGAGAAAATCTAGTAGATTCTTATCATTTACACACATGAAAAATCACAAAATCGAGGTGAGCGCCAGAAGCCTTTCCCTTGTAACCAAGAAAACTTGGGCTAGCTGCTCTAATCGCCTGAGGACAGATCCCATTTACAACTGATTCCATCTACAGCTGAGGGAATCCGTGCAGTGTTTTCACTCCCAGATTGCATGAAGCCATGGTTAAGAATCAGACTGCCATCCCATGATTGTGCCTTAAATTTCACGTCTATAAAAACAGAAAAATAATAAACTTATCTAAAAGTGTTGTTATAAAAATTAAATAAACTAATCTACAAATGTGCTTGGCATAGAGTCTAGTATATAGTGAGTGCTCGATAAATATTACTTACAAAATAAAATTATTATTACAGTTATAATTTATGGCATTATTATTATAATTTTCACTGTCTTTTGAATTGAGATTGTCTTGTAGCCTGTATATTAAGAGGTAAAATACAAAATCACTGTTCTTCAAGGCAAATTTATTGGAAAAATACTACAGGTGATGCTACAGATTTCTTTAAGTATATTCTTAACATTCTCTTCTACTAATAGTCTATAAGTCCCCTTTTAATATCTTCTTTACTATTCTTTCTTCAGTGCCTGATGCATGAGACTCCTCAAAAAAAATTGCTAATTTTTTTTAGCAAATAAGTGTTCTTTATTCATACAGAAAAAATTCATTCATACTTTCAACCTAAGAAAGCTGATTGAAAACAACAGTAATAACTACTGCCTGAGTAACCTCTACTGTTCTTCCATCTAACACTTTTTCAGCAAAGAAATTTCCCTGGTGAGTATAAAAGTTCTAAGATTGATGTCATTGTGAGCAAGTGAGCTCTCCATCCTTGCATTTCACTCTTCCTGGTGGTCTCTGTTAAAGAGATCTCGCTCTTAAGAACAGAACCTACAAGACTGGCTAGAACATCTCCTTAGATACATCATTTGAAACACTGACTCATTATTTTAATAGCATCTTTCTTAAATTAGGGTCAGAATTCTTTTCCCAGCATCATCCTTTCTATCTATTTTAAGACAGAGCCATCACTGTCTCATGTCCCCACTAATTGGATAAGTGGGTCTTTCTGACCTTGCAACAACTAAGTAGAAAGCATACTTAGTGACTGTAAAATTGACAGGCTTCTCTTTTTCTAAGTGGCAGGTATAATCTAGGACTTTTTGAACAGCACTTTGAGTTCCTACACTTTTCTATAAAGGGGTTTATATGTGAGTTGGCAGAAGATGGGGAGTTAACAATGCAGGGATCTACCACGTTCATTTCAAGCCATGTGCAAGGGGTTTCCATTGCACCACATGGAGAGAGTAACATGTTGGCAGATACCACCATGGCTTGTATTCTGACCCCTAGCCGGGAAATCTAGAAGCTGGGCCATGGGATAACCGGCCTTTTTGATGGTGGAGTCAGGAGACGGCAGCTGAGACTCCAGAGAGCTTTCCCCGCTCCTCTTCCATGTGAGGATATAATGAGAAATTAGCTCCCTAGCAGCTCATAATGAGGCTGTCATCTACTGCGGTGAGAGGGCAGAGAAAGTTAAGGTCAAAGTGGCCAAGCACCAGAAAAGGTTAAATGACCAACCAAAGCATATCTGTTATGCAGGGTCAGGGCCTTGGCTGGGAAACAAATAGGACTGAACACTTGGAATCATGTGGTTGAATGCCCCTTCAAATTTTGAACTCCTAGACTTCTCTGAATTCTTTCAGCCTGAGAAATGTCCATTCCTCCCTAATAAGAGCAAGAACTTCTCCTTGCTTGAAGACAATGAAGAGGCCTCTGATCTGAAAGACAACATATAGCCCCCTCAGGACCTGTTCCCAATTTCTCCCTTACCAGTAGGCCTATAACTAGGATCAGGTCACGATATAATCCCACCAGCGTTAGACCATCCAAGGCTTGATAAGGGAGGAAAGGGACTATTCCCCAAAGGTACTACAAAACATAGTCAATATGTACCAGCAGAAGCTGGGCACTCAGTACTGGGCTGAATTCTGAGGGTGCTTGATCAAGGAGGCTGGAACATAAGATTGAATGGGGTGGGCTTATTGATTTCAGAGCACTCTGACAAAATACAAGATTTAACTTTCTGGCAAGGGCCCCAGGAGATGATGTAAACACCTTCTAGGATAGCTCCTAAAAGTAAGGAACAAGCAATGGACCACATCAAATGAAGTCAAAATGCCATAATTGCTGTGCCAGATGGTTGCAAAAGTGATTAAAAGGCTCAGAGAAGTAGGCATGCTGGAGTGGACATAGTAAATAAAACCAGAAGATTCACTAAATGATTGTGTTTCATGAGAAGGCCAAGACCATTTACCAAGACCAGAAGGAATCTGCTGGTGAGAATGGCAGAAAGCTGCCACAGTAACCTCTGTGAATCAAAAGTTTGACCCCTGCTTAAAACTCTTTCCATTCTTCTGAGCATCAACAAAATGTTCCAGAGCCCTCCTCAGAAGGAGGTACTAGTAAGAGAGGTTATTTCATAAATAGACTTACAAAGCAATTGGTATGATGCGGTCCCCAAAGCAGTGAAGGTCTGGTGGTGGAGCTTGACCGCCAGAAGTTAAGTAGACACAATTATCACAATGAAAGCATGGCCTCAGTGGCAGCCAAGAGGGCCTAACCTGTGGAGATGCACTGAAATACCTAACAGAACATGGCGCTCATCGAGGCAAAAGAGATGGGCAGCCCACAAGGGTCATCACCAGCATTTACCTCCAAATAAATCAAGGACAGATGACAGGAGGCTGAGGGCAGATACTCTAAACAATGTCACAATCTCTTGTCCAATTTCTGGACTTGAATCTGTTTTCAAACTCAGACTCACTAGCTGAACTGGAGGCCAGTTCTCCAGGAGAAGGGACTCTGTAACACCACAGCAAGTGTACATGGTCATCATTTCCCCAGTCCTTCCCCAAGGCACCTATGGCCATGTACTTAGATAGCTACACACTGAAGAAAAAGAAATACTCAAATATTTCAAGGGCTGTTGGACAGAGTTGACATGAATACTTAGCAATCAGAACCATCACCATGCCCTCTATCTCAGGGTGCAGGACTACAGGGCTAGGCAAAAGATCAAATCCTAGTCAGGGTCCAGTTTACAGTGTGTTCACTGGATCCATGAACTCACACAGTTGTCCTTTTCCCTGTCCTTGAATGTATAAATGGGTTTGATATACTTGGAAGTTGGTGCAACTTCTATACTGGGTCCTTGATCCATAAGATAAAAGCTACCATAGTGGGTAAGGCCAAGGAGAGGTCTCTGAAAATGCACTGCCCTCTCCTCTATCAAAAGAGTAAATCAGAAACAATATTGCATCTTAGAGAAAAGGCAAAAATTCATTGAATAATCTACTGTCATCATCCAGTATCCATTTGGTGTATTCAGGGCCTAGAGTGGCAAATTAAATGGAGATATCATGAGACCTCCATGAAGGGGGCTACCAAGCTGACTGAGAAGCAATCACAAGAGAGGTGGGAAAAGAACCAGGAGAGAGTGAAGTCATGGAAAGCAAGGGATTAAAGCACTAACACCAGCAGAGAAACAGAGTAAGGTCTGAAGGTGTCCATTGAATTTGGTGAACACTGTATCACTAATAGCCTTAGAAATGGCAATTCTAGCCAAATCATTCACTCATTCATTTAACAAATATGTATTGCATGTGTCAGTGGGGAGGAGAGAAGAGGAGAGGAGAGGAGAGGGAGAAGAAGGGCTCCAGGCAGTTGAGATAGGATGTCCAAAGCTCAGCAGTTGATGCAGGGAAGAGTGTGTTTTCCTTTTCCAGTTACATTAATTGGTGAGGAAGGGAAAAGTCTATAGAACTTATGTATGATTTCCTCAATTTCTTGATGAAATAGGAGCAGAACCATCTTCATCATAGGAGATGGTCTCATGGTATCTGGGCAGCCAGGTATGGGTTGGTTGTGTTCAAACAAAATGACCACAGACTCTTCCTCAGCCTAATGGGGATGACTGTTGTATTAGCTGGGGTCCATTCAGGAAAACAGAAACCAAGAAAACCAAGCTGGATGTTACAAATAGAGGGCAATTAAAGAACTGGTTGCAAAGAACTGGTTGCAAAAAATTGGAAGTCTAAGAAGACAAAAAGGCAAGCATGGATAGCCCAAATATTCGTAACTACTGGAAACAGCTATTAGTCAAAGGTTAGGGAAACAAAGGAGAACAGGTCTAAACCCTAAGTCAGAGGAGGGCCCCCACCTACAGGCTGGTGCTCAGACCTCAGGAAAGGGCGTGACTGGCCGGTGCAGGTTCTGCAAAGAGGGAATAGTGCAACTGGTTTGGGGGGTGCCAACTGAAACTGGGGCTGAAGCCATAGCTGCATTTTGCTGCTGTTTTTGCCGTAGCGACACCAACGCTAGAAACAGAAAAAGTCCCTCCTCTTTTCATCGTCTAATCTCCCTCTTCCTATTAGCTAATCTCCCACTGGCTAATAGAGAGCCAACCAGAAAGAGTTTCTGGGAAATGTATTTTGCAGACCCCGACCCCACCATCACAGAACAGACCATAGAACAGCGGTTTGGGAGCTGAAAGACAAGAGCTGAATGCTCTGGTCTGAATGGCTGTGTCTCTCCAAGATCTATATTTTGAAATCCTGACCCCTAAGGTGATGGTGGTAGAAGGCAGGGCCTTTGGGGGGTGATTAGATCATGGGGTCTAATTCAGTGTCTCGTGAGGGCCTGTTTTCTGGTTCATAGGTGGCACAGAGCCCTCATGAATAGAATTAGGGCCCTTATAAAAGAAACTCCGGAGAGATCCCTCGCCTCTTCTGCCATGTGAGGACACAGTGAGAAAACGCCATCTATGAACCAGAAAACAGGCCCTCACCAGACACCAAATCTGCCGGCCCCTTAATCTTGAATTTCCCAGCCACCAAAACTGTGAGAAATAAGTTTCTGTTGTTTATAAGTCGCCCAGTTTATGGCATTTTGTTATAGCAGCCCAAATGGACTAAGGCCATAAATAAACACCACAACTATATCAGAGTATAGAGATGACTGGAGGGATATAAACAAAGAGGCTGGTGTTCTGTGACCCCAAGGCCAACAAGTGTGGGTGCTTTTGCCCACCAGGGAGCCCAGCAGTTGTGAGCTATGACCAGGCATTTCATTTCCTCTTTGGTGGCTGGTATTGCCATCTGCAGAGAAGCCACAGAGCCTGACAGCAGAGAGAACACAGCATTGGCAATGGTCCTGAGCACATGTGGCCAGTGCTCTTTGTGATTGCAGAACCTGGGGTTCAGGAAGGCTCTCCACAGTCTCTTCCTCGTTATTACGATTTTCCTAGGTAGAAAAGCATTCGAAGGGCTTCCTAGGGCAGCCAGACCATATGAACTAAATTTAGAGGAGAATAAATTGCAAGCCATGTTTGGAAGAGAGTTGAAACATCTCCTTTTTTCCCTCCTTTACAATATGGGAAGGAAATTTTAAACATAAGTGAATGTTTAAAAATCAATAGCTTTCTTATGTTGCAAAGGTAGCTAATTAGAAAATACAATAGAAAAGTATCCCATTCTTAATATCAATAGAAATTATAAATATCTAGGAATAAACTTAACAAGAAACATGTAGAATCTACTTATAGTTGAAAAAAACTTTGAAAATTTAAAGGACCGAAAATAGCACTGGAATAAGAAAAGAGATGTAGTCTACTGGAAGTTTAAATATCATTAAATATAAATTATCCACCAACTGATTTAGATTTTTAATAACGTTACAAAGCAAAACCCCACAGCAGCTTTTAACCTAATATATGTCCAAATATCCAGAAAAATAATTTTATACAATTTTGTAAGAATATAAATGACAGAATTATTCTAAAAAACAGGTTGGCTATATGAATCAAGGATTCTTTTAAATCAAGTCTGGATGGCTCATGGTCAGGAGTCTGAGACCAGCCTAGGAACAGAGCAAGATCCTATCTTTACAAAAAATTGAAATTAAAATTTAAAAAAAGAGAATCTTAAGTAAGATATTTATACAGACAATTAAAAGGCATATTATCTTGAGTACTCAAATATGTGGGGCAGGCACAATGGCTTACGCCTATAATCCCAGCACTTTGGGAGGCTGAGATGGGCAGATTGCTTGAGCTCAGGAGTTCAAGACCAGCCTGAGCAGCATGGCAAAACTCTGTCTCTACAAAAAATACAAAAATTAGCTGGGCATGGTGGCACATGCCCGTGGTCCCAGCTACTCAGGAGGCTGAAGTAGGAGAATCACTTGAGCCTGGTATGCAGAGGTTGCAGTGAACTAAGATGATGACACTGCACTCCAGCCTGGGTGACAGAGTGAGACCCTGTCTCAAAAGAAAAAAAAAAAAGATACAGGGAAAAGTTCAGGATAAATGTTTAACAGAACTCAGAACACAAACACCTAAATGTTACCAATGGTTAACCCTAGTTAATGAAATTCTCAGTAATTTTTATTTTATTTTATTTTATTTTATTTTATTTTATTTTATTTTTTTGAGACAGTCTTGCTCTGTCACCCAGGCTGGAGTGCAGTGGCGTGGTCTCGGCTCACTGCAACCTCCGCCTCCCAGGTTCAAGCTATTTTCTGCCTCAGCCTCCCGAGTAGCTGGGATTACAAGCACCTACCACCACACCCAGCTAATTTTTGTATTTTTAGTAAAGACGGGGTTTCACCATTTTGGCCAGGCTGGTCTTGAACTCCTGACCTTGTGATCCACCCACCTCAGCCTCCCAAAGTGCTGGGATTACAGGCGTGAGTCACTGTACCCGGCCATATTTTAGTCTTTATATTTTGGGGTGTGTTTTAATTTTTACCATGAAAACCTTATTTAACCAGAAGGGGGAAAAAAACTATCCTTTCAAAAAGAGGAAACAAGAGGCACTTGATTTCCTCTAAATTTTCTTTCAAAAATTCAACAACTCTAAGGGCTGATATGTGCCAGGCACTGTGTTGCAGTCTGCCATTTGAAGGTCAGACCACTTTGATCAGAGTTGAGGGTCTACATTAGGATGTAGGAAAAAATGGGGCTAGAAAGATGGATTGAACCAGGTTGTTCATGGCATTTTAGGTCAGACAAGGGAGGCTGGACTCTACTTTGCGAGCTTTGAAGTGTAAAGGTGATTATGATAAAGAAAAACTAGGAATGTAGCAATCGCCTATTGAAAAAAAACAAAAAACAAAGATAGACTTTGATTCCATCCTTCTTCCTACACTGTGGAGGAAATTAATAAGCACCACTCCATCTTTTATATCATTGGGCAGCTATCTCTAACTTGTGAAGACTAAGCCAATAAAATGTAAGTATTGAAATTCCCTCCTTTCTGTACAAGGCCCATAGAGATAGAAGCAAACTGTACCAAAGCAGTATCAGACATAACAAAATCACAGGAGCTTCAGACAGCAGGAAGGGAAATGAGGTTAAAAGAGATGGACTTTTAGCTGGGTGAGGTGGCTCTCACCTGTAATCCCAGCACTTTGGGAGGCTGAGGCAGGCAGATCACTTGAGCTCACGAGTTCGAGTCCAGCCTGGGCAACATGGCAAAACCTCATCTCTACAAAAAAATACAAAAATTAGCAGGGCATGGTAGTGAGAGCCTGTAGTCCCAGCTACTCGAGAGGCTGAGGTGGAAGGATGGCATGAGCCTGGGAGGTGGAGGTTGCAGTGAGCCGAGATCGCACCACTACAATCCAGCCTGGGCGATAGAGTCAGAGCTTGTCTCAAACACACACACACACACACACACACACACACACACACACACACACGACAGAGGTGCACTTTTTATGAGAGTGAGGCATGAAGGGATCATGAGAAGTCATCTTGTTTGTCCCTCTGTCTATTGTAGACAGGAACATCTTCTGCAATGTCTCTAATGAGGCCATCCAGCTTCTGGGAGCATGTCAGATTTGCATCATAAAGATGCTTTCCAAACCCAAATTCATGATTTTTTGCCAAAAACTTCTGATTGTTTATGTTGGTGAATTATGGCACCATCTACTGAAAATTGATAATCATGTCAGACTCTTCTCTTTCTCTCACCAACAGCATCCAATCACTCACCAAGTCCTGCCAATATTATCTCCTGAGTTGCATTATTTAAATTTAAGTCTTCAGGCTGGGCACAGTGGCTCACACCTGTAATCCCAACACTTTGGGAGGCCAAGGCAGGCGGATCACTTGAGGTCAGGAGTTCAAGACCAGCCTCGCCAACATAGTGAAGCCTCATCTCTACTAAAAATACAAAAATTAGCCAGCGTGGTGGCATGTGCCTATAGTCTCAGCTCCTTGGGAGGCTGAGGTAGGAGAATTGCTTGAATCCGAGAGATGGAGCCTGCAGTGAGCCAAGATTACGCCATTGCACTCTAGCCTGGGTGACAGAGCGAGACTGTCTCAAAAAAAATTTTTTTTAATAATAATAATAATAAAATAAAATTAGATCTTCATCATTTTTCACTCGGATTACTGTGACAGGTCTCTCCCCCCAGTCCATTTCCCTCTTAATCTATGCTGCCATCAACACACGCTTGGGCCGGGCACAGTGACTCATGCCTGTAATCCCAGCACTTTGGGAGGCTGAGGCGAGTGGATCGCTTGAGGTCAGGAGTTCAAGATAAGCCTGGCCAACATGGCGAAATCCCATCTCTACGAAAATACAAAAATTAGCTGGGTGTGGTGTCAGGTGCCTGCAATCCCAGCTACTCAGGAGGCTGAGGCAGGAGAATCGCTTGAACCCGGGAGGCAGAGGTTGCAGTGAGCCAAGATTGTGTCATTATGCTCCAGTCTGGGCCACAGAGTGAGACTATGTCTCAAATACACACACACACACACACACACACACACACACACACACACACACACACACACACATGCTTGAACAAATAACTTGCCTGCTTTAAATATTTCAGATCCCTTATGAGTCACTTAGACCCTTCATAGTCTGGTCCTGGGTGCTTCTTCAGCCTCTTTCCCTGACATTTCCCGGGAACATGCTGCATTCCAGCCATTTCAAACTATTTCGAGTTCCTCAAATAGCCCTTACCCTCTGACATGGCCCTGCTTTTGGTTGTGCTGTTTCTGTTGCACTCCCCCATTCGCTCAATAATCCCTGTTTGTTTGCCCATCAAGATTCAACCAAGGGGTGCACCATCCAGGAAACCACCACTGATCCCCCAAATCTGAGTTCTAAGTCCCCACTCTGTGTTCATACAGTACTCTCCTGCATTAGCATTCATTTAACTGCTGTAGCTGTTTAAACGTCCGTCTCACTCACCATACTGAGAGCCTAGGGAAGAGACTGTCTTTTATTGTGAGCATCAGTTATACTGTTCTGCCCAGGACCATCCTTTTCACTGGGAAAGTGCTACTCCTTTATCCCATGTGGTTCAGCTGAGACTATTAATCACACTTCCCTGTCTACCTACTTGCAACAGGCTTGGGCACGTGACCCAGGCCTGGCCAATCATGGTACCATATCTTCTTAACAATAATGTCTGATCCAAGCACTGGCAAATTGAAGAGAGTCTTTCCATGACATTAATATATGGATCCAGGAAAGAGAAGATTCTTCTTTTACTTTAGAATTGAAAAATGATAGTGGCCCTGGACCATCAGCAGCCATCTTTCTCCCCTCATGAAAAGAGCACATCCATGGATTTAACTTAACATTAGAGGAGGTACAATGAGAATATGGAAATAGAGCCTAAATAATTTTATTTTGCCCCTAGATCTAGCATATGAGAAGCAAATATGTTCTGCATTTCCCAGTTTATAAGCCAATAAATTCTCCTTTGTGCTTAAAGCATTCGAGTTACATTCTGACACTTGCAACCAAGAATCCTGACAAATACATCTTTGGAATTTGTATCTCCTCTGAATTACAGTGACTGGTACATAGGACTCAAAAATATGTACATAGGACTGGTACATAGTACAGTGACTGGTACATAGGACTTAAAAATATGTTACATGGATGAATGAACAGCTTAGCAAAAGGTCTGGGAATGACCTCTGCGTAAAGTGAATTTCTGCTGCCCCCAAAACTGCCTAGTGTGTGCTGTTCATCAACAATGCACCCACTTCTTGCACTTTGATGTAGAGAGGCCATACCACCTGTGTCTACATGTGGTTACTACTTAAACAATACTTACATAGTTAGCGAGTGGCCAAAATGTCTATTAATCTGTAAACACTTGGAAAGAATCCAGTTTGTATTCTTATTTTCCTGGTTTAAAGTGCTAAATGAACCAAAAGTTAGGGAAGCTCTTTTCAGAAAAGCCATCATGCCTGATCCAATCCACTGAACAAAAGATTTAGGAGCTCTCCATCTGATATTAGTCTTTGGAATAGCCTTGACTTAAGTGTGCTTGAGCCTGTGACTGTGGGTGAAAGTGTGTGAGCGATGATTTTCCTTCTTGCAGGTACCAATCGGGTAAATTCTCAAGTGTGTAGCTACTGAGGACTCTGCCTCAAATGGAAGAAGGCAGAGCTTCCAAACCATTAGTAAGTTAATCTCTGTCCTTGTTTTTTGGAGAATAAAATGTGGGCTTTTTTTTTTTAAATGAGCAAATTTTGTTTGATGTTAAAATGTTTTTCTCCATATGAGGTAAATGTTCTATTCAAAGTTATTTCTCTCTTTTTAAACACAGCAAATCAAATCTTCTTTTAATGCACATGTGAAAGTCATAGCATTTTACGTTCTAAAAACAATCCTAGGTTCTCTACATCAGAAACGATTCTGCTTGAATCCACTTAACTTATTCAAATATTTAGCAAGGTCAGCAGGATGCTTCTGAAATTTTTTCTTTCAATTATTCCTTAAGGTCAATAATCTAAAATTGCCAAACATGTGATGTATTTTTACAGCAAAAAATATGTAAAGAAAAATGAAAGCAAAAATTAGAACTGGCTTCTTGTTCATGTGCTTTTGAGGGGTTAGTAAAATCTAAAAGTATATGAAGATTTCTGTTTGAAAATTAAGGGTCATGAAAGAGCCAAAACTAGGCATGACCCATTCCCACCCAGAGAATGAGAAGGAGGATTTTCAAAGAAAGTAGTGGCTTGTACAGGGATTTTGAAGTTTTCACAGAGTTCCCACATTTACAAAGAAAAGTCAGGGGTTGCAGGGATTTGGAATAAGGTAGAGAGGGTTCGATTGCTTTGTGTAGACACCGGGAAGAATCTGAAACAGCCTTTTGGTTTCTGGGAAGGGTGTAGATGAGAGACTGAGCAGATGAGGGAGAAGGAAGGAGAGAAAGGAAACCATGGGCAGGCAGAAGGGGGAGGGGGGCAGACAAAGAACTTGTAAGAACAAGCCTACTGGCTGGGCGACAGTGGTTCACGCCTGTAATCCCAACTATTTCAAAGGTTGAGGCAAGAGGATCACTTGAACCTAGGAGTTTGCAACCAGCCTGGGCAACATAGTGAGACCTTCACTGCGTTGTCTCTTCAACAAAATTAAAAAATTATCCGAGGACGGTGGTACATGCCTGTGGTCCCAGCTATTTGGGAGGCTGAGACAGGAAGATCACCTGAGCCCAGGAGCTCGAGGCTGCAGTGAGCCCTGATTGTGCTACTGCATTCCAGACTAAGAGACAGAGCAAGGCATTGTCTATAAAAAAAAAAGAAAAAAAAAAAAAAAAGAACAAGCCTATTAGTTAGATGCATTCATTTATTTAAACTGATAGCTAACGGGCCAGGCATGGTGGCTCACACCTGTAATCCCAGCACTTTGGGAGGCCGAGGTAGGAGGATCACTTGAGCCCAGGAGTTTGAGACCAGCCTGAGCAACATAATGAGACCCTGTCTCTACAAAAAAAAAATTTTCTTTTAGTTAGCCAGGTGTGGTGGGACACACCTGTAGTCCCAGCTACTTGGGAGGCTGAGATGGGAGGATCACTTGAGTTCAGGAGGCCAAGGCTGTAATAAGCCATCATTGTGCCACTGCACTGCAGCCTGGGCAACAGAGTGAGCCTGTTGAGCCTGTCTCAAAAAATAAATATAAATAAATAAATAAAATGACAGCTAAAAGTTGTATATACTTATGGCATATGACATGATGTTTAGAAATGTAGATGCACTGTGGAATGGCTACATCAAGCCGATTAGCATGTGCCTTACCTCACAGGCTTATCATTGATTTGTGATGTGGACACTTAGAATCTACTCTCAAGTTTTATTTTAAGCTATGTTGCTACATCTCCCATTGTCTTAACAAACTTTAATTTACCCTACATATGGAGGTTGTTTGTGATTAAAACACACACAACAGAAAAAAAAAAAAGCACCAGAGAGGCTGGTGTGGAATGTGGAACGGTAACCTTCCAAATCATAGTGGAAAGAGGGAAAAGTTTATAAGGGCAATTGTGAAGGGTAATAAATAACGATAGACAGGCTTGAGCGGAGGAAATCTAGATTGAAAAAATCTACATATGCTATATAGGAATAAAAATGTATTAAAGTCATATGATTATTTCACTATGTATGTAGGCACATCATTTGTAAATACAGCTAGAAACTGTAATTATAGAAAACATTTCACATGGTCTTTAATATTTAATTAGTCTCCCCACTGGAAATCAACCACGTAGAAAAGAAACGCTTTCTCAATAGGTTAATATTAATTACTTAACAACCCTGACATCGATATTTATGGAATACTTATGAAACAAGCTTTCATGAAGTGGAAACATGTTCATCCATCTACTGGGAGGCTTACGGCATTTTTCAAAGTGTCAAATTCACTTTGCGCTCTGCCTCTTTATGTTGTGAAAATTTGAAATTACTGTTGATTTGAAGGCTCTTCAAAAGACTCTTTTTTTATCCCAGCTGAGAATAAAAAAACTCAGAACAGATTAATCTGGTATTCTTAAAGTATGTCACTTCCTAATCTTGCAAAAGGGAAATGATAACCATATGAGACAAAGAAGTCTTACGAAGTAGAAGAAACTAGAGAGATAACGCCAATGTATACTGTCAACGACACAAAAATATAAAATTAGAAACCAGTCTTAGGAGGAAGTAGAGAAAGACAGTAAGTATCTGACATGGTTTGAAGAATGTTAGGAAAGATGCCTCATCACTAGAACAACTTTGTTCAGAACCACAGCACAGCGGTGCCTGGTGATCATTTATGCTTACATCCATTCTTTCAGCAATACGTACTGAATTCCCACTCTGCCCTATCTTGACCTTGGTGCTGGGTGCAATGACAAATACAACCCAGTCACTGTCCTTGGGAGCTCATTGTCCAGGTGCAGAGGCACACAAGTAAAAACAGTTGCAATACACTGTGCTAAGCATATCACAGAGACACTGGTGAGAGTAGGAATTTTAGCGAGGCACGGCATCTCACGCCTGTAATGCCAGCACTTTGGGAGACTGAGGCGGGTGGATCACTTGAGGTCAGGAGTTCAAGACCAACCTGGCCAACATGGTAAAACCCCATCTCTACTAAAAAAAATACAAAAATTAGCTGGGCGTGCTGGCACATGTCTGTAACCCCAGCTACTTGGGAGGCTGAGGCAGGAGAATCGCTTGAACCTGGGAGGCAGAGGTTGCAGTGAGCCAATATCGCACCACTGCACTCCAGCCTGGGAGACAGAGTGAGACTCTGTCTCAAAAACAAAACAAAACAAAACAAAGAAAGGAATTGTAGGTAAGGAGTGATGACAACTTTGTATGTAAATGCATGCTAAATATCAAATAAATACACAATTCAAAACACTTTTTTCTCTTTAATACTTGCAGGTTCCTCTATTGACTAATCCTGTTATGAGAGTTTATATGTAATTGGGCAAGATGCACTAAACTCCAAACTGATTCCAGTTCTGACTCTGCCCCTTACCAGCCCCAAAACCCCCAGCAAGTCCAGTGAGGCCTCAGAGCCTTAATGGCCTCTTCTACAAAATTAGTGCATTTGTCCTGATGATCTATAAGCTACTTGTCCAGCTTGACAGTCTAAGAAGCTTCATTTAAAATGTAAATGTTATCCTCAAAGGGTGATGCATGAAGCCAATGGGACTGTATTGTGCATTAGTTAATTAAATTAGCTAGCCAGTCACCTTGCAGAGCCCTGAGAAAAAGGGACACAGGTAAGATTCATCTCAAAAGATGGGGGAAGAGCTCTAGATTTGCGGTGGGTAAGAGAATTGGAGATCTTGGCAAATAGAGGCAGTGAAAGGCATTGAGCCCCTGGAGGATGTAACAGGGAGGAAGGAGAACCACAGACAAATTTTTAACATATTATAGGAAAGTGTTTCTCAGCCTTGCTTTCAAAATAAAGCATTAGAACATGTAATATGATCAAAGACTGCAACAGCTTCAAACTATATAGTAAGGGCTTGGGCCAGCTGTCTGGTTGAAAAGAGTCGCTCAGGGAACTTTCTTGAGGGTATGTTTGCATTACATCTGCACAAACCACTTTTACTTGGACTGTAAGTTTATCTAGGATGATGGGTATGTAGGGGGAGTGAGGATGAGATTATATGGGACAGTTTAGGGCCCAGCCAAGTGACTCCCTTGACACCGAGACTGACCAAAGAAGAAGAAAGGAATTGAAAATTCTCTTCCTTTTCCTTAGAAAGCACCTTCCACATCTCTACTTAGCTCAAGCAGTTAGCTCAGACTTCACCCCTCTGCTCACCACATAGCTTCCCACACTGACCACATCGACAAAAGTAAGAGAACTTTCCACCTTCCCTGACACACAAAAGCCCCTGCCCAGATGCTATGAGCTTAGCAGCCCTAGCAAAGGACAGATGTAAAGGCAGGTTGAAGCTGGGTGCAGTGACTCACACATGTAATCCCAGCACTTTGGGAGGCTGAGGCGGGCAGAAACTTGAGCCCAGGAGATCAAGACCAGCCTGGCCAACATGGTGAAACCCCACCTCTACTAAAAAAAATTTTTTTTTTTTTTGAGACAGAGTCTTTCTCTGTCACCCAGGCTGGAGTGCAGTGGCACGATCTCAGCTTACTGCAAGCTCTGCCTCCCGGATTCACGCCATTCTCCTGCCTCAGCCTCCTGAGTAGCTGGGATTACAGGCGCCCGCCACCATGCCTGGCTAATTTTTTGTATTTTTAGTAGAGACGAGGTTTCACCATGTTAGCCAGGATGGTCTCGATCTCCTGACCTCATGATCCGCCTGCCTCGGCCTCCCAAAGTGCTGGGATTAGAGGTG
The DNA here is from genome assembly GCF_000001405.40 of Homo sapiens. Taxonomy (NCBI): domain Eukaryota; kingdom Metazoa; phylum Chordata; class Mammalia; order Primates; family Hominidae; genus Homo; species Homo sapiens. Next base: position 61,622,798 of record NC_000001.11, read on the forward strand.
TGAGCCACCGCACCCGGCCTAAAAATTAGCCAGCTGTGGTTGTGCACACCTATAATCCCAGCTACTTGGGGGGCTGAGGCACAAGAATCGCTTAAACCTGGGAGGTGGAGGTTGCAGTGAGCTGAAATTGCACCACTGCACTCCAGTCTGAGCGATAAAGGCAGGTTGCATTCTGACCTAGTTACCTGCTTTTGGTCTTTTTTGCATAACCTAGCCCAAAAGTTTTGTTCTTACCATATTCACTTCTAAGAGTAGACATTTTTACAGTGGATACAACCTTATTGCATTATTTTCCCCAACCAAAGATAACTTACTTTTCAGGGCAATACAAAGAGCCATATCAACAATGGCTAGAGTTAAGTTATGGAGATCTGATGGCTAGCAGAAATGGAAGACCCTGTGTACAAATGAGGTTTAAGCAGCGCCATGTTGAGTCCTGGTAACCCACTGGGTAACACTGATCCAGTGTTGGTCAGTTTCACACATTTACAAGAGTGTAGAACTCTGATCGCAGAGTAGTTGTGGAACAGCATTCATATTTTACATAATACATGTTAGATTATATTTGTCCTATGTAAACTCTGACACCAACCTGTTTAAAGTAATTTGAAAGATGAGATGCCCCCAAATAAGTTCTTCATTTGAAAAAATAGAAACTATATCCACATCCAGTCGTCTGTTTTACAAAAACTGCTCTTGTATGACTGAAGCAGACACGCGTTCACCTATGATTATGCTCCTTGATTTCTCACATCCAGCAGAGTCCTTGCATGGGTCAAATCTTTGCACGTTCAAGGTCCTGGCTTTCCTCAGAGTAAGCCTGCTCCTTTTGCTTTTCTGCTTGGGGTCAACCCTGATGACTGTCACCCTGATTCCTGCCTTCCTACTTCCTCCAGAGCTTGTCTCATCAATTGCTCCTAGTGTCCTATCCTACATCCTCAACCACCCTCTCCTTCTTTGCCTTCCCCCTCAGCCCATAACAATGCTTAAATCTCTTACATCCAAACAGAAACTGTCCCTTTCCTCTGTATTCTCCCACTAGTGGCCATCTCATCTCTCTTTTTTATATATAAACTTCTTTATGCTTTTTTTACAGCCTCATATCCATTAACCCTTCACAGGCTATTATCCTATTGCTATTTCTGCTAACAAGCAGGCTCATGAATACATACATGAGCATCAAAAGCAGCTATGGGGCAGTGATGACCAGACTCAGTACCTGGTTAACACCTTCATGGATGTTAAACATTTCAATGGTGACAAAGGAAGTGGCTTCCTAGCCCCAAATACCTGATCTCTAAATAGCATCTATGATGATGCGCACTGAGCTGAATAGTTACAGTAGTGGTCTCCGGATTCATGCCACTCTAGTATTTCCAACCATTTTTAAGGCACCTCATTTATTTCTTTTCTTTTCTTTTCTTTTTTCAAGATGGAGTCTTGCTCTGTTGCTCAGGCTGGAGTGCAGTGGTATGATCTCGGCTCACTGCAACCTCCACCTCCCAAGTTCAAGCAATTCTCCTGCCTCAGCCTCCCGAATAGCTGGGATTACAGGCATGCATCACCACGCCTGGCTAATTTTTGTATTTTTAGTACAGACGGGGTTTCACCATGTTGGCCAGACTGGTCTCAAACTCCTGACCTCATGATCTGCCTGCCTTGGCCTCCCACAGTCCTGGGATTACAGGCATGAGCCACTACACCTGGCCCTCATTTCTTATATAAAATCCTCTAATTATATAAAATCTGCTAATGCTTCAAAAGCCTAGAGTGTTTTCTATCTCCTATACTGAGCCCTGACTAATAAAGTTTGTGAGACTGTAAGTAGTTATAGACAGCAGAGTCACCAACAAGGATTTGGGAATGGTTATCTGATTTGGTTGGGTTTGAAGGCAGGGCTGATTCAATTGCCACTGAAAAATGGGAAACTGGCAGCCTGTGGCACAGTTGCAAAGAGTTATTTACACTGTCACACTGCTGGTGGGCTTACATTAAGTGCCTCTTGAAGCATGCCTTTTGGTGTATCAGTATGGCAAGAATGGGGCAACCAAGGACTACGGGGCAGGCTGAATACTTCTGAGTCCCCGAAGAGCTTAAAGAAAGGCTCAGGCCTTTACGTTTCTTTAAATTCTAAGCTCAAGGCAAAATTAGAAGATTGGAGAGTTTCTGTAACTGCCATCAAACAATCTCTAATCTCTTAAACTGAATGGGATGATGTCCAAAAGTAAGATGCCAAAGCTGATCATGCGAGTTTTAAATCACAAATTAAATTGAATTCACAGCCTCACTGGGTCTTCTATGTGCAAGTTAGACTTTGGTTAAGAAAGAGTGGAACTTTGAGAACTGAAATGAGAACAGTTGCGCAAATTCAGATGAATATGAGTCCTTGGAGCCCCCAATATCCACTGTGCCTTGCTCACCAGCAGAAGCAACCCTTCTTCCCCACCCAATCATGCCAGTTCTGCTTTGCGTGGAGACCCTGCAGTGACCTCCCCGAGATAGTTACCTTCAAGAAGATGCCAAATATCTTCATGTTCCACCACAACAATTATCATTGTCTTGTGACCTATTAAAAAAAGCCAAATCCCATCATGCCTCAGGGAGACAAGAAAGTTTAGCTATTTAAATATTTGCAATTTCCTGCTTATTTATAGCTCTAGAAGCCCAGGGAATATGTGTGATCATGGACCCATATAGGGGAAAGGCTAGATCAAACAGAAGGGATTATTATCATCATGGATTCGTTTGCTAGATTTTGAATTCAGTGATCTAATTCAAGAGAATTCAGTTATCTAATTCAAGAAGATCAAATGAAATCTGGTTTCAAAAGAGGCCTACCCTAAGTGTTATCAAAAATTCCTTGACATAATGTAGAGGCAAAAAAAAAATCCAAAGACTTGGGGAGTTAATAATGTTAAAATGGAAATACTATGCATGACCTGTTCATTCACCTTCCGTGTTGGCCAAAAGAGACCAAAGAATGTGCTCCCTTCACTAAGACACAGAGAAGTACATCTGTGGTTCAAGCACCAATATCCTTTAAAACAATACAGTGATTGCCAAGGTTTTTTGTTTTTGTTTTTGTTTTTGTTTTGAGATGAGGTCTTGCTGTGTCACCCAGGCTGGAGTGCAGTGGTGTGATCATGTTTCATTGCAGCCTCAACCTCCCAAGCTCAAGTAATCCTTCCACCTCAGCCTCAAAAGTAGCTGGGAATATAGGCACCACCACACCCAGCTAATTTTTTTTTTTTTTTTGAGATGGAGTCTCACTCTGTTGCCCAGGCTGGAGTGCAGTGGCATGATCTGGGCTCACTGCAAGCTCTGCCTCCTGGGTTCACGCCATTCTCCTTTCTCAGCCTCCCCAGTAGCTGGGACTACAGGCGCCTGCCACTGCGCCTAGCTAATTTTTGTATTTTTAGTAGAGACGGGGTTTCACCGTGTTAGCCAGGATGGTCTTGATCTCCTGACCTCATGATCCACCCATCTCGGCCTCCCAAAGTGCTGGGATTACAGGCGTGAGCCACCGTGCCCAGCCACCCAGCTAATATTTTTTTATCTTTTGTAAAGATGGTGTCTCACCACGTTGCCCAGGCTGGTCTTGAACGGCTGGGTTCAAGCAATCCTCCCAAAGTGTTAGGATTACCAGCATGAGCTACTGCGCCCAGCTGGTAGGGCTGTCTTATGTAGGAGATACTGCTGTAGAAACAGGCTGTCTGAGTTCAGTTGTGATGATAGGATTCTGGAGTGGCAGAGGACAAATGGCAGCAGTAATTGTCTCCCATGTAAGTGGCAGGAATATAGTGGTAATCAGAATGTTTTGACCCTCAAGAATGAGGTTATGTATTATGGTCTTCCTAGGATTGAAAGAGATGGACAGAAAAAATGTCAAGAAAAAAAAGTCCTAAAAGTGGTGGACTGATTTGAGTTCTCTCAATGAAAAGTCAGATTTCCTTACCCAATTTCCAGAAACTGATCCAATTTACTTTTGATCCCACTGAATAAAGAAGCCAGATATCCATGAGGAAGGATCCTATGGCACTGTCCCAAGTATGAATTGTAAACTTCTTGTCTCCTTAAGAAAATCAAAGGTATTTGCCAGGGTAATTGTGCACTGGGGAAAAGGAAATATCTAGACTTTGGGAGTATTACTGGACACTGGTTCTTAGACAGTGTTACCCCTAGGGACACAAAAGGCAACTGTGATCCATTAGTAGAAGTAAGGACTTAGGAGGGTCAAGTGATACATGCAGTTTTGGCCAGACTCCATCTTGGCCAAGAGGGTTCGTGAACCCATTCTGTGGTTATTTTCCCATTCCAGAACACAAATTTGGAATACCATTTTGGCAAGTGGTAGAATCTCCACGCTGATTTCCTTATCATGGAAGGAAGGGACAAGTGAAGTGAACCAAGCAGGGAATCAAAAACAATATCACATCCCTGAGGGATTATGTATAAATACCACTGTCAAAAACTCAAAAGGTGAAGATAGGGGCAGCAGTGACAGCATAGTTTTAGATCTTGCTGAATCTTCCCATAAAAACGTACAGAAAAAATTGGTATAAAACCAAACACAACCAATATTTACAACAAAGCTAAGTGATGAGGTATCCCCACAAACCCCAAAACACAAATGGGTGGGGGAAAAAAAGACCAACAGTAACAACAAGATGTACACGTTATCAGCATCTGTGTTGGAGAAATCAGAGGAAAGCAACAATGATGCAACTGATGGACTGAGAATTCCCCAATAAGGCAACAGATACTGACTTCAAGTGCAGCGGGCTGATTTGAGAATAGCAGTAGAAATTCCAATAGTGGCTGAGTGTAAGGAGTAAGGCCTTTAAGTGGCTGGAGCAGTCAAATCCCTCTGAACCCTTCAAACAGGCCCAACAAGGCTTCCTTCCAGAACAGAACCACACAGGATAAACTTCTGGGAGTGAAATAGGAGAGGGGCAGGGTAGGAGCAACAGAGTTAAATGAAAAAGAAGGTCCAGATCGAAGTGCAGGAGGGGAACAGAGCCAGGAAATCTCAGGGAAAAAATGAAAAAAAAAAGAAAGAAGAAAAAAAAAAGAAAAGAGAGAGCCTTTGTAAAGTGAAAAAAAAAAAATCTCAAACAAACATCTTTTTTAAAGTTCAATAAAACCAAAACCAAATTTACATTAAAATGAGTAACAAACAAAGTATCAAAATCAAATACCATACAAGGTTTCTATTAAAAGGTGAAGAAAAAGAAAAAGAAAAAGCAGAAGGAGAAGAGAAGGAGAGGAAAAGACGGAACAGAATAATATCGCTATAGACAATGAAAGCATATCTGAAAGTCATGCTCAAAAACAGATCAACTTGGAAGGCTGAGGCAGGAGAATTGCTTGAACCCAGGAGGTGAAGGTTGCAGTGAGCTGAGATTGCGCCGCTGCACTCCAGCCTGGGTGACAGAGCAAGACTCTGTCTCAAAAAAAAAAAAAAAAAACCCAAACTATTACATACTATTTTAAAATGAGCTGAAAAATATTAAGAAAATAATACAATATAAATAAAATAACAAATCACAATTAGAAAAAACTCAGAAATGACATAACAGACTTCAAGGAAAAATTACCAATAAAAGGAAAAAACTTTTTTATAAAGTGAAGATTACCAAAGGGGAAAAATAAAAGCAAATAAACATGACAAGTAATGCCTTAAAACTGGGGGGTAGAAGGAAGGAAAAATTTTACAATAAAAAATTAATGAGGAAAAATAAAGTCAAGAGAAAGTGACTAATGTTGATGATGGGCAGATAAAATCCAACATATGGATCACAGGAGTACCTGAAGCAACCCAAAGCAGGGGAACAGATCAGATACTGAAGTCTTTCCTTAAATAAAAAATAACAATATTTGAAATTGCTTACTGAAAGAGCACACTGTGTGCTTAGTAAAAGATCTAAAATGGTTGTGCCATTTATATCATTACTGTCTCTCTCTCTTTTTTTTATTTATTTTTTTTGAGATGGAGTCTTGCTCTGTCACCCAGGCTGGAGGGCAATGGCATGATCTCGGCTCACTGCAAACTCCGCCTCCCAGGTTCACACCATTCTCTCACCTCAGCCTCCCAAGTAGCTGGGATTACAGGCATGCGCCACCACGCCCGGCTAGTTTTTTGTATTTTTAGTAGAGACGGGGTTTCACCGTGTTAGCCAGGATGGTCTCGATCTCTTGACCTTGTGATCCACCCGCCTCGGCCTCCCAAAGTGCTGGGATTACAGGCGTGAACCACCGCGCCCAGCCCTCTCTTTTATAATAAATTCTCACCTGGGTGTGGGGGCTCACGCCTGTAATCCCAGCTCTTTGGTAGGCAAAAGTGGGCAGATCACTTGAGGTCAGGGGTTTGAGACCAGCCTGGCCAACACGGTGAAACCCCATCTCTACTAAAAATACAAAAATTAGCCAGCCGTGATGGCAGGCGCCTGTAATCCCAGCTACTGGGGAGGCTGAGGCAGGGGAATCACTTGAACCCAGGAAGCGCAGGTTTCGATGAGCCAAGATTGCGCCACTGCACTCCAGCCTGGGCGACAGAGCAAGACTCCATCTCAAAAAAATCAGTAAATAAATATTCTCTGTTGTAATTATTGATGTGGTTTCTGTCTCCTGACTGGACACTGACTGATACAGAAAATGGTACCAGGACATAGACCCTAAGATCTCAAAGATTGGATTTGGAGATTGATTTTTGGCCGTGTCTGTGGACTGGAAAAAATGCTCAACTCTTTGTCAATGAAAAGTGGGATTCTAGGTAATCCATGTCATGCAGTGGCATTCACAATTAATAAAATTATCATCTCTGGTCAATGTGACGAAGTGTCTACTGAAGCATTAAGTCATATTCTAGTAAAATGACTGAGCTTTAAGAAAAAAGAAAAAAAAATCTTTCAGGCTTCTAGGCAAATAGTGCACATGACTCAAAGGGAAAAAAATTATATTATCATCAGATTTTTCAACAGTAACTTTTTATGCCAGAAGAAAATGGAGTAACGTACTTAAGATCCTAAAAGAAAGAAAATGTGAGCCAAGGATTTTATATACAGCAAAACAGACCTATAAATATAAAAGGAGCAGGCAAACTGTTAACATGCAAGAACTCAAGGAATATTGTTCCCATGAACCCTTCCTAAGAAACCTACTACCTCTGAGCTGACCAATACGGTAGCTACTAGCCACATGTGGCTATTTATATTTTAATTTGAATGAACTAAATGAAGTAAAATTAAAAATTCAATTCTTGCCGGGCGCAGTGGCTCATGCCTGTAATCCCAGCACTTTGGGAGGCTGAGGTGGGCGGATCACAAGGTCAGGAGATCGAGACCATCTGGCTAATACAGTGAAACCCCATCTCTACTAAAAATACAAAATATTAGCGGGGTGTGGTGGCACACGCCTGTAGTCCCAGCTACTCGGGAGGCTGAGGCAGCAGAATCGCTTGAACCCGGGAGGCAGAGGTTGCAGTGAGCTGAGATCACACCACTGCACTCCAGCCTAGTGACAGAGCGAGACTCTGTCTCAAAAAAAATAAATAAATAAAAATTCAATTCTTCAGTCAAACTAGCTATATTCCAAGTGCTTAACAGCTGCATGTGGCTAATGGCTACCACACTGGACAGTATAGATATGGAGCATTTCCATCATCACAGAAAATTCTATGGGATAGCACCATACTAGCTAGCAAGCTTCAGACCACCAAATGATTGGAGAGTCATTGACATAAGAACTAATGGTGGGTATTAGATGTATATTCAATTGCATAACTAAGACTAAATAAGGGTTAAAAGGGAGGGATTACATTATATGTCTACATAATCTGGCAAGCTAGATATACAAAAACCATTAAAATGAGGGAGATGGAAATAGCATAGGCAAAATAAAAGTATTTTTCAGTTACGCTTTCGGTAATCATCATTCATGATGGTAGTACTAGTATTGCTATTCTGAGACTATTATATGTGTCATGTGGGACAAAGCAAATAGATAATTATAGGATATTCTACTTCTATCTTGTCCTTGAGTAGCAGGATTCTCGGTGTGGAAGAAAGGAGATACAGGTGTAGCATAGAAGAGGTTAGGTAAAACAAACCCTATAGCCTGCATCTAAATTGGAAATATCAGTACAAACTAGAAACCACGATCACCCCAGTAATAATGAGCTTCCCTTGGGCCCAGACTGTGGTTTTGAAATACCATTTCCCATTTAAAGAAAGCGTGGATTTTTGGAGAAATGGCTTACAAGATGTGCCTTGAACATGTTGACATGCCAGATGGCAAGGAAGCTATCAAAGACCCCTGGGATCATGCCAGAAAGATTCAGGAGGCAACTTGAAGAGGCTCCTATTGACCAAAGATGGGACAATTTCAGCTTCAGTAAAAACTGCAATAGATTAAAGTTCATCAAATATGTTTAAATCCATGAGTTTATAATAATATTAAAGGGAAAAGCAATGAATTGCTCACCTTGTGAGGATAAAAAGGAATCCAATTCACTTCCTTCAGAATTAAAAGAAAGAAGCCTTTACCTTGCCTATTCCATATGAACTGGCTAACCACATGGTGCATAAAGAGAAGGGTCTCTTTATAAAATTATTTCAGCTCATATGAAAACAAAGTGATAGAAAGTCACAATTTTAAAACCTCTAATAAATAAATGAGTCTAGGCCTTGAGCATCACTTGCTGCTAAAATCACAAAAAGAGCAAAAATCAGATAGATATTATATGCCTTCTGATGAAAGAACATTGCCTATCGTATTGCCAGAGGAATTGAATTTGAGTCCAATCAAGCCTCTGGATCCAGCTGCCAACTTACAGAAAATCAGAGGTTAGAGAAACACATTGAATTGCTCCATGCATATGCAATTTAAAACTGTAAGATGTTGGGAAAGATTTAAGACTTTGGGAAACTCTACAGTTCAAATAGGCTGGTATAAATTGTAAGAAAAAAAAAGGAGGCACAGAGAAGGAGGCTTAGGTTAAAAATGACTGAAACATATAAATTTTAAAATGGGCATGATTAAACTATAATATTTAATGATGCACACTTAGGTGATAAAAGCTTTAAAAATGCAAGGAACTGATCACTTCATAGAATTTAAGATCGTTGTTACTTTTGAAGGGAAAGAGAGAGCTGCGATTGGGATGTGGCACTTAGGGGTTTCTGGGGTGGCTGGTAAACTTGAATTTCTTGACTCGTTGGTTACAAGAATGTTCACCTTAAAGTAATTCAATAAGCTATTAAAAATAAGATTTGAAGTCAGGCATGGTGGCTCACGCCTGTAATCCTAGCATTTTGGGAGGCTGAGGCGGGCGGATCACGAGATCAGGAGATCGAGACCTTCCTGGCCAACACGGTGAAACCCTGTCTCTACTAAAAATACAAAAATTAGCTGGGCGTGGTGGCGCGTGCCTGTAGTCCCAGCTACTCAGGAGGCTGAGGCAGGAGAATCGCTTGAACCTGGGAGGCGGAGGTTGCAGTGAGCCAAGATTGCACCACTGCACTTCAGTCTGGCAACAGAGCGAGACTCCCTCTCAAAAATAAATAAATAAGATTTGAAATATGCTGAAGTCATGATTTTTGTCATAGCCCCATTTAATTCACCACCATGGCCACTGCTAAAAATGTACGGGTTTGTTTTGCTTTGTTTTGTTTTTTAGAGACAGGATATCACTCTGTCGCCCACCTTGGAGTGCAGTGGTACAATCATAACTCACTGCAGCCTCAAAACTCCTGGGCTCAAGCAATCCTCCTGCTACAACCCTTCAAGTAACTGGGACTACAGGTGTGAGCCACTGTGCCTGGATCGAGTTTTTGAGAATGACAATGGATTCTCTTAAGTTTAGTTATGTGGCGCGTGTCAATTGCAATTACTTTTTCAAATATGTTCTCTTTACTAGAGTAAATCAACACAGCCTTGGCACTTGGAATGCAATTACGGATCTGATAAATGCTTTGTTCTCTATCCCAATAAGCAGAAAATACCAGAAGAGTTCACTTTCATCTGGCAGGAAAGCAGTTCACCTGCACTGTTTTACCTGAGGACCACAGCAACTCTGGCTCTGTAAACATTTAGCCAACAGGCCATTGATCGCCTCCCAATCCCATGGGACATCATGGCAGTTCAGTACATTGATGGTATCGTATCCTTAAAACACTGTAAATAAGAAGCAGCTGTAATCCTAGATGCCTTGATAAAATGCCTGAACATGAAAGGGTCTGAGGGAAACCTCACAAAAATTCAAAGCTCTGCCACCTAAGTACAGAGATGCTCAGACGGCATCGTAGGATTTTGGAGCAACTCATACCACAGTTGGATAAGCTGCTGGATCCATTTACCAAATAACACCTAAGGCTGCCAGCTTTGATTAGGTACCCAAGCACGTGACAACTCTCCAGCTGGTCCGGGATGCAGCATATCTAGCAGAATCATGGCACTCAAAGTGTGTAAAACAGATGAGGACACTGGACAGATAACTCCAAGAGAATAATCAGAATACAGGCACCTGGGGGTTAGAGCAAAGCCAAAAAAAAATTTATGATCAACTAGATCAGGAACTCAGCCATTCTTCCACAAACACATAGCCTTTTTTTAAGAAACATCTATGTTTTCACTAATAGAGACTAACTGTTTGGCCATGGGACACCAAGGGACCATGTGATCTGAGCTGCCTGTTATTCACTGTGTATTATCTAACATGTCAAGCCATCAAATTAGGCATGCATAGCAATACTCCAAAATTAAGTGGAAGTGTGGGATGTGAGAGTGTACTAAGGGAGGTGGTAAAGGCAGTGGTGAGCTGTGGGTCACTCATGCTCCCAGTGCACCTATTCCAGTGGGACTGCTGCCTCTTATTCAGCTCACTCTGAAAGCTTTGTGGGCAATCGCTTACAAGAAGTAACTTGAGGAAGCAAAAAAATCTGCAGGACTATACACCAGCTAAAAGTGGACCACAGGAGCTTGATGCCCTACTTAAGGGTGACTCCAAAGGACAGTAGAAAAGGGTATTATAATTATTTCAGTAGGAAAACTTCAAATGGTACATATGACTGTCCCCTTTGCCTGGAAGGAAACAGATAAGGTACAGATCTACAGCAATTTGTGGCTAGTGCTGAATGGTTTAGCTAGATGGTTAGACTTAGGAGAAACAAGGTTGGAGGGTGTTAACAAGAATGAATGGGAGAGCATTGTAATAATGCACCTCACAGAATGGCCCCAGAGTGTAGGAATATTTGTATTCTGCATGGATGTTCATCAAAGGGCACCCACTGCAGAGGAGGTCTCAACAACAGTAGGAAAAGGATGATCTGATCTGTATCAGTCAGCATCTTTCCTATTCATGCCAGAGCTTGCCCATTGTGTTCACAAATAAAGTGTCCATAGCAGTAGAGATAGCTGCTATTCATGGGTTCAATAATACAGAAAGATTTCTCCCATCTTGTTGGGTCTGGATACCACTGATGCTGAGTGCTTACTCTCCCAAGTCAGAGACTCAATTTAGCCCTCTCTATGATACCATACCCTAGGGAGACCAGAGAGTCAACTGGTTTCCTCAGTAAAATAGAAATTTATTCTAGTAATCCCGGCACTTTGGGAGGCCAAGGTGGGTGGATTGCTTGAGCTCAGGAGTTTGAGACCAGCCTTAGCAACATGGTGAAACCCCTTATCTACCAAAAATACAAAAATTAGCTGGGCATGGTGGCACACATCTGTGGTCCCAGCTACTCTGGAGGCTGAGATAGGAGGGTCGCTTGGGCCCAGGAGGTGGAAGTTGCAGTGAGCCAAGATCGCACCATTGCACTCCAGCCTGGGTGACAGAGTGAAACTCTGTCTCAAAAATACATAAATAAATCTGTTCTAGGTATGGATTTACCTAGAGTAAAGGTATTATCACCATACTCTACCTTAAGAAGAATCGGATAGTGATGTTTAAGGCAGGGATGAAGGGTAAGAAGATCGACCAGGCCTGACAGCTCACGCCTGTAATCCCAGCACTTTGGGAGGCCGAGGCGAGAGCAATGCTTAAGATGAGGAGTTCAAGACCAGCCTAGGCAACGTAGCGAGACCCCCCAACCCCCATTTCTACAAAAAATGTAAAAATTAACCAGGTGTGGTGGTGCATCCCCTCATCCTGGCTACTCAGGAAGCTGAGACAGGAGGATTGCTTGAGCCTAGGAGATCAGGGCTACAGTGAGTCATCATCGCGCCACTGCACTCCAGCCTGGGTGACAGAGCAAGAGATTCTACCTCAAAAATAAATCAATCAACAAGGATAGGAAGATCAAGTACAAAGTACCATTAAAAAAAAAAAAACCCAAAAGCTACTTAAAGTCAGGTTATATCTGCCAGGTTATATCTGCCACAATCCCTGTAACCTCCCTGCTGTCGAGCTTCTCATACTTCATGATCATGGACACTCATGAGAACAGGTGCAGTGTCCCTGTTGCTTGCCATTTTATTTGCTAGTGCTTAGCACGTTCCTGGGACATAGGAGAGCTCAACAGATATGTACTAAGTGTTTTCTGAATCTCATACATTTTAATATTTATTTGCTACTACTTAGCACCGTGCCTGGGACATAGGAAAGTTCAACAGATATATGATAAATGCTGAATCTCTTATATATATTAATATTTATCATAATGCTTTAAAAATATTTTGGTCTATGCAGGTACTCAACAGATACTTGTTAAGTGAAAAAAAAAAGATTATAATCAACTAGGTCAGGAGTCAGAAAACTACAGCCTGTGGGCTCGCCACCTGTTTTTTGTACTGCCCATGAGCTACGAATGGTTTTTACATTTTTAAAAGGTTGGAAAAAATCAAAAGAAGAATAATATTTCACAATGCATAAAAGTTATCTGAAATTCAAATTTCAGTGTCCATAAATAAAGTTTTATTGGAACACAGCCACACTCATCTGTTTACATGTTGTCCAGGGTGATTCTGCACTACAACAGCAGAATTGAGTCGTTATGACAGAGATCATATGGCCTGCAAAGCTGAAAATATTTACTATCTGGTCCTTTACAGAAAACGTTTGCTGACCCCTGAGCCAGATCTTCCAAAATGTGGAACACAACAGTCTTGAAGAAGATGGTTAATATAGTGCTGTTTCCTTCTTTGCCCAATATCACTCCTTCACCTCAATTTCTACTAAAGAAAACAAACTGGTTTTCTTATATTCCATGGCTCTGAGGTAAGGTTTATTCTGAAACTTGCCAGTACCCGTAGGCTCCTCTTGGCCATGTCTGAAATAATTAGATATACAGTAGCCAAGATAGATAAATACACACAGAGAGATGGAAGGAGAATGACTGAGAACATCAGAGGAAAAGATGGAACACCACACTTGGGTGCACTAAATCCATAAGGGAAATTTTTCTTCTGTCAGTATCAATTCAAAACTATGTAATTAACACTATTTTTATTATAGTGAGATGTTTATTGCGATTACTGACAGAACTGTCTCAAAACTGATATTTAGTATAGTAGGGTTTGACCTGTATTTGGAGAAGCTATGTTTTAAAATAATACATTGAGATTCACCAAGGAAGGAACCATCAACTCTTCCCAAAGATAGAAATTGAAGAGTTTCTTTTCCTGAAATAATTATTTCATTAAATGTTACAAGTTGATATGTTTTAGTGATTTAACTTCTTCATCAGTCTCTGCAAAATGCATCATTCCATCTCTCTACTACTCATCTGGAGGAAACACGTGCTAGTAACTGACTTCCCTTTATTTTTCTCTACATTCCAGATTCTTTATCGTTTAACTTTATTACAGGCAAGCAGAGCTTGGTCCGTATTAGAGTGACAAAGACTATTTCCTTAATTACTGTACAGAGATAATAGCATTTATTCTGGCAGTTCCCGTGTTATTCAATCAGGCAAGATCCAATACAAAAAAAAGCTGATTTGCCAAAAGGGAGATTAGCATAAGTGCCTACAGTCACATTCTATTTTTTGAAGTTTACGGCTTTCAGGGAGCACTTCTTGTTGGAAGTTCTATTTAAAAATTATGGAAGGATTATGATACTAGTGTCCACCTGATAGAGGAAAACAAGGAAGGCAAGTGGGCCATTTTAGAAATCACAACTGTTAAGCTAATTGCAATTTTGAAAGTAAACCTAATGGTACTGCAGAAAACAAGAAGAACGACTCTAATGTAATCCTGGCAGCATTGTGATTTCAAACTGCTAAACCATGCAATGTATTTACTTTTCCTTTGTGTGGGCTTGCATATTTACCTTCACCAAGGATATTTCTCTGTTTCGTGGTTATACATTGCAGCACTCATGACTGATGAATTATTGTCAAGGACAAACTAAGGTTCTTGCTTTTTACCAAAACGACTTTTTATAAAACACAAAACTTTTCCACAGGGGAAATGCAGATTTAGCATTATGCATTTTCGTTAACAGGTTTAACAGGATGGCCTACTACAAATGGTGAATAAAATGAGAGCAAACTTGGGAAAGCAACTGCAAAGGTAAGATTGAATTAAGGGTAAATATATGCAAATTGTCCCAGCCCTAACGCTGTCTTCTGAGGAAAATGCCAGTGCTACTGATTATTTTTTGGAATTTAAAATGGCAGTCACCCAATTGTTTTGCCCTTTACTGCGATCACTAGAAGGAAATACTTCTAACCCAACCCAAAATGTCACTTCTAAAGAAAAAGTATGTACATATTCCCATAATAACCATAAAGCATGGGAATATTTTGTTTTATTTTACTTCTTTATCTTTTCAAGCTGTTAAGACTATTTCTTTTTTGTTTTTTACATTTTTAAGATACATATGGGGTCTCACTATGTTGCCCAGGCTAGCCTCGAACTCCTGGGCTCAAGCAATCCTCCCATCTTGGCCTCCCAAAGTGCTGGGATAACAAGCATGCACCACCACACCCTACATCCCCAACAAACCTCTTCTAGGGTTCCTTGTAATCCTATCTACAGTATCATCCAGAAATTCTCATTGAGTCCATTTCAACACCTGAAAAGACATGCGATGTACAGGTACTTCTCTGTAATGTGATACACATCCTCTTGGTTAAAGGGTTTTAAAGTATCTCAGGACTTAACTTACAAATCTCATAAATAAATACTGTAGCCTGAGTTTGGCCTCAAAAAATAAGAAAGGATACATAAAAGAAAAAAAGATCTGATGGAAATAGGGAAAAAAATTATTATTTGTTAATCCTGAGTGGTGGGTACAGAGATGTCTGTCATTTTCTGGTTTTCTGTATTGGAATGCTTCATAACTTTAAAAATTGTTTTTCTAAGGCCAAGAAAAGCTAAAGAAGTTACCAGGTGCTCAAATTCTAAATGAAGAAACGAGAAGGACTAGGGAAAATTGCACTGCATTTTTCTTTTTCGGGGTAGTAAATTGAAGAAAACGCTGAACTGCAGTTGCATTGAAGGGACAATGATCTAGGGGGTCCCTGGGAGCAGTATTCCTATTCCATTGAAGGAGGTGAGCCAAGATACTTATAAGCTCTAGAGAACCTTTAACACAGGAAGCTATTTATCATAACAAGCTTGGTTGATACTGTTCCCATACTGAACCAATTAGGTTCGCCTATTTCGTCATACTTCATAACTTGGGATGATAGGTTTCCAAGTATGGTACAGTGTAGTAATTGAATTTTGATCAAACACACATGGCCCATAACCCACTATGTGAAATTTTCAGAACAGTTCACAGCTTTTAAATATCCAGTCAACATGTTGCCAAAAGTACAGGATGTACTTGATGCAAGGGGGAGAGAAAGGGGAGGGCTGAATCTTGGTAGAGTTGTAAAACAAATATTTTTGTTCTTGTTCTCTTCTTATTTTTCAAATAGCAGTGGGGAAAGGCCATGGGATATCATATCAAAACTCAAGTCTTCCCCTTGCTTGTTCCATGTGCGTAAACATCCTTAAGTCTCATTTCAGATCAGCATTTTCTTTTGCATGAAACTATTTTCACGTCACAGGCCTGTTACACACGACCTGCTAGCATTCTCCTTCCAGCACTATCCAAAAAGTATTTCTTGACAACCTACTATATGTTAGATACTGGGTCTCCTGGTAAACTCTTTTGAACAAAGAGACATGATCCCTGCCTTCATTTGATCTACTGTGGATGGAGAGACAGACATAAAATACATAAAAACATCAATAATTTTTTATAATTGCAACCACTAATAAGTAATATGAAGGAAAAATAGGGCATCAGGAGTAACGATAATGGGGATGTGATTTATCCAGAAAGGAGGAAGTAGAAAGGAGAAGCATGGACTGCATTTCCAAGGCAGTGCCATGTATGTTGAATTCTGAAAGATGAGAAGTGATCCAAGAGAGTGAACGCTGAGAGAAAGTATTCCCAAAAGAAGTAGGCAAGTAAGCATATGGATAGGCCTTGAAGTAGGCAAGAGTTTGGCAAGTTCAAGGACCTGAAGTCTAGTATATTCAGTGAGAGAGCCGCTAAAAAGATACTGGGGGCCAGACCACACAAGGCCATGCAAAGGATTATGCAAAGTGCAGTCACTGAAAGCTGGTAAGCCAGGGAATGACATGATGGGAGGCAGGCAAGACTAGAAGCAGAAAGACTAACTAGAAGGCTTTGGCAATTGTCCAGCTGGGAAGTGATAATGGCTTGGAACACAGCAATAGCAAGGATGGAGAACAGTGGGCAGATCTGGGAGATATTGTGGAGAAGAACTGACATGATTTGGTGATAACTGGATGTGGGAAGTGAGGGAGAGGGAGGCTCCAAGGACATTTTCAGGTTTCTAGTTTGAATGACTTAATGAGTAAAGTCTAATGAATAACAACTTGTTAGTATAATCCGCAAGACTACACCAAAGCAGTAGGAGAGCTACACAACTTTCACAAGCTCCCATGTCTGCAGGAGTGCTCTGCTCTCTTTGGATTCTGTAGGAACAGAGGCATCAATCAGGTGCTGGGAATACAGAAATTTTCCACCAACGTGCTCATCAAACTTTCCTTTACCGTAAGCCAAAAGAATGTCTCTGAGCTATGAACATCAGACTTTAATATAAACTTTAAAATCTTACTCTCAGCTCTACGGACATGGTTATAGGTGTCTGGCAATTGAACTAGGAGAGCCTGAAAGTAAACACATTGTCTCTTGGAAATTGATGAAAAAACCAAGCATGTTTCTTTATTCATTCAAAAGATTTTACTGAGCATCTTTAGCCTGAGAAGTAGGAGGTAAATTAGACGTGTTCCCTGCCTGGGCAAAGAGTATATTCTATTAGGGGAGAAAGAGGCATACCAAGATGTGCGTAACACAGTTATGCAGTACGTAGTATGTTACATAGATCTAGCAAGACAGCGACATTTAACAGATGACAGGGAGGGGGTGGAAATTCGGTGCATGGGCACGGCTATGAAAGATTTCAAAGAGGCTGTATTTGAGACAAGCCTTGAAAGACCAACAAGAGTTTACTAAGCAGAGAAGAGGATGGGGGAGAAATTCCCAGAGGAAGAAACAGCACAAGCAAAGGCACGAGGGTCCTGAAGAGCACTGGGTATTTGGGGCTAAAGGGTAAAAAGAGCAGGGTATCTGATTCCAGATTAAAATGTCATCCCTCTATTCTGAAATCTGAAAAATACTAGCAGCTTGATTTGTCCACAGTCACTTGTGCCAGGTAGAGAATCCTAATTCGTGTAGGCCCAAACCAACAAGAACCTCTTGATGTGACTACTGCCTGAGTATTGCAGTGTTCGTGGGAGCTTTAAGTTTACCTATCCAGATGGGAGAACCTCTTTCCCGAAATTCATAAGCAGTCCCACAACTCCGCCAATGCTACAGGACCCAGCTTTCTGAGGCACCTAGAAAGACATGGCAGTGGCCCAAGGTGATGCTTAGGTGGGCTGGCGAATGCACACAATAGAATGTCTGTCTGTGACATTTAATCTCACTCTGGCAAACTGGTGCAGCTGCCCTTGTACAACAAACGGGAAGGCACAGTGAGTGACCACCACCAAAAACAAACAAAACAAGTGTGTGCGTGCGTGTGAGCTTTAAAATTTAATAGCTATTCAGACAGTCCTTAGAGAAGGAATTGGCAGCTTCGGCCTCCAAGACTGCTCCCCCACCTGTCTCCAGGCACTGCAAACACAGCTGTGTAAGAAGGAGACAGTCAACGCTTCCAAGGAAAGAAATAGTGCAGTCTTGGGGGTGGGGTGATGATGAGAGCACCTTTCTCACAAACCCACGTGGGACAGGGCCTTGTCTAGCAACCGCAAAAATAATCGAGCAGGACGTGGTCAATCAAGCTCTTTATAAAACCTCATGTTAAGTAAAATCATTCAAGATCCAACTCAATGGCCACCTTAAACCCATGTTTTAAAAGCATGAGACAGAGCACACAATTCATGCTCAAAGGAGAACGAGGTAGCATGCATGCTGGCAAGACGCGCATTCAGGTTTGCTCCCGGTATCAAGATGAGACGTAAAGACGATTTATGCACTGTCATAGAACTTGTAGTTCCTCACACAAAACACAGAACTTCCTGGGAAAGTGCCTAGAAACTTCTTTATCTGTATTTCCCCAGGCTGCAAAGTGCACACATTTTTAAAGTTCAACTCTTAAAAAAAAAAAAAAGTCAGCAGAGGCAAGATTTCAACAGACGCCGGTCCAAATGTTAGCAATTCTAGAGTGGTCAGGGGTTTGCCGCTCCCAAAAGTAAGGGGGAAATTAGAAGAAGGAAAGAAGTCGTTTTCGAAGACGAAAACCAAAGCAAGGAGGTATTTTTGGTATCATTTTAATCACAAAATAGCACGAATGCGGTCTGTGCCTGTGCGCTACCCAAACGTCGATTTGAATACCACTGAACGCTAGTTTGAAAATTTCCATTTTTGTAATTTGCTTTCTTTTGTTAAGCCAAGACTTGAGAGAAACCTGGCAGCCGTCTCTAAGTCTGGCACGATTTCACCTCAGACGCACTCGGTTGGTTTGGATGTTGAGGGAGACCGCACATGAGAGAGGGAGAAGGAGGAAAAGAGAGCTGGAGAGCAAACCTACCGCTCGGCGGCCGCCGCAGAGAGCAGGCCCAGGGCTTCTCAGCCGGGGGATCTGGCTCCACCTACAGGAATCAGAAGGCAAACCTAGTAGACGCCTCGGCGTCTGCAGGAACCCGGTGGGGGCTGGGGGAACTTTGATAATTGCCTAGAGAATTTCCTAGCCAGTAGGAATGGGGGTCGGTAGAAGTGGTAAGGATTGGGAAGCAGGGATTTCCATGACCAGATTACCCACAGTCATATCAGATTCAGCGATTCTTATTTGGAGGAGAAAAGGTATCATGTCACCTCCTATGACCTAGGAATTTTAACTGGTTCCAGGTAAACCCCATTTGAAAGCAAAGGCAGCACCTGGTCCCAGGACAGGCCCAGCACATAGCATGCTCAGGCAATAACATTTGAATGAATGAATGAATGAATGAATGAACTGAATAATCCAATCTATCAAATAACAGAAACCTAATATGATAAAAAGAAAACCAACCCCCAACCCCAACACTGTTTTTCAGGTATATGTATGAGTTGTCAGGCATTTTTGATGGCTAGTAATTACTACAAAAATCCTGCACCATGTAGGCTAGTCGTGTTCCACCTCCGATGTGCCAGAGCAGTGATTGAGTACCACCGATTTCATCCCATGCCCTCATTTGCCAACGAATAAACAGAAGCTTGAAGAGGTTAAATGCCTTTTCCCAGGTCAACCAGTTTGTTGGTGACAGAACTGGTTTGGGGCTAAATTTTCCTGACCTGTCTGGTATTTGTTTTCTAAGGGCAGGAGACTCATTTTGCATTGGCCTGCTGGATGCCCTCAGCCGATTAGCTCTCACAGGAGGAAGTTAGCTTCCCCCACCCACCTGTTGGCCTGTCCCTGGGCTTCTGCCCCAGCTTCTGCTCTGGGCCACAGCCTCTGCTCATGCTGCTCTACTCCAAAAATCAAACGCTGCCTGGAGCTAATGCCAATGGTTGCTAAACTTATGAATTCATTTCCTAAAGCCTGAGGGACAGAATCTTTGAGCCTGTGGTTTAGTAAGCTACAAACAGGCAGGTGCTTTGTTTTGGCAACACAGGTGTCTTATATACAATATCTCCTCCATCTATTTACCCAAAGCACTTAATAAGCAGTTACTGAGTTTCCCAATGATAGTTATAGAAGAAGATGTTATTTACCAATTGAAAAGGAATTTTTGCCGTAGGCAGTTAGCACTCAGTTTCCAGATGAAAAGGTGAAGATCCTTCTGGGAAGTGAGATGCTGTGTGCATTATGTGAGATGAATATGATCCAGGGAAAGATAGCAATTAAGCAGATCCAGATTCTTTTTTTTTTTTTTTTTTTTTTTGAGATGGAATTTCACTGTTGTTGCCCAGGCTTGAGTATAATGGCGCAATCTCGGCTCACCACAGCCTCCACCTCCCGGATTCAAGTGATTCTCCTGATTCAGCCTCCAGAGCAGCTGGGATTAGAGGCACCTGCCACCATGCCCGGCTAATTTTGTATTTTTAGTAGAGACGGGGTTTCTCCATGTTGGTCAGGCTGGTCTCAAACTCCCAACCTCAGGTGATCCACTAGCCTCGGCTTCCCAAAGTGCTGGGATTACAGGCGTGAGCCACTGTGCCCAGCCTAGCAGATCCAGATTCTAACCACAACCTGTCTATAAAATGGAACTAACACTGTCATGACCTCTGAATGGATTAAAAATTAATCATTATTATTAATCACAATATTAATAATAATGCTGAACTATTACTAAGTGCTTACTACATTCCAGGCTTTCAAATGACCACTTTACATGCATTGTCTAACTTATCCTCAGAGCAACCCCATGCGAGTTATAATTATTACCCCCATTTTACAGAACAAGAGAACTGAAGCTCAAAAGGGTTAAAATACTCACCTACAGTGACAGTTTACAATGGTAAGGCTAGTGGTTGGATCCCAACTCCTATCTGACTCGGGACTTCAAAACATTATGTAACACAAGAAATGCCTATTAGCTGATTCTATGCCAGTGGCATTCAAATATCAATCTCTAGTTCTGAGCTTTCAAAGGAACTCTGTGCTTCTATTCCCAAATGCTGAAAGAATATCATTAATTATATATTCCACTACTGTCTCAAACTTAAAAGGGCCTAAGCCAAACTCTTTCCTTCCTTTCATAAGCATTTACTGAGAACCATTCATGTTCAAACCTCCATGGTTTGGAATCTAGGGCAGTGGTTCTCAACTGGGGGTGATTTTGCACTCCAGAGGACATTTTATAATGTCTGGAGACATTTTTGGTTGTCACCACTGGGGCTTTGGAGTGCTACTAGCATCTAGTGAGTACAGGCCAGGGATGCTGCTGAATGTTCTACAATGCACACAGTAACTCACCCCCCAAAAGAATTATTTGGCCCAAAATGTCAATAGTTCTGAGGTTGAGAAATTCTGGTTTAGGAATACAAGGATGAATTAGATAGCTAAAACCAATCATCTGATGTAAGAGATATACATATAAATTTTAAGCACGAATTTTACCTAGATATCTGTGTGATGACAAGGGGTCCATCAAGAGCTATGAGGTTTATTATGGGCTGGAGAAGTCTTAGTGGAGGAGGTGGCACTTAAGCCAGGCATCAAAGGAGAGATAAGATCTGGATTCTGGATAAAAAAGAACAAACAGTGTGCAGGGTGTGGGTGTACATGAAGAATGTTGGTTTATTTTAATTGGAGTGGAGGAGGTGTGAAGAGGAGTAGTAGAGAAACGGGGGTAATATTTTGTTGGGGCCAGACCAACAGGCCTGAATGCAAAGACAACTTCGGACTTTAGGTGTAAGTAATAAGAAGCGATCTAACATTTTCACATGGGGTGTAATATGATCACAATGTTCTAGGGAGATGAATCTAGCAGCTGAATAAAAAATGGATTGCGGAGGGTAAGGAGCTGGAGACAAGAAGACATGTTATAACACTATTGCTACAGATTTTGCTATTTTAAAATAAACCACTTGGCTATTTTTGTTATTATTAGTACCAAACAATAACTGAGTGATTACTGTGATTTAGGACCTAAGCTAAACACAATATATATATAATCTTACTTAATGTTTCTCACTTTCATAAGGATTTCCCCATTATATAGATAAGGTAACGGGGTCTTAGACTGGATAAGAAAGTGGCAGTCAGTTTGGAGTCAAGCTCTGACTAACAAAGCCTTTGCTCCTTACTGCTTTGTGTGCTGGGCACATGGTCTGGATTCTTAACCTCTTGATCAAACCAGACTGTTCTCATTTATAAGGTGGGCAATAAAACCAAACAGCTCAGACCCCTACTGGGAATGGGACGGTCTAGGACAAACAGCCTCGGGAAATCTGCTCCTCCTTGGAGGCTGGAGCTAACTGTAGGGATAAAAGGAGTGTTTCTCTGGGCTTTGCCGGGTGTGGGGAGCATAGACATATGTCCTATTACAAATACACCTACATAATAGCTTCCTTAAGTCTATTTTAAGTCTATTCCTCCCAAGGAGATGGAAAGTAAGAGTGAAAACGGGCACAATCTGGGACATCTGAACAAAAAATCAGACTTCTCATGTCAGGCCTCTCCTGCCATGATGAGGTTGCAAGCAGGGGATATGAAGTGGGGAATAGAAGGGCTGTGACTCCGAAATTCCTTGTTGACTTGGCTCCTGATCAGATTGCTAACTAGGTTCAGGTGTGAGCTCCAGTTTTGTTTCAGAGACTTTTGGGCACAGGCGAGGAAGGAGAGGAAAGGCATCAAATGTATCTGTAGGCAGAGTGGGTGGCAGCACTAGAATTGGAGGGTGTGCCAACAAAGGCATTGCCATACGTGCCTGCTGGCACCAAGTGGCAGTGACAGGCCTCTAGTGGGCCTGCAACTAGACTGTGTTTGCTGATCCAGGACTCCAGCTTTTGTTGTGAAAGAAGATTCATTACAAGGAACAAGAGAAGGAAAGGACCAAAACAGTGTCCACCACTGAGCACCCAAGGACCAATAAATGAATTACACGTGAGAACCTCCTTGAATTCTTCCAGAACTGTCAGATAGAAAAAGATGGTGGACATACTCACAGAGCAGACAGGGCAGAGCCAGAGAGACACTGTTTGATGGCCACCTCTGCTGTTCTACCTGACTCCTTCCAATGCAGGATAATCTTGAAACTATTTTGGAAAGTTCGTGATCTACAATTTAAAGATCAAGCACTGCAGAATTTCAAGATTCCAATTATTCTTTCTAAAATCCCACAAATTTAAAGAAACGTAAGTTCTTGCCACACCTCTTAGATTTTGACATTCTAATGAATATACTTTTAAAACAAATCAGGATACAGACTCCCTCTCTAGCCTTGATTTCCTCAAGGTCAATGATTAAATCTGCAGCACTGGGCTCAGGAGGTGCTCAAGAAGTGTCTGCCAGGTTTAACAGAGTGCAACGTTTGCCCAAAGCATCAAGAATATTCACTACATGAATTAATATAATTTTAATCCAACTTTTACTTTCACCTAGTTATAAAAAAATAACCTTATGCATCAATATGCCTATTTTCACACAGCCTTTGCCCACAGTCTGTAAGCTGTCCTAATACTAAGACCAAATGCCAATAAGCAAATGTTTTTTCCTTGAGAAAATATGGAAGAGGGAATTACACTAAAACATACTACTCAGAAGGATCTGTTCCACTGGTTTTGCTGGTAGAAGTGGCATAATTAGACCTCTTCAAACCAAACAGTGTCCTGAGAAAAGAGTGAAAACCAGAAATCCAGGTTCTCATTGATATGGCCTCTTCTCCATTCTGCTGCCTTTCATGAGCTATTCTTTACGGAATTAAAGCTTGAGACTAACAGCACTGCTATCAAGACATGAGGGTCTCTAGACAACTGGAAACATCCCTGGTCACTTCACACACCCCACACCACAAACTCTCTTGCTTGAATCCAACCTGGTAGATAACATATTACCCAACATTGAAGTATCAGGTTGGCTTTGAATCCCTATTGAATGTCTACTATGCATTCAGTGAGGAGTTTCAAGTTATAGAGATTAAGAAGAAAGGCCCTAACGTTTGGCTTATAAGCTAGTTGAAGAAAACACAGTGCATGCAGAACAGTGGAAGACAATATTCCTTCCTCAAACACTACTGAGTGCCTACTTTGAGCTAGGCCCTGTGCTAGACAATAGGGGTGCCAAAAGTAAATTGATTCCATTTTGTTCAATTCAACTCATTATTCATTTGGCATTTATTGATTGAATGCTCTTGTACTAGACCACTGCTTTTCAAACCTTAATGCATATGTAAATCACCTGTGGATTCTGATTCAGTAGGTCTGGGATAGAGCGTGGGAGCCTGCATTGCTAGCAAATTCATAGGGTATGCCAATGCTGCTGGCCTGTGAACCACACTTTGAGTAGTAAAGGACTGTACAATATCCTAGTCCCTGGCTATACAGAGGCAAATAAAATAGCCATGACCCCTGCCCTACTGAAGCTGATATGCTAACAAGGAATGTAAATATCAAACAAGGAAGTAGAGTCAGCGCTATATTTCCACAGGTTCCACATTCATGTATTCAACCAATCACAGATTGAAAACAGCCAGAAAACAACAACAACAACAAAAAAAAACACTGCAACAATAAAGAATAATATAAATAAAAAATATAGTATAACAACTTATTTACATAGCATTTCCATTATATTAGGTATTATGAGTAATGTAGAAATGATTTAAAGTATACAGGTGCCCTCTGTCAATGGCATTCTGGCAAAAAAATATTTTTTAAAGGTAAAAATGTAAAATTAGATAAGAGAGTAAAGAATTTTAAAATAACATAAAAATAGAGTATGCAGGAGGATGTGCATAGGTGATACACAAATACTATGCCATTTTATGTAATGGGCTTGAGTATCAGAAGATTTTGGTATCTGAGGGGGTCCTGGAACCAATCCCCTGAGAATATCGAGGGAGGATCATTCAATAAAGTACAATGCTAGAGGAAGTCCAAAGTTATGTTGGGAGCATTGTGTGAGGGCACCTAACTTCATCTACAGATCAAAAAAACTTTCCTGAGAAAGTGATATTTAGATTGATAAGAATTTGCAAATAGTGAAGGAAGAGCATTTCAGGCAGAGGGAACAGCATGTTTGAAGGCATGGAGGTGAGAGAAAATTTAGATATTTAACAAATATTTACTGAGTTTTCCCATTGCCAGGCTCTGTATTGGGTGGAAGACCCTGGCACGGAGGAGACTACACCAGGGGACACAGATATGGGAGCAAATGACTTCAAAATAATGTGGTAGGAGCTCTAACAGTGGTCAGCACCGGGCACCAGAGGAGCACTGAAGAGATTGCCTAATCCATCCCAGAAGGGATGGTATTGGAGCTGAGCCTTGACAGACGAGTGAGAATAAAGAAGGAGATGTGGCAAGGTGGGAGACCTGGTCCTTGCCTCTATGGACATAGTCTAGTGGGGAAGTTGGCAAGCTGACTGTATAATACTGATTATAGTGCAGTACAATAAGTGTCTAGGAACAGTGCCTAGCACATAGTAGGCACTTATTAAATATCTGTTGAATAAATTAATGTATAAATGCTGTATAATACTGATTATAGCGCAGAACAATAAGTGTCTGGGAACAGTGTCTGGCACATAGTAGGCACTCGTTAAATATGTGCTGAATAAATGAATGTATAAATGCTGTATGATACTGATTATCATAGAGCACAAAAACTGTCTGGGAACAGTGTCTGGCACATAGTAGGCATTCATTAAACATGTGTTGAATGAATGAATTTATAAATGCTGTGCTAGCGGTGGATACAATCAGGTAGTCCTAGAAACAATTGGGTACTAAATTAAGAGTTACCAACTCCAAGTGCCCATAGAGCTCAGAGCACAAAGAGCTCCAAAAGGGTGAAACATGAACCAGACTTGAAGGAAGGATCAACTCTGTGGGATGAAGGTCGGTAGACATTCATCCTGAGAAGGAAAAACTACCATTGACACCGCTAGAAGTAAAGGGCGAAGAAAACAGGAAATGAGCACAAAGCAGGATTTCTTAATCCAGGGTCCATGGTACTTCTGGGGCTTCTATGAAACCCCAGAGATTATAAGCAAAATCCTAGGTATGTATGAGAAAGGTTATTTTACTGGGGAAAAAGACTAGAACTTTCGTGAAATAGTCAAAGGAATCCAATAAGCCTAAGTAGGTCAAGACTGTCTCGGGGAGAACAGTTAACCTACTTCAGATAGCCTGTGAATCACTTCATTCGTGACAAATAATTATGCCAATGGACTCCCAACACAAAAAACCTTGGGACTGAGTGAGCAGCAGTGGTTTCAGCCCTGCCTTTAAGTGGCATTTTTAGCATTTCCTTGCTGCTGCCTATCAATCCAGACCTATCCACGTTGTCAGGGTATCCTTAGCAGCTGATGGAGATGCCTCTTTCCAAAGGCAATTTACATGCACCAAAGTCCTTCCTCCTAATGATTTTCCAGTAGGGACAATTCCCTCTTGTTAGAATGTCCATTGTTTACATTTATCTGATCTTTTCTCACAATTTCCATTGAGCAGCAGTTGCTACAACCACCTGAGCATCAAATGGGCAATTAATTGGAACAGATTTAATAAATGTACTAGAGAAGGGAGCTGTATGTTTATGGACTACAGTCCTTTCATGGTCATGCATAATGGACCAGACACTTTTCCACCCAGCTGCTTATGCTACCACAGTGAACACAAAATTTACATACCTGGAAGAAAACAGCTTCTGAAACATTATTAATGAATGTAGCGAATTTGTCTGTTAGGATAAGCTATGGTATCTCCATGGCTTAACTTTGCACCATCCTATTCTTGGTTAAAAATATCTACAGTGTCTCCCCTTACTGTCTTCTTTCTAAAATATAATTTTATATTTTAATTGAAGTGGCCCTTTTTCAACCAAGAATCAGGGCGTTGTGAAAGAGCAATGTGCATTCCCCCTGTTTGAAAGCACAGGGAATGTTTAAAGTTTTTAGAATACAAAATAACTTTAGAGCGGAAACCTTAGCAACTAAACTATACTAGTAGGAGTGTAATGTTCAAAGAGGGGGACAATGGTCCCAATCCCCTCAGGGTTAGACACACCACATAAGAAATATTTGTATCCAGTACTTGATGCCACATCCTTCAAGGGATAACCATAGGCCCATGAGGCTGGTAGGTGCTCTCAAAGTGAAGGCAAATGGCAATGGCTAACATTCCATGGAGTTCTTGTTAAGTGCCAAGCACTGTCCATTTAATCTTCACAACTACCCCATAAATAAACAATTAGGGGCCGGGCGCAGTGGCTCACGCTTGTAATCCCAGCACTTTGGGAGGCTGAGGCGGGCGAATCACGAGGTCAGGAGTTTGAGACCAGCCTGGCCAACATGGTGAAACCCCGTCTCTACTAAAGATACAAAAAATTAGCTGGGCATAGTGGTGGGTGCCTATAATCCCAGCTACTTGGGAGGCTGGGGCAGGAGAATTGCTTGAACCTGTGAGGCGGAGGTTGCAGTGAGCCAAGATCATGCCACCGCACTCCAGACTGGGTGACAGAGCAAGACTCTGTCCCAAAAAAAAAAAAAAAAGAAGAAAAAAAAAGAAACTATTAGGTTGGTGCAAAAGTAATCGCAGTTTTGCCATTGAAATTAATGGCAAAAACCTCAATTACTTTTGCACCAAGTTAATATTATTATTATCCCCATTTTACAAATAAAGAAACTCAGGGTCATGCACATAGTAAGTGAAGGAACTCAGAGTGCCACTCAGTTCTGTCTGATTTCCATGGACCCTCAGTGTAAGCAGTTGGTATATTTTTAATTAATCTTGCTAGAGATAATTGGTAATTATGACACTGAAATCATTGCAACTGTGTTGTGTGTGCATTAGTCTTGTCTCACCAATCAGAATAAACACACTGTGAAGGCAGTGACCACATTAATTACACACGTTTACTTTCCAGGCTAAGCACAGAGCTGGACTTAAGCAGGTCTTTCTTACATCTTTTGCTGAATAAAATAACCCATTTTGAAATGCTTCAAAAACCAATTTACCCATGAGATTATTGAAGGTGTTGGGGGAAAGGACACTCTGGGGATATGAATCGTTAGGGACATTTTAGAGGACACTTTGTTCATAATTATCAAAATGTAAAATGTGTAAACCCCTTGACCCACAGTTATGTGTCTAGGAGTCTACTCAAACTATTCTATAGAAATGCTGATACATATATGCAAAAATAGATAGAACAATGTATAAAGATACATACATATATATGCAAAGGTATATAATATATATACACCTAAATACGTATATAAATATTCATATATTTCTTTTTTGTTACAGTTCTGTTTATTTTAGCAAAATAAGGAAGAAACAACTTAATTGCCCATCAGCAGGGGAATTGTTAAAAAATTAGGCTACAACCACACCTTACAATACAATATAGCCACTAAAATACTGGAGTAGATGTATTAGGTTAACCATATGAAACTGCCAATGTTTTACTGCTATTGACATAAATAACAATTTCATATGCTTCAACGTAATATATGTACAGATGTGAAAAGATTTATAAGAATATTGGTAGTTGAAAAAAGCAAGTTGCAGAACGGTACCTACAGTATGGCATATTTATGTTTAAGACATAAGACAAACCTATAGAGAATAAACAAGAAAGGTACTCACCAAAAAATTAAGATGGTTATTTCTGGGCATGGCAGTTTTCATATTTTACTCTATAAAGTTCTACATCGTTTTACTCCTTCGTGATGAAAATTTTTTATAATTCCTTGGCTGGGCGCTGTGGCTCATGCTTGTAATTCCAGCACTTTGGGGGGCCGAGGCAGGCAGATCACGAGGTCAGGAGATCGAGACCATCCTGGCCTACATGGTGAAACCGTGTCTCTACTAAAAATACAAAAATTAGCCGGCCTTGGTGGTGCATGCCTGTAATCCCAGCTACTCGGGAGGCTGAGGCAGCAGAATCGCTTGAACCAGGGAGTCAGAGGTTGCAGTGAGCTGAGATTGTGCCACTGCACTCCAGCCTGGTGACAGAGTGAGACTCTGTCTCAAAAAAAAAAAAAATGATACTTTTTAAAAAAAATTTGTTTAATACAACTGATTCCAAAGTATTTACATATTTTGTAAACATTATTTTTCTGATCTACAAGCTCCAAACTCTCAGGAACTCACCATGTTTCTTCACTGGGCCAGACAAGGAGAGTAATAAAGAATTAACCTTAATTATTCAAAGAAATCCAGATGGTGAGAAAAGAGTAAAAAGCAGAACTTCAACTTGGATTATCTCAAGACGATTGCCTGAAAATTTCCTGCTTATTTTTCCTGTTTAAACCTGGCTTTTCAGATGAATGTGAGGTGATCTGCTTTTCTGTGATTCAGAACTTCATAGAATTTGGCAGGCCAAGAATTACAAAGAAAGGAAGAAAATGAAAGGAGGAAAGTGAGGTAGTGAAAGAAGATGGGCAGAACTTGAGAAAGCTTTATAAAGTAACAGAACACACCCCACACCTTTTGGGAACAAAGGAACAAAGCTGATGGAACACAACAGATGTTCTCCTTCCCAAACCATAAAAGCATAACACTCTACAACTCCTCCTCACTCCAAGGAGTGGCCAATGCTCCTTACTGGAATATCTGTACAACAACGGTTTTTGTTGTTATTATTGTTTCCTTAGAACATGGATAAAAAGGAAAAAACACCATTACCAGAAACTGTCAAGTGTGGTTTAACTGTATTATCATTTTATCTTGATTCTTGTTTCTCCCTAACAAATTTCATTGAGGTATAGTTTACATACAACAACATGCACTCATTTTAATTGTACTCATCCATGAGCTTTGACAAAGCAATACACCTATGTCACCACCACTGTAATCAAGATATAGAACATTTCCAACATCCAAAAAGATTCCTTTGTGTCAACATGCTTTGTTCAGAGTGAAATTGAAAAAAAAAATTAAAATTAAACAAAAATGGCCAGGTATGGTGGCTATGCCTGTAATACCAGCACTTTGGGAGGCCCAGGCAGGCAGATCACTTGAGGCCAGGAGTTCGAGACAGCCTGGCCAACATGGAGAAACCTCATCTCTACTAAAAATACAAAAATTAGCTGGGTATGGTGGTGCACATCTGTAATCCCAGCTACTTGGGAGGCTGAGACACAAGAATCACTTGAACCCAGGAGGCAGAGGTTACAATGAGCCAAGACTGCACCACTGTGCTCCAGCCTGGGTGACAGAGCAAGACACCATCTCAAAACAAAACAAAAACAAAACCATTCCTTTGTGCTGGTCTATCCCCACTCACAACCCTAGCCCCTGGCAACCACTGGTTGGCTTTCTGTCACTCTAGATTAGATTTTTCTTTAGCATTTCATATAAGTAGAATCACATGGTATGAACTCTTCTGTATGTGACTTCTTTCACTCAGCATAATGTCGTCGAGATTCACCCATGTTGCTGTGTGCATTGATAGTTCACTCCTTTTTCTTGCTGAGTAGTATTCCACTGTGCGGCTAGGCCATGAGCACAGTTGATCCATTCGCCTATTGGTAAAACTTTGGTTGCTTCTAATCTTTGACTACTATGAGTAAAGCTGCTATCAGCATTCGTTTGACTCTTACTTTTGAAGTGAAATTCAAACCTAGCCGTTTTGGTGAGGCATGGAGATGAGAGATAAAACTAGCATTTTTAAGGCACCTACTAAGAGCTGGGTGCAGAAGATGAAAGACGAGGAAAGAGGGGAGCATTCTTTCCATCTCTAAAGAAAGCACAATAAGGATTGCCCTGGCCAGGCACGGTGGCTCAGGCCTGTAATCCCAGCACTTTGGGACACCGAGGTGGGCGGATCACCTGAGGTCAGGAGTTCGAGACCAGCCTGATCAATATGGTGAAACTCCGTTTCCACTAAAAATACAAAAATTAGCCAGGTGTGGTGGCGCTCCTGTAATCCCAGCTATTCGCGAGGCTGAGGCAGGAGAATCACTTAAACCCAGGAGGCGGAGGTTGTAGTGAACCGAGATCGGGCCATTGCACTCCAGGCTGGGCTACAAGATCGAGACTGTCTCAAAAAAAAAAAAACAAAAACAAAAACTTTCTAAAAATTGAGCAAGGAGCTGGAGTCTCCGGAAATGACTAAGGCCCGAAATATTAAATATTTCTGCTCATAGTTGAAGACAAAACCTTATCCAGCCTTGGCGGCTCCTTTCCCCCTCCCCCTTTATCAGGGACTTAGTTCATGATTAGGACTGCGGCATGGAGGGCGGCCTGGAGCGTGCTGTATTTGTGCTGACCTGGGCCTCCTGGCCTCGCTGCTGTCGCCGAGCTGCATGCTGGTCCTCAACGCCCGCAACGACGATGCGCTGCGGCAGCTGGAGGCCGAGCTGGGCGCCGGGCGGTCTGACTTGCGCGTCGTGCGGGTGCCCGCAGACCTGGGCGCCGAGGCTGGCTTGCAGCCCGCTGCTTGGGGCCTTGCGTCAGCTCCCCAGGACCGAGGAGCTGCAGCAACTGCTCTTCATCAACAACGCGGGCTCTCCTGGGGATGTGTCCAAAGGCTTCGTGGACCTGGGTGACTCCACTCAAGTGAACAAAGACTGGGCGCTGAACTTGACCTCCATGCTCTCTCTGCCGGACTTGCAGCGTCTCGAAGGCCTTACCAACCAGTCCTGGCCTCAACAGAACTGTGGTTAACATCTCAACCCTCTGTGCCCTGCAGCCCTTCAAAGGCTGAGCGCTGTGCTGTGCGGGAAAGGCTGCTGGTAACATTCTGTTGAGGTCCTGGCGTCGGAGGAACCTAATGTGAGGGTGCCGAATTAGGCCCCAGGTCCTGTGGACACAGACGTGTCCCGGAGGTTAGCCCGGTAGACCTCCATGGACCCAGACATGCGAAAAGGCTGCAGGAGCTGAAGGCAAAGGGAGAGCTGGTGGATTGCAGGGTGTCAGCCCAGAAACGGCTGAGCTCGCTGCAAAAGGGGGTGTTCAAGCCTGGAGCCCACGTGGACTTCTACTATAAATAAGCCCATGTCTTTGGCTTCCTGAACCTTTCTGCCCCCACTTTCAGACACACCCCCAGAGCCCCGTGGCTCCCCACACCCTGCCATGGTGGCAGTCCTGCCTTACACAGATAAACACTCATGTCTACTGTCCTACCTTCACACATAGCCTGCTGTGATGAGCTTCCAGGTCGCTGGCCTTACCAGTTGTCGAGAGTCTGGATGTGGCACCCTGGATTATGAGGAGGCTTAGGAGAGAGGTTATGGGTATTCATGTCTCTATCCCCAGGAATAGAATTTAAGGGATGGGAAGAGCAGGAAAAGAAGCTGAAACACACAAGAGAAGAGGTTGTGTCTCCTGCTCATAGCTAGTCCATGGGGAGAGGGAAGAGTGACCTGAGTCAAATAGGAGAACGCATGCAGATTCGCAGATGGCCTGGTAGGGAGGAAGAGCAGAGGGTACAAGTCCCCGCTCACACAGATGCCCCTTGCTGAGGGGAGCAGCAGCTTCTGTTGAACTTTGTGTCCTCACTCTGATGTCTACTTCCTCCAGAATCCACCACCCCTTCCCCAGGCTGGGAGAAGGGGCCGTTGGGTGTCTATGTACATGGCCAAGGCAGATACAAATAAAATTAAAAAAAAAAAAAAAAAAGGGAGAGGGTTACTTAACCTTTTCAGTTAAGGCAACATTGCTACCTTTCAAGGAGTGAGTGATTGAAGTCAAGAAAGAAGCCCTGCTTGGGATTAGAGAAACTGAAAAGAAATACGATGACTCATTAAAACAGTTTGAAAACTATAGAAAGGTCAACAATTTAATGCAAATATTAATTAAATGCCTAGAAAAAGAAAAGGGAGGCAAAAGTGAGTGAAGAAGAACATCTATTGCCCTTCATATGTGTCAACCACTGAGCTACGAGCTTTACCTATATGAATTGAATTGATTTTCATAACCCTATAAGGCAAGTACTATTTTTATCCCCATTTTACATATGAAGAAATCGTGCCACAGAGAAGTTTAATAACCTGCCCAAGGTAACACACAGTAGAGCAGTCAGGATTCCAATTCACTAACTACTGCTTTATCCTCTTCCTTGGCACTACATACCAGTGACTGCTGGGGCAACAAAAATGTAGAAAACATGGTCCCAGTCTTTGGAGGACTCATGGGGAAACACCATACAATATTCTGACTTTGGGAAAGTGACCTAATATTTCTAATTAAAATGGAAATTAATAACCCCTTTAATGTCCTCCTTACAAGGTTCATTTATTTATCCCATAAGTTCTTACTGAATATCTATTATGTGCCAGGCACAGTGCTGAAAGTTCCTCATGGAGCATATTTTCTAGAAAGAAGACAAGGCAATATTCATGTAAAAAATAGCCACCGGGCATGGTGGCTCATGCCTGTAATCCCAGCACTTTGGGAGGCCGAGGTGGGTGGATCACCTGAGGTCAGGAGTTCGAGACCAGCTTCACCAACATGGTGAAACCCCGTCTCTACTAAAAATACAAAATACAAAAATACAAAAAATTAGCCGGGCGTGGTGGTGCATGCCTGTAATCCCAGCTACTCGGGAGGCTGAGGCAGGAGAATGGCTTGAACCTGGGAGGCGGAGGTTGCAGTGAGCTGAGATCATGCCATTGCACTCCAGCCTGGACAACAAGAGCAAAACGCTGCCTCAAAAAAAAAAAAAGAGCCAGGCACATTGGCTCACGCCTGTAATCCCAGCACTTTGGGAGGCCAAGGCGGGTGGATCGCCTGAGATCAGGAGTTCGAGACCAGCCTGGCCAACATGGAGATACCCTGTC
The DNA here is from genome assembly GCF_000001405.40 of Homo sapiens. Classification (NCBI taxonomy): domain Eukaryota; kingdom Metazoa; phylum Chordata; class Mammalia; order Primates; family Hominidae; genus Homo; species Homo sapiens. Next base: position 61,656,698 of record NC_000001.11, read on the forward strand.
TCTACTAAAAATACAAAAAACAAACAAACAAAAAAAAATTAGCCAGGCATGGTGGCAGGCACCTGTAATCCTAGCTACTCGGGAGGCTGAGGCAGAAGAATCACTTGGACCCAGGAGGTGGAGGTTGCAGTGAGCTGAGATCATGCCATTGCACTCCAGCCTGGGCAACAAGAGGGAGACTTCGTCTCAAAAAAAAAGAAAAGAAAAAGAAAATAGATATATAAGTAAATGGGGGGAGAAAGAATGGGGGCAGAAAGAGAAGGAGGAAAGGAGAAAGGGAAAGAAGGAAGAAGTTATTTTTGGACAGTAACACGTGCTATGAGAAAAAGGAAACTGAGTGATGGGACGAAGGGCGATTTTAAGTTCAGAGGTGGTTGTTACTTTGCCTAAAAGCAGCCAGAGATGTTCTCTGTAAAGTGATGACTTCAAACTGATAACTGAACCATGAAAAGTAGCCAGCCATGTGCAGGTCTAGGGACAGTGAATTCCAGTTGGACAGAAAAGTAAGTGCAAAAATTGTGAGTCAGACAGGTCATCTTATATTTGTGGAAAAGAAGGCACCCAGCATGGCCAAAACATGATGACCAAGGGGGAGAGTAGGAGATAAAATCACAGAGGCAAGCAGGGACCAGATCATGAAGGAACTGGAATTAGATTTTTTTTGTAATCCCAATGAGAAGCTGTGAGGAAGGTTTTGAATAAGAAAGTGATGATTTTTTTTTTTTTTTTTTGACAGCGTTTCACTCTGTTGCACAGGCTGGAGTGCAGAGGCATGATCTTGGCTCACTGCAACCTCTGCCTCCCGGGTTCAAGCTATTCTCCTGCCTCAGCCTCCTGAGTAGCTGGGATTAGAGGCACCTGCCATCATGCCCAGCTAATTTTATGTATTTTTTGTATTTTTTTTAGTAGAGACGGGGTTTCACCATGTTGGCCAGGCTGGCCTCGAATTCCTGACCTCAGGTGATCCGCCTGCCTCAGCCTCCCAAAATGCTGGGATTACAGGCATGGGCCACTGCACCTGGCCAAAGTGATGATCTTATTTTCATATTTTATACACTTCCCTGGCTGCTCTGTAGAGAATGGATTTGGTGGGACTAGAGGGAAAGTGGGGAGAGCAGTAAGGAGGTGGTTGCAGGCTGGGCGCAGCGGCTTATACCTGTAATCTCAGCATTTTGGGAGGCTGAGGTTGTTGGATTACTTGAGCCCGGGAGTTCAAGGTCAGTCTGGGCAACGTAGTGAGACCCTATCTCTTCAGAAACTAAAAAAAGTAGTCAGGCGTGGTGGTGTGCATCTGTAGTCCTAGCTGCAAAGGGAGGCAAAGGTGGGAAGTTTGCTTGAGCCTGGGAGGTTGGGGCTGCAGTGAGCTGTGATTGTGCCACTGCACTCTAACCTGGGTGACAGAGAAAGACGTTGTCTCTAAAAAAAAAAAAACAAGAACAAACAACGACAACAAAGCAAGAAAGTAGTTGCATTAGGCTAGATAAGATGGTGGTGGCTTGGTTAATGGTAGTGACTATGAAGTGGAAACTAGTTATTGGAGTCAGGATTTATTCTGGAGGTGTAGCCCATACGACTTGCTAATGAATTGAGGAATTGAGAGGAATCAAGGGTAACTTTCAGAATTTCAGTTTGGGCAGCTGTTTGAATGGTGGACTCCTTAGATGACAATGGAAGGAGCATATTTGTGCTTAATTTTAGAATGAAAAAGCATTTGCAAATTATAAAATGCTCTCCAAAAGTATACTGACACTGAAGAAGTAGGCCACCATGAGTCTTATAGCTGCAAGGAACTGAATTTTGTCAACAATCTGAATAATCTTAAAAGTCGTCTTTCCCAGTCAAGCTTCCAGATGAGAATACAGCCCTGGCTACCTGATTGCAGTTTTGTGAAATCCTGAGCAGGGGTATCAAGTAATTTTGATGCAAATCTAAAAGGCAGGGACCAATTCAGTCCCAGCTGGCCCCAGTCGTATCTGGCTCCCCATTCTTGGTGGGCCATGAGCAGATTTTCCTTTAGGGAAAGGGAATTTGATGACTATGTGGCCCTCTCAGGAAAGGCTATTTGATGACAATAATCTTTGTCATTCTCTCTTGTTGACCCACCAAACCAGTCACAAATGCTGGGTTACTCTGTTCTTTTCTCAATCACCACATTTGATTTCGCTGAACTTGTAAAAATCTATTCAACCCAGGAAAATCTGCATCTACAAGGCTGGCATCTCTTCTCCTAGATAAGAAACAGTTCCCCCAAAACTGAGACCACAACTCCCACCTGCTTCTTGAAATCTTTCCAGACCACAGGACCCCAAGGCTGGGTGGGACCATGATGGTCACACAGTTAATTCTCCTGGCAGATGTCTGAATCCTCCACAGCCTATCTGCCATGGCCTCTTGCTTAAAACTTCCAAAAAGGAATTGTGGAGACAGATAAACCTAATTCTAAATTCTGACTCCATTTCCTGCTACCTGTGGATCATGTACAAGTTCCCTAACATCCTTGGGCCTTAGTTTTTTCATCTGTAAATGGGGGATAGTAATACCCTTACAGAGTTGTTTTGATCGATCTAAGTGAAGCACTAACTCTTGCTTCTCCCTGTCTCCCTCTAGTGATGAAAAACTCTAGCCCAGTTTTCTCTGATTTCTTTTACCTGTTAGTCTCGTTAACAACCATTTTTGACACCTAATAATATGCTATGTTTCATTGTTCTTCAATTGCTTTGTAAGCATGGGTCATGACCTCCCAAGAAGGCTGAAGATAAGCAGCCATATTTTATATTTCTTGGGGTCTCCCAAAGGATTTAGGTCAATCCAGGGCATGCAGCAAGCATACAGTGAAACAGTAAAACCTGCCAAATTAAATTAACAATCCATCATTATGAGAATAACTTAAAACTGGCTCTCCCAAATGAACTGTCATTTAATTGAAGTTTGTCATAAAAGGACTGCCTTTCTACCATATCCATTTTCAAGTTAAAAAATACTGAGTGCAAAGTCCTTTGCTTTTAAAAAGAAATATTTTCATGCACCTCACGTTTGCATTTGAAACAACCTCCTAACCAAACAAAAAAAAAAGAGAGAGAAAAGAAACTAAAAATGAAGCATCCTAAATTGCACAATTCCGGTGTTGTTTCCTATCCCTGAGACCAAGACATGCTGAACCTCAGGTTTGCCCCTTTCTTTTCTCATTTGCCTACCCATTTGTGTATCCAAGAGTTAAGATTTTAAAAGATTGATTTTTTTTTAAAGAAATGAATCCCAAATCTACATACGAACTGTAAGGTTCTCATTTCAAGTAGATACAGGTTACAGTATGTTTGACCATAAAAGCAGAAAGGCTAGGGTAAAGTGCTGTGAGGAATCTATTGGAAGAAATGGGATCAGATAGATGTGGCGCACTTCTCTTAAGTGCATATCACTTAACTGCATAATCAGCTTGTGCTCCTAAGAATTATGCAGTCTCTGTCTGGCCCCCATTAGATTGAATGTGTTGCTACTCCAGTTAATTGCATATCAGCAAATTGCATAATTCAACTATACGCACCCTGAACTGAGTTCCAAATGCCATCCAGGACAATGTAATCAAACTAGGGCAGTGAAGAGCTGGAATACTTATGAGATTCTGCCCATTTGTCACATTTGGTTTGGATGGTCTGTGCTGTGAAGAAGGCAAACCACTGGGCATAGACCTTGTGCCCTGGATTCCTGTATAACCTCTCCCCCACACCACAACCACTGCATGCAGTCCCCATCCCAGAACTAATTAAAATGAGTCCAAAAGAAAACAGGATGTCATCATACGGAAGTGTGATTAAAAAGTAAAAACTCTGACTCCTAACCATGGTGCTCTCCTTCCCAGGACTGACATTACTGATAAGGCAGACCAGAAAAAGCAGCAGCTATTTGGTTCTACCAAGAACTAGCTGAGCAAGTGTATTAGTCTGTTCTCACGCTGCTAATAAAGACATACCCAAGACTGGATTATTTATAAAAGAAAGAGGTTTAGGCCGGGTGCGGTGGCTCACGCCTGTAACCCCAGCACTTTGGGAGGCCAAGGCAGGCGGATCACGAAGTCAGGAGATTGAGACCATCCTGGCTAACATGGTGAAACCCCATTTCTACTAAAAAAATACAAAAAAATTAGCCGGGCGTAGTGGCGGGCGCCTGTAGTCCCAGCTACTTGGGAGGCTGAGGCAGGAGAATGGCGTGAACCCGGGAGGCAGAGTTTGCAGTGAGCCGAGATCGCACCACTGCACTCCAGCCTGGGTGATACAGTGAGACTCCGTCTCAAAAAAAAAAAAAAAAAGAGGTTTAATTGACTCACAGTTCCACATGGCTGGGGAGGCCTCAAAATCATGGTGGAAGGCAAAGGAGGAAGAAAGCCATGTCTTACATGGAGGCAGGCAAGAGAGGGTGTGCAGGGGGAACTGCCCTCTATAAAACCATCAGATCTCATGAGACTTATTCACTATCACAAGAACAGCATGGGAAATCCCACCTCCCACAGGGTCCCTCCAACGACACATGGGGATTATGGGAGCTGCAATTCAAGATGAGATTTGGGTGGGGACATAGCCAAATTATATCAGCAAGTCTTTTCGTCTCTCTAGGCCTTGGTTTTGTCTACCACATTAAGCTGTTATGAGGGTTAAATGCAACACTGCTTGATAACCTACAAATTAATGTAGAAACCTATTACGAGATGCAGCAGAGTGAGGATAATGTGCATTGTATCAAGGAATATAAAGAGTCCACCAAGCTGATAGAAACACTTCAGAAAAGATCTGGGCCACAGAAAGTGGTAAAATAGAAATGAAATGGAAGAAATGGTACTGACCCTGCGGCAAACTCTTCAAAGATTAGATATTGTCCTTGGTTTTGTTTCGGTTCTCACTCTGTAAAGATTCAGTGCTCTTTCTCATACACACATGCACACGTGTCCTTCAGTGGGATCCTCATTATGTTGCTTATTTAGCAGAAATGGCAGCACATACACATTATCCAGCAATAAGCTTAGGGGCTAGTTTTGAAGAAAAAAGTACCCACCATACAATGCTCAAAACTATCCAAATATCCCAAGGAAGATTTTGACATGCAGGTGCCTGCATCTTGGAATATGGAGGAAATGCTCAAATGCCAATTTGCGCTATTGGAATGCAGCCGAAAGACTTCAGTTTCCCACTGCTCTTTGCAGATTTCCTCTACAGGTGCTTTATTCTCAACTTGTGTCTATTAACACTAAGAGTCATATTTTTTAGACACCTTTCCTGCGTATATATTATTCTTCCTGAATCACCTGGAGGAGTATCTAAGTCACTAGCTGCCAAATTACAGAGTAGTTGACTGCTCATTTATTGGCTGCGGAACGGTGAAGAAGAGATGATTCCTAGTTCAGCCTCTAACTATATAATCCTGGGAAAGTTACTTAATCTCATTAAGTCTGGCTTTCCTTTTCCCACAAAATGGGGTCAATAATATAATCTACCTTCTAGGGCTTTTGCGAGGTTTCAGTGAGATCTCATATGCATAACATGAGGCACAATGCTGAGTTGTGTTACAATTTGCTAGCACAGAACTCACGTATTATCCAAGATGGACTAATATGAGTTATGCATCAACATTTTCACAGAATACTGAAATAATGTTTGTTTCAACAAAAATTTGTTTTTTGGGGGGTTTGGGGTTGTTTTGTTTTGTTTTTTTTGAGACGGAGCTTCACTCTTGTTGCCCAGGCTGGAGTGCAATGGCACGATCTCGGCTCACTGCAACCTCTGCCTCCCGGGTTGAAGCAATTCTCCTGCCTCAGCCTCCCGAGTAGCTGGGATTACAGGCATGCGCCACCACGCCCCACTAATTTTGTATTTTTAGTAGCAACGGGGTTTCTCTATGTTGGTTAGACTGGTCTCGAACTCCCAACCTCAGGTGATCCACCCACCTCAGCCTCCCAAAGTGTTGGGATTACAGGCGTGAGCCACCATGCCTGGCCCTTTATTTTATTTTATTTTATTTTATTTTATTTTATTTTATTTTATTTATTTATTTATTTATTTTGAGACAGAGTCTTGCTCTGTTACCTAGGCTAGAGTGCAATAGCACAATCATGGCTCACCGCAGCCTCAATCTCCAGGGCTCAAGCAATCCTCCCACCTCAGCCTCCCAAGTAGCTAGGATGACAGGCATGCACCAGTATGCCTAGCTGATTTTTTCTTTTTTTAATTTTTAGTAGTGATGAGGTCTGGCTATGTTGCCCTGGCTGGTCTCGAACTCCTGAGCTCGAGCGATCTGCCCACCTCGGCCTCCTAAAGTGCCAGGATTACAGGCATGAGCCACCTCATCCGGCCAAAATTTGCGATTTTAAGTCATTTAATCTGCATGTTGTTTTGGCTCACTTAAGTGCCTAATAAAGGGCTTTTATTTGGAAGGACAGCATCATGGTATAAAGCAAAATGTGGGCACAAATCATTCTAGAAAACTGGCAGGAAAAGAAGTGACTCAGTATTTCTGCTCTAATCAATATTATCAGGTGCAGCCGTATTTCACCATTGAAAGGACAATGATCGTGTGCCTGCAAGGAGCTTGCACAGAGAAGGAGCTTAAATTGAGTTTAATTAAGTGCTGGTTGACTTGAACTAAGGACAGAAATTCAACTGACCAATTGTTCCAAATGGAAGAGTCTATTATTTCTCAACAGGTGGATCAAAAACTGAACAAGAATGTTAGTCTAACATTCAAAATCTTCCAAAATCTGGCTCTTTTATGCATCACGATGCCCCTAGAACCCAGTACAGCGCCCCATAGATAATGTGTTCAGTGAATAATTGTTGAATAAGTGAATTAAGTAATGTCTCCAACCTTTGCTTCCAATCTTATCTTCCACTATGTCCCAGCATGAGACCTCCACTCATGGTTTCCTAAATACTAACTTATTCATTCCTACCTGCAAGCCTTTGCTCACAAGACTTCCCCACATGCTATGTTCACTCCTTCTTCCTTTATGCAAATTTGTCTCACTTTTTCTTTTCTTTTTTTTTTTTTTGAGACAGGGTTTCTCTCCCGCCGCCCAGGCTGGATTGCAGTGGTACGCTCTCGGCTCACCGCAACCTCCACCTCCTGGCCTCAAGCAATCCTCCTGCCTCAGCTTCCTGAGTAGCTGGGACTACAGGCACAAGCCACTACACCTGGCTAATTTTTGTATTTTTAGTAGAGACGGGGTTTCACCATGTTGGCCAGGCTGGTCTCGGACTCCTGACCTCAAGTGATCTGCCTGCCTCAGCTTCCCAAAGTGCTGGGATTACAGGCGTGAGCCACCATGCCCGGCCTGTCCCGCTTTTCAAGGTGTGATGGTTTTGAACTGTGTCAACTTGGTTAAGCTGGAACCACATTTTCCAGGATCTCTTTTCCTGTATGATTCCAGGTTTAAGTTGACCAAAAGAGAAATTTGCAAGAGTTCTGGAAAGAACCTCCTGATTAGATGTGGTGAGAGACATAAACAAAGGGGTTAACAAGTTCAAACTGGTCCTCGAATCTCAGTGTTCTGAGAGCAGCTCTCCTACCTGACTGCTGGCCCTGATGACCACACCAACTCCCCGCACCCATCACCAGATGCAGAGTCAACAACCTTCTATTGGCTTCTCCATCAGTTCTCTATGGTAGTCCCACCCCAGAGCTAGATACCTGTGGCTTCCCAGATTTCCCTTGCAAGCTCCCACTCATCCACCCATGGCAGTGTTTCTGATCATTGAAAGCATGGATGGCAGAAAAGAAAAGAAAAAAAATCTGTGTGTTTATTCCAATGGGTAGAAAGTAAATTTAAAAGTTTACTCTATTGGGTAGATGATGGCCAAAGTAAACCATTCTCCCTAATCCTTGCAATTACTCACATACAACCTCCATGCTAAAAAGAAATAAAAAGTAATAAGTAGCAATTTGATATCTGATCTTCCAGCTTTCCTTTCTCGACCTTGTTTCCCCAGATGCTTCCACAATTATGTAATATCTAATTGTTATAATCAGTTCCTCATTCATAACACTCATAGTGGTTCTGCTTACCTGATCAAACCTTGACTGATACACGAGGCTCAGTTCATGTAACTGCTATTCCTTGATCCCTTCTCTGACTATTCTAGAGCAATTTCTCTATGCTTCTTTGGTACAATGTGTTTGTGGCCCTCCACTGGCATTAGTCATATATTAGCTTGTACTGCATTTACATCGACATAGGCCTTCATGGTTCTAAGTGTATGGTTGGTATTTAGGAAGAGTTTAATGAATAAATGAAAATTTACACAGCCTATGTGTCACCATTCTCACACATAGCAAACATTATTTATTGATCCCACCTCTTATTCCCATGACGCTTGAGCTAAGCCTTACAATCCTTTTCAACACAGTGCTACAGATAGGCAGTTGGAAGTGGCATGGATGAGGAAACCAGTTTTTCATGCAGTTTCCGTAAGTCTGAGTATGAATTATACTTTTTAGGCAAATTAAATAGCGTCAAAGGTCATAGTGCATGTACAGATTGAAGCTCAGATGCTACTTCCCTTCCCTACTTCCCACTCTACTGCCCCTATTTTTCACATAGTAGATCCCCAATAAGTATTTGTTGAATGAGAGAATGTTAGTGTAACCTTCACAAATGAGCTGTGTGAGCTCTACAAGCCAAAGTGACTCAACGAAGTTCCAATCTTTTTTTTTTTTTTTTTTTTTTTTTTCTGAGATGTAGTCTTGCTCTTTTGCCCAAGCTGGAGTGTGGTGGCCCGATCTCAGCTCACTGCAACCTCTGCCTCCCAGGTTCAAGCAAGTCTACTGCCTCAGCCTCCCAAGTAGCTGGGACTACAGGCGTTAGCCACTACACCCGGCTAATTTTTGTATTTTTAGTAGAGACAGGGTTTCACCATGTTGGCCAGACTAGCCTCAAACTCTTGACCTCAGGTGATCCGCCCGCCTCAGCATCCCGAAGTGCTGAGGGATTACAAGCATGAGCCACTGCACCCAGCCCCCAGTCCCACCTTTTAAAATAATGAATAAGCAAAAGGCCAGATAGAGTGAGCCTCTTGCATTTTAAGAAGCCCATTCCAGCCATAACAGTCCTTTCTGAGCTAAAGAAGGCAAAGTACAAACACATCCAGGCCCCAACTAACAACAACCAAAATGTCACATGTTGTCAGGTACTTGGAAAGAGGGAAAACCTTTCTAGCTTTTTTCCTTCTGGTGTTATTAGCCCACTGCTTGGCAATGACATAGAAGGAAGACTGTGAAGAAGAAAAGAAGTTGGAGGGAAAGTTTGGATTCAAAGGAGCCAGGTAGAATTAGGTAGAAAATACAGGGTCTAGAGAAGGATATTTTTTGTTCATTTCTGAAAAAGGGACCCAAATAAGCACGATTGATTTGACACTTGGAAATACTATTTTTGGTTTTCTCTCTTTTCCTTAATTTTGCCCTATCAACCAAGACCCATATCTCTAAGAATTCTGTCAGGTACTTCCCATTCCTGTGTTCATTCTCTTATTTCCTATTCCTGTGAATAAAATCAGATGATGCCTCTGATAATCCTGGAAACTGATCACTGAAAGCATGGATGGCAGAAAAGTAAAGAAAAAAATCTGTGTGTTTATTCCAATGGCTAGAAAGTAAATTTAAAAGGTTACTCTATTGGGTAGATGATGTCCAAAGTAAACCATTCTCCCTAATGCTTGCAATTACTCACATACAACCTCCATGTTAAAAAGAAATAAAAAGCAATACTGGTCTTTCCTGTTCTCATTCTCACTTGAAAATTGTGTGTCTGGTTTCTGTTGGTTTCTCATTGGAAGAGAAATTTTAAGAATACCTCAATTCAATTGATGTGTACTCACATGCTGAAGTCTGGGGTATGCACAAGCTAACAAGAGCTATGCTAGGGTGGGGTGTGGTGGTTCACACCTGTAATGTCAGCACTTTGAGAGGCTGAGGTGGGAGCACTGCTTGAGCCCAGGAGTTTGACACTAGCCTGGGGAACACAGTGAGACCCTGTCTCTACAAAAAAATTAAAAATTAGCCAGATGTGGTGGCACATGCCTATGGTTCTAGGTACTCGCTTGAGCTCAGGAGATCAAGGCTGCAGTGAGCCATGATCATGCCACTTCACTCTAGCCTGAAAGACAATGTGAGACCCTGTCTCGAAAAGAAAGAACTATGCTACATTCATTTTCTGCTGCTCCATCAGTCAAAAGAGCACTAAGGCCTGGTTAACTGTTAAACATGAGATATTTTTATTTCCCTTCCACATTTTTGGAAACACTATCATAAGATAGATCCACTGCCGACAGTTTCTCCATTCGAATGAAAGCAGCATTAGGGCCAGATATTATTTTTGTGTTTGCAACCCCAGGGACTAAAGCAAGGCCCGACACAGAGTAGGTGATGAGTAAATGTTTGTTGAATAAATGAATGAGTTTTACTCTTTTAGTATAGCGAGCAGAATAAAGGCCCCCTCCAGGGGTGTCCACATCCTAGTGCCCAGAGCATCTGAATATCTTTTTTTTTTTTTAAGTATCTTATCTTACATGGCAAAAGAGACTGCGGATGTGATTAAGAATTTTGAGATGAGAAAATTACCCTGGATTATCTGGGTGGGCCCAAGGTAATCACAAGTGTTCTTATAAATGAAAGAGAGAGGCAGGAGTGTCAGAATCAGTGAAAGAGATGTGACAATGGAAGCAGAGGTCAGAGTGATATGTGGCCAATGAACCAAGGAATGTGAGTGTCCCATAGAAGCTGGAAAAGACCAGGAAACCGATTCTCCCCTAGCGCTTCCAGAAGGGCACAGCCCTGAAGGCACTTTCATGCTCAGTTAGACCCATTCTAGACTTCTGACCTCCAGACCTGTAAGATAATAAATTTGTATTTTTGAAGCCAGGGAAGTTTGTGGTAATTTGTTACAACAGCAACAGGAAATAAGTACAAGTAGCGCTAACATTAAGAGGCCATACAATAAATCATTTGTAATGGACAATAACCAAAACGATAGCCAGCATGTATTGAGAACTTAGGGAGAAGTGCAGTACAAGATGCTTTACAGACATGCCTTATTCTAATTCTCTAAACGAGACCATAAGACAGGTATTGGCCAGGTGTGATGGCTTACACCTGTAATCCCAGGGCTAAGGCAGGCAGATCGCTTGAGCTCAGGAGTTTGAGACCAGCCTGAGCAATAAGGCAAAACTCCATCTCTACTAAAAATACAAAAATTAGCTGGGTGTGGTGGCCCATGCCTGTAGTTCCAGCTACTTGGGAGGCTGAGGTGGGAGGATGACTTGAGACCAGGAGGTGGTGGTTACAGTGAGCTGACATCACACCACTCCACTCCAGCCTGGGTGACAGAGCCCGACCCTGTCTCAAAAAAAAAAAAAAAGAAGAAGAAGAAGAAGAAGAAAAGACAAGTTTTATTATTATTCTCAAGTTATAGCTAAGGAAACCATGGTTTAGTAAAGCTAAGTGACTCGATCAAGATCACAGCTACCAAGTGGCAAAACAAGGATCTGAACTCAGGCAATCTGACTCCATGTCATACTATCTCCCATGTTAGTGCTGAGAGGTGTGAAAAATGGTCTTGGTCTATAAGTCAGTCCTGGCCCTCAAGGAACAAATAGAAAGGAAAAGACCACTCTAACATAAACGTCAGATTATAGAGAGTCTAATACAGATCCTAAATTATCTACCACCTACATTTAATGAGGAAAAGGGGAGAAGAAAGCTGGAATCCTCAGGACTGGATGGAGCCGGACTTGGAAGTGTGCTTCAGTTATGGACAGGCACAGTGGAGGTCCGTTACAGGCTGGGGAAAGGAATGAGTGAAGGAATATTTGGCGCAAATAAACATGAAAATGGAGAAAGAAAATACTCCACAAAGCCTGCCAGGGGAAAAAGTCTGATAAAGAAAAACAAGAAGGCCAGGTGCAGTGGCTCACGCCTGTAATCCCGGCACTTTGGGGTGGCTGACACCTGTAATCCCTGCACTTTGGGAAGCTGAGGGTGGTGAATCACTTGAGGTCAGGAGTTAGAGACTAGCCTGGCCAAAATGGCAAGACCTCGTCCCTACTAAAAATACAAAAAATTAGCCAGGCATGGTGGCATGCATTTGTAATCCTAGCTACTCAGGAGGCTGAGGCAGGAGAATCACTTGAACCCAGGAGGTGGAGGTTGCAGTGAGTCGAGACTGAGCCACTGCACTCCAGCCTGGGGGACAGAGGGAGACTCCATCTCAAAAAACAAAAAAAAAAAAAAAAGAAAAGGAAAAAAGAAAGGAAGGAAGGAAGGAAAGAAGAGAAAGAAGAAAGGAGAGAAAGAAGGAAAGAAAGAAGATAAAATACTTAATTATTTTTATTGGAATGGTAACATTTATGGAGCACCTATTCCACCTAAAGGGCATATTCACATTTGTTATTTAATTTAATACTCACAAATCCCAACTAAATGAGTATTATTAAGCTTCATTTTTACAAAAGAGGAAATTAAACATCCAGAGAGATTAAGTAATTGCTGCCAGGCACATACCCAGTCAGTTTGATTCTAAAATTCATGTTCTTTGTTTTTGCCCCCATGATAATTTCAGCCCTTCTCTGAGAAGGAGCATGTTTCCATTAAAGTAAGAATAATAGGCAGAGCTGTCTGAAAAAAAAAAATTGGAAAGCGTTGCTTCAGAAGGTGGAAAGTTAAAAGCAGCCAAGCCGAGGCTTAGTTTCAGTCAACCAGATAGCTGTTCAATGAGCATTTACTGACAATCCCTGTGCTAAGCATCTGGAATAGAGAAATCCAGCAAAAGGGCACCTCAAGGCACCAACTGTTTAGTGAGGGAGACAAATGAGTAAAAAGACCTCCACACCAGCTTCAAAGTAGTGTTTACCGCTAGGGAGGGAAGGTAGAGAAAGGATTGGGAGGAGTGAAACTTTACTTATGTCTATAAGCTTGTATTTCTTCAGAGAAATAAGAGAAATCTGAAATAAATATGGCAAATTACTAACATATATTTAATCTCAGTGCTGAGTAGACAGGTGTCTGTTACAACATGCCTCTTCATTTTAGCTTTGCTTTTGGGGTCAGGCACGGTGGCTCACACCTGTAATACCAGCACTTTGGGAGGCTGAGGCAGGTGGATCACCTGAGGGCAGGAGTTCGAGACTAGCCTGGCCAACACGGGGAAACCCCGTCTCTACTAAAAATACAAAAATTAGCTGGGCCTGGTAGCATGCACCTGCAGTCCTAGCTACTCAGGAGGCTGAGGCAGGAGAATCACTTGAACCAGGGAGGCAGAGGCTGCAACGAGCCGAGATTGCACCACTGCACTCCAGCCTGGGCGACAGAGCAAGACTCCATCTCAAAATAAATAAATAAATAAGTGTAGTTATTGCTTTTAAAAGAGATTATCATAATATCTAACCAGTGCCATGCTAGCGGGAAGCACAGGATACTAACAAAGGACTGGAGAGGCAGCTAACCCAATTTAAAGAGGAACTGGACACAGCCATAAAAAGGAATGAAATCATGTCCTTTGCGCAACATGGAAGCAGCTGGAGGCCATTATCCTAAGTGCATTAACACAGGAACAGAAAATCAAATACCACATGTTCTCACTTATGAGTGGGAGCTAAACTTCAGGTACTCGTGGACATAAAGATGGCAAGAATGGACACTGGGAACTACTAGAGTGGGGAGGGAGAGGAGGGCAAGGGTGGAAAAACTACCTATTGAGTACTATGCTCACTTCCTGGATGACAGATCAATTGCACCCAGACCTCAGCATCATGCAATATACTCATGTAACAAACCTGCACATGTACCCCTGAATCAGAAATAAAAGTTGAAATTATAAAGTTTAAAAAAAAAGGAACTAGAAAAAGCAAGGAAACAGATTCTCCCCTACAGCCTCCGGAAGGACAGAGCCCTGCTGATACTTTTGTTTTAGCCCACTGAGACCAGATTTGGACTTCTAACCTCCGACCACATCTTCAAGAACCTGAAGGAAATCCTTCCAAGGAGGTGAGCAGAGCAGTTTCAGAACAAGCAGCAGCAGTAAGCAAAATTCTCAGGCTAAAAGAGACCAGGGCACATTCCAGTCATCTCAAGGGGTCAGCAGACCAAGTACTCACTGTGAGGGGACAGGGCAGGGTGGCTGGGACTCAATCAGGATAAACCTTTTAAGCCAGAAAAAGGAATCTGGATTTTATCTTAAATGACATAGGTAGCTTCTTGAGGGTTTTAAGCAAGAGACAGAGATGATCGCTTTCTTTTCGGAACCATCAGTCTGGTATGGTAGGAGTAGGAAGGGTGACGGAGAGGAAGGTGGAGCTCTGGCCAGGTAACCAAGGCAGGAGTTTATCAGAGGATCCTAGATGAGAGATATTCAGGAGCCTGAAATAGCAGGGTTGCAATGAGGATGAAGTAATGATTTCAGAGTATTTATGAGGTGGAATTAAAGGTTTGGTGATCCACCCAAGGAAGGGAGAAAATGGCATCAAAGATAACTTCTGGGCTTCTTTCTTGGTGGACGTGCTGCTATTTCCCCTGTCATAATGAATAAGGGGGAAATAAGTTTAAAAATGAGGATGAGTTTTCAACCACTGGTGCTGGGACAACTGGATATCCACATAGAAAAAGTGAATTTACATGCAGACTTTACACCCTCCACGATAATTAACTCAAAATGAATCACAAACCTAAATGTGAGACACAAAGCTATAAAACTCCTAGAAGAAAACATAGGAGAAAATCTAGATGCTCTTGGGTCTGGTAATGACTTTTTAGATACAACACCAAAGGCACCATTCATGAAAGACATAATTCATAAGCTGGACATCATTAAAATTCAAAATATCTGCTCTGCAAAGGTTACTGCCAAGAGAATGAAAAGACAAACCACAGACTGGGGGAAAATATTTGCAAAAGACATATTTGATAAAGAACTGTTACACAAAATATACAAAAAAACCTTTTAAACTCAACAACAAGAAAATAGGGGCCAGGCGCAGTGGCTCATGCCTGTAATCCCAGCACTTTGGGAGGCCAAGGCAGGGGAATCTCTTGAGGCCAGTTTGAAACCAGCCTGGGCAACATAGTGAGACCCCTTCTCTACAAGAAAATAAAAAATTTAGGCCAGGCGCGGTGGCTCATGCCTGTAATCCCAGCACTTTGGGAGGCCAAGGCGGGTGGATCCCGAGGTCAAGAGCTCAAGACCAGCCTGGCCAGGATGGTGAAACCCCATCTCTACTAAAAATACAAAAATTAGCTGGGCGTGGTGGCAGGTGCCTGTAATCCTAGCTACTCAGGAGGCTGAGGCAGAGAATTGCTTGAACCTGGGAGGCAGAGGTTGCAGTGAGCCGAGATTGTGCCACTGCACTCTAGCCTGGGCGAAAGAACGAGACTCCGTCTCAAAAAAAAAAAACGAAAGAAAAAGAAAAGAGAAAAAATTAGCTAGGCACAGTGGCTCATGCCTGTAGTCCTAGCTATTTGGGAGTGTGAGGTGGGAGGATTGCTTGGATTGCTTGAGCCCAGGGGCTGGAGTTTACAGTGAACTATGATCATGCCACTGCACTCCAGCCTGGACAATAGAGTGAAACCCTACCTCTAAAAAATATAAAAATCAGAAAACGTGAATAAAAAATGGGCCAAAGACCATAATAGACATCTTACCAAAGAAGTATACAGATGACATACAGGCATACGAAAAGATGCTCTACATCATATGTAATCAGCGAAACGCAAATTAAAATGACCATGAGATACCCCTACATGCCTGTGAGAATAGCCAAAATCCAGCACACTGACACCACCAAATTCTGGAGAGGATGTGTAGCAACAGGAACTCTCATTCATTGCTCATGGGAATGCAAAATGGTACAGATATTCTGGAAGACAGATTGGCAGTTTCTTACAAAACTAAACTTGTTCTTACCATATGATTCAGCAATCACACTCCTTGGTATTTACTCAAAGGAGTTGAAAATTTATGTCCACACAAAAACCTGCACATAGACGTCTATAGCAGCTTTATTCATAATTGCCAAAACTTGGAAGCAACCAAGATGTCCTTCAGTAGGTGAATGGAAAATAAACTGTGGTACATCCAGTCAGTGAAGTATTATTCAGTGATAAAGGGAACTGAGTTGTCAAGCTGTGAAAAGACATGAAAGAAACTTAAATGCATATTACTAAGTGAAAGGAGCCAGTCTGAAAAGCCTACATACTATATGATTCCAACTGTATAACATTCTTGAAAAGCCAAACTATGGAGATAGTAAAAAAATCAGTGATTGCCAGGAGTGGGGGTGGGGAGGGATGAATAAGCAGAGCACAGAGGATGTTAAGGGCAATGAAACTATTTCTATATGACACTGTAATAGTGACTCCATGTCATTATACATTTGTCCAAAACCACAGAATATACACCAAGAGTGAACCCTCATGTAAACTATGGACTCTGGGTGATAATGATGTGTCGATGTAGGCTTATCGACTGTAATAAATATACCACTGTAGTAAGGATCTTGATAGTGGTGGGAGAGGGGTATGCATGTGTGGGGATAGTGGAAAATCTTTGTACTTTCTACTAAATTTTGCTATGAACCTAAAACTGCTCTAAATAATAAAGTCTATTATTTAAGGGAAAAAAAAGCAGATGAGAACAATTTTGAAAATGTTACATATAGGTCCCGAGGAAATAGAAACAGACATGTTAATGGGTAGTTTGGTATTATTACTTCATTCCCTATTGATAGATGAGGAAACAGGCTCAGAGAGATGAAGTATCTTGTCCAAG
Organism: Homo sapiens; assembly: GCF_000001405.40. Classification (NCBI taxonomy): domain Eukaryota; kingdom Metazoa; phylum Chordata; class Mammalia; order Primates; family Hominidae; genus Homo; species Homo sapiens. Next base: position 61,673,490 of record NC_000001.11, read on the forward strand.
GTCACACAGCACACTAAGAGGCAGAGGGTAGAATCTGAACCAAGAAAGTTTGACTCCGTTGTCCACATAAGTGGCCATATGTGAAAGGAGGTTTTGAGGCCTATATTTGTTTCCCATCATTGCTGCTCCAGACCACCAGAAATTTAGTGCCTTAAAACAACACAAATTTATTATCTTATAGTTCTGGAGGTACAGAATTTCAAAATGAGTCTCAAGGAGCTCAGGAGAAAGTGTTATAAGGCTGTGTCCTTCTGGAGGCACCTATGGGAGAATCTGTTTCCTTGCCTTTCTGAGCTTCCTTCTAGAGGCCAGTTGCATTCCTTGGCTCATGGCCTCCTTCCACCTTCCAAGCAGTAATCACATCACTGTGACCTCTGTGTCTGCTGTTACATTTCTTCTTCTGACCAAGGTACATCATAATTAAACTTCTGAAAACCAAAGAAAAAAAATAAGGCCAGAGAGAAATGATGCACTGCCTGTAGAGGAACACCAATTTAGAGGATGGGTTTTTCATCTGAAACTGTAAAGGCCAGGAAGAAATGACACAACACTTTTCAAGTGCTGAAAGAAAAGAACTTTCAGTTATGCATCCTATATCTGGTGACATTATCCTTCAGAAACGGAAGGGGAATAAAGATATTCACACATGAAGGAAAACTAAGAAACTTAGTTGCCATTAAACTCACCCTTGAAGAATAGCTAAAGTAAACTCTCCAAACAGAAAGAAAGTAACAGGATAAGGCTGGGAACTTTGGAAATTAAAAGAACAAGAACAGAATGGATAAATATTGGGTAAATATAGCAGACTAACTTCCCTTCATAAGTTTCTTACATCATATTTGGTAGGTGAAGCAAAATTTTTTTGTTTACTTGAGGCTGAGTCTTACTCACTCTGTCTCCCAGGCTGGAGTGCAGTGTAGCATGATCTCGACTCCCTGCAGCCTCCGCCTCCTGGATTCAAGTGATTCTCTTGCCTCAGCCCCTGGAGTAGCTGAGATTACAGGTATGAGCCACCGCACCCAGACAAAAATTTTTTTAAATAGCCTACAGGTGCTACTAAGTGAGGCAAAATTTGTAACACTATCTGATGTGGTGGTGCTCAATATATGTAGAGGAAATACTTGAGACAATTGTATTTTAGAAGTGGGAAGCACAAAGGGACCTAAATGGAAGTAAGCTTTCAACACTTAAAGAGGCAAAGTGTTGACACCAGTAGACGGTGATAAGTTATGTATTTATATTGCAATGTCTAGAGAGATCACTAAAAAAAATTATGTGGGGCAATATGCTCGAAAGCATCATAGAGGAAAATTAATTTTTTCAAAGTTCAAGTAATGCCCAGAAGGCAAAAAGGAAAAACAGAAGAATGAAAAACAGAGGGAGGAAACAGTAAAGAAGTAATAACATGGCAAACTTAAGCCTCAATATATCAATAATTAATTTAAATGCAAGTGGCCTAAATACACTAATTAAAAGACAGAGATTAGCAGAATAGGGGAAAAATGATCCAACAATATAACCGCCTATAAGAAACTCACTTTGAACATAACAACTATAT